>NC_000008.11:41375254-41678284 GCF_000001405.40 Homo sapiens | reverse complement strand
TGACTGTAGTCCCAGCTACTTGAGAGGCTGAGGCAGGAGAATCGCTTGAACCCAGGAGGTGGAGGTTGCAGTGGACCGAGATTACATTACTGCATTCCAGTCTGGGTGACAGAGTTCTCAACGCAAAAAAAAAGAAAAAGAAAAAAAAAGAAATATGGACAGAAACTTGCCAAATTTGATAAAAATCATGAAGACATAGATCCAACAAGTTTGATGAACTGCATGCACAGGAAACACGTGAGCAACTCTATCAGGGCACATTATTAGCAGACTGGTCAAAACCAGTGGTGAAGAGAAAAATCTTAAAAGCAATCAGAGGGAAAAAAATGTGTTATGTACAAGGGAACCAAAATAAGATTCACATCAGATTTCTTATTAGAAACAACACAAGCCAAGGCCAGGTGCAGTGGTTCACGCTTGTAATCCTGGCACTTTGGGAGGTCGAGGTGGGTGGATCACTTGAGATCAGGAGTTCGAGACCAGCCTGGGCAACAGGGTGAAACTCCATCTCTACAAAAAATACAAAAATTAGCCGTGTATGGTGGTGCGTGCCTGTACTTTTAGC
The DNA here is from genome assembly GCF_000001405.40 of Homo sapiens. Classification (NCBI taxonomy): domain Eukaryota; kingdom Metazoa; phylum Chordata; class Mammalia; order Primates; family Hominidae; genus Homo; species Homo sapiens. The sequence goes on along the minus strand of NC_000008.11, from coordinate 41,677,719 downwards.
TACTCAGAAGGCTGAGGCAGGAGAATCGCTTGAGCCCAGGAGGCAGAGGTTGCAGTGAACCAAGATTGCACCATTGCACTCCAGCCTGGGCAACGGGAGTGAAATCCTGTCTCAAAAAAAAAAAACAAAGAAAAAGGGAAAAAAAGAAACAACAGAAGCCAGAACATGGTGTGGCATCTTTAAAGTATGCCACATCTTTAAAGAAGAAAGAAATAACATCTCCAAAGTAACCTAGACTTCTATACCTAGCACACGTAACTTCAAAAATGAAAGCAAAATAAAGACTTTTCTACCTTAAGAAATTAGAAAAAGAAGAGTAAATTAAACCCAAAATCATAGAATAAAGGAAATAATAAAGATCAGAGTGGAAATCAGTGACACAGAAAGCAGAAAAACTTGGAGAAACTTAATGAAACCAAAAGCTGGTGATTTGAAAAGATCAATAACATTGATAAACCTCTAGCCAGACTGATTATGAAAAAAGAGAAGACCTGCAGATTACCAATATCAGGAATAAGGAATATATACTACCTATAGAATATCTACAGATTCTATAGGTAGTAAAAGGACAATAAAGGGATATTATGACAATTTTGTGCCAGTAAATTGGAAAACAGGTGAAATCAACAAATTCCTTGAAAGACACAAACTATCAAAGCTCACTTAGGAAGAAATAGATATAGCCCCATATAAATGAAAGACATTAAATGTATGGTTTGGAACATTCCTACAAAGAAAAGTCCATGCCCAGATGGCTTCACTGGTGAATTCTACCAAACATTTAAGGAAGAAACAACTTGTTTAGAAAATTGAAAATGAGAAAATACTTCTCAATTAAGTTTATGAGGCCAGCATTACCCTGATATTGGGAAGAAAGACAATTAACAAGAAAACTGCAAACCAATATCATTTATGAACATTTATGCAAAAAATCTAAACTGAAATGAACTTGGATTATTACCTTGTATACAAAAATCAACTCTAAATGGGTCATAGATTAAATGTAATATCTACAACTATAAAACTTCTAGAAGAAAACATAAGAAAAAAACCTTAAAGATCTTGGTTAAGGCAAAGATTTCTCAGATACAACACCAAAAGCACAATCCATAAAAGAACAAATTGACAAGTTGGGCTTCATCAAAATCAAAACTTCTGCTCTTCAAAATACACTGTTAAGAAAATGAAAAGACGAGCTACAGACTGGGAGAAAATATTGGCAAATAATCATCTGCTATAGTATTGGAATATACAAAGAACTCTCAAAACTTAATAATAAGAAAACAACTCAGTTTTTAGATTGAGCAATAGATTCGAACAGACTTTTCACCCAGAATATATACACATGGCAAATAAGCACATGAAAATATGCTCAACATCATTAGTGATTTGGGAAATACAAATTAAAACTATAAGGAGGTACCACCACATACCTAAAAGAATGGTTAAAATTAAAAAGGCTGGCCATATCAAGTGTTGGTGAGGATATGGGGGAACTGGAACTCTCATACACCACTGGTGGGAATGCAAAATGGTACAACCACTTGATCATTTCTGACAAAGTTAAACATATACCTACTGTACAATCAAGTCATTCCATTCCTAGCTATTTACCCAAGAGAAAAGAAAGCATTATGTCCATACAGACTAGCATCTTTACTTGTAATAGCCACAAACTGGAAGCAGCCCAAATGTCCATTGGCAGGTAAATAAATTTACAAACTGTGATATATCCTTCCAAAGGGCTATGGCTTAGCAACAGAAATAAATTATTGATACATGCATCAGCATGGATGAAACCCAAATTGACTACGTTGAGTGAAAGAAGCCAGGCTTTAAAGAAAGAGAGAGTGCATACTGTATGAATCCGTTTATGTAAAATCCTGGGAAATGCAAACTGATGTGTAGTGGCAAAAAGCAGATCGGGGTCACCTGGGAATGGTTTGGGGTTGGCAGAGGGGGAAAGGGCAGGGAGAGATTACAAAGAAGCTTGAGGAGACCTTTCTGGGGTGACAAATGTCCTTTTTCTTCTTTGAAGTGATGGCTTCATGGGGGTACACATGTGTCACAACGTATCAATTTACCCCCTTTTAAAGATACACATTTATTGAATGTCAAACATACCTCAACAAAGCTATTTTTAATAGAGATTAATGGCAAAGTCTATGGAAAAGACCAAACTTACTAGCTGTATGGCCTTCCGCAAGTTGCTAAACCTGTAGTTTCCTAATCTATAAAGTAGGAATTATATTATTTTCCTCATGTGGTTGTTGTGGCAATTAAAAACATGTTAGATATGTTTTGCACTAAAAATACGCTCAGTGGCCGGGCTCAGTGACTCAACCCTGTAATCCCAGCACTTTGGGAGGCTGAGGCAAGCGAATCACTTGAGGTCAGCAGTTCGAGACCAGCCTGGCCAACAGGGTGAAACCCCATCTCTACTAAAAATACAAAAATTGGCCAGGCGTCATGGCGCATACCTGTAATCCCAGCTACTCCCAGTGGAGAGGCTAAGGCAGGAGAATCACTTGAACCTAGAAGGCAGAGGTTACAGTGAACTGAGATTGCATTACTGCACTCCAGCCTGGGCAACAGAGCAAGACTCTGCTTTAAAAAACAACAAAATGCTCAGTAACTGATGTAAATAATATAAAATGCTCGCAAGAGTAATAAGAAAAATAATCATCAGTTGACCCCAAAATGTCCTGCTTTTGTATATGTGGAGGGTTTTCTATGAAGGGTTTGAAGGCCATGGCCCTGGTCAGCTATATAATTCCTCAAGTCACAGTTTCATGTACAGTGACTTGGAGTTCAGTTCATGGTAAGATGTGACCCACCCATTTCACCTACTCTTCCCACTCCTTCCTCCTTGTTCTTCCTAGTTTGGCCAGAGCTAAAAGGGGTTTCCCTCAGTCTCTGCCGCTGTGCAGCCCTTCTCCCAACCACCCCACCTTCACGGGCTCATCCTCCCCGCTCATTTGGGACCTGGAACCAAGTAGGCTTGCAGGGAAGAAAACTTCCCTGGGAGATTAAGAGAATGCATGCGGAGTACACAGCATGGCTCCGGGCACGTTGAACACACAGGTACATGTTAGCAATTGCAGTTCCACTGAATGTGCCTGAGGTCTTTCTGTTCCAGCTGCTGGGTCCTCTCACACACCTGGAGAGCTCTTCAGTGGTCATGGGGCTAGTGGAGGCCCAATCCTGTTGTAGGAAAGGGTGGGGCGAGGAAGGCAGGCATCAGCCCTGTCCTCATGGGTTTGCATTTCTGAGAACCGCCTTAGCGAGGGACCCTAGGACAGCCTCAGAGATGGGAGGGAGCAACAGGAGCTGAAGCTGGGAAAATGCCATGAGACAAGAAGCTGTCCCATCTGTGAGTGTGTGGGTGAGAGAGAGTGTGTGAGTGTGTGTGTGTGCATGTGTGTTTGGGGTTTGTCATCCCCATTCCCATAGCACAGTGCCTGGCATGTAATCGGACCTCTCTTATTTTGGTTGAACAGTGAGTGGATGAGAATAAATGGAGCTAGTGATGTAAAAGCAGGGGAGCAGGTGATCAGGAGCTGAGGCCCCGAGCGGAGGCTGAGGCCCCGAGCGGAGGCTGAGGGGGCAAGAAAGGAGCCCGCCTGGCTTGAATCAAAGCACAGCCCGGGGGCAGTTGCATGTGAGTAGGAGTGGGGGTAGGGGCTGAATGGCAGAATGGAGCATTTGAACTAGGTTTGAACTCTAGGCTGGGGGTGTCTGGACATCTCTCGATGGCAGGAAGGTCCCTAGAGACTGCAAGGGGCAGCCCTGCCCATTCCCAGGGTCCCCCTTCAGCTCTGTGGGCTTTCCAGCTGCTGTAAGCACGTACTTGCTTCCTGATTTCCTAGACAGGCCAAGCCCATTGGAGAATCTTGTCTTCTAGTCTCTTCTCCCACCCACAGAGGCACCTGCTCTGAAGGGGCATCAGAGTCCTCTTTTTCCTGTCAATGCACGGGTCATGCACTCAGGGCCTGAGCAAGCTGGCTCCCATCCCACCAGGTCGGTGCTGACCTGCAGCTGGGACAAGCAGCTCAGGGCTCTTGGACACAGGGTTTTGGGGCGGGCAGACCTGGTGCCTCTTGGTGCCTTCTGACCTTGCCCCTTTTGAGCCCTAAGAGCCCTCCCCTGTAGCACTTTAGATCATGCAGAGTTTCTGGAACCAATAGGCAACTTGAGGAAAGTGATGCCTGGCCACACCAGAAGGTTGTTTCCCATTTGACCACCACAGTGAGGTCTATGGGTGTTTAGTGTACCCTGATAGGCCCCTCAAGGGCAGCCTGGTTACTACCCCTGGTTCTGGGTGGCCTTTCCTTCCCTTTAAGGTACATCCCTGAGAACCTAAGAGCTAAGCTAAAGTGAAGTTTTGAGTAGAGGAGCAACGTCTACTTCTGCCCAGCCATGGAGAAGTGGAGCTTTCATGGGATCAGAGACAGATTGGAGCACAAGTCCTTTGGATAAAGGCTTCTTTATCTAGTGCTCTGAACTGGATAAGAAAGTCCAATCTCCTCTTCGCCATCCAGCAGGGCGCTCCCCCATCTCTGCCTCACACCCTGGCTGCCCCCACCCAATTCAGAGCCTTGCTTCTCTTGCCTGGATGCCCAGGCAGCAGCCACAAGGCCTGAGCATTGGGCCTGGAGCTTGGAAAGCCCCCAACCCACCCCGAATGTGCATGCATCTCTGTGGCCGCACCCGCATGTGTGTGTTCGTGCGTGTGCGTGGACCTGCACGTGAATGGGTGGGACAGGAATCACTGCTGGAGCATGTTGCCCTCTGTCTGCCCATCCAGGTTACTCCTCACTGCAGGACGAGCTGCTGTCCCCTGCCTCCCTGGGCTGTGCACTTTCCTCTCCGCTACGTGCAGACCAGTACTGGAATGAGGTGGCCGTCCTAGACGCCATCCCCTTGGCGGCCACGGAGCATGACACCATGCTGGAGATGTCTGACATGCAGGTGTGGTCTGCGGGCCTCACGCCTTCTCTGGTCACTGCTGAGGACTCCTCTCTGGAGTGTAGCAAGGCTGAGGACTCTGATGCCACAGGTCACGAGTGGAAGTTGGAGGGGGCACTCTCAGAGGAACCGCGGGGCCCCGAGTTGGGCTCTCTGGAACTTGTGGAGGACGACACAGTGGATTCAGATGCCACAAATGGCCTTATCGATTTGCTTGAACAGGAGGAAGGTCAGAGGTCAGAAGAGAAGCTGCCAGGTTCTAAGAGGCAGGATGACGCGACAGGTGCAGGGCAGGACTCAGAGAATGAAGTGTCTCTTGTTTCAGGCCATCAGAGGGGGCAAGCCCGAATCACACATTCCCCCACCGTGAGTCAGGTGACGGAGAGGAGTCAGGACAGGTAAGAGCTTGACTGTGGGAGCAGGGTCCCTTTTTGTCTTCTGGGCTCCTGGGTAAGATTATGCCTGGCAGTGAGGACAGAGGTGTCGATGCCAACCCTGACCCTGGGTTCTAATTGCACAGGAGCACATACATTCAGTCTGGCAGATGCCATATATAAGAGCATAGGTGCCATCTGCAAAAGCCAGTGCCTCCCCAAGACCCCACCAGGTATGCCCGGCAGGAGAGACCCCGAGGAGCACTGGGAGAGCACACATAGGGACATATGGGCGCCGGGAGGGCTCACTTAGGGACATTAGGGCACCGGGAGAGCTCACTTAGAGACATGAGGGCACTGGGAGGGCTCACTTAGGGACATTAGGGTGCCTGGAGTGCTCACTTAGGGACATGAGGGCACTGGGAGGGCTCACTTAGGGACATTAGGGCACTGGGAGGGCTCACTTAGGACATCGGGGCACCGGGAGGACTCAGGGACATCGGGGCGCTGGGAGGGCTCACTTAGGACATCGGGGCACCGGGAGGACTCACTTAGGGACATTAGGGTGCCTGGAGTGCTCACTTAGGGACATTAGGGCACTGGGAGGGCTCACTTAGGGACATTAGGGCACTGGGAGGGCTTACTTAGGACATCGGGGCGCCGGGAAGACTCACTTAGGGACATCGGGGCGCCGGGAGGGCTCACTTAGGGACATCGGGGTGCTGGGAGGGCTCACTTAGGGACATCGGGGTGCCGGGAGGTCTCACTTAGGGACATCGGGGTGCCGGGAGAGCTCACTTAGGGACATTAGGGTACCTGGAGTGCTCACTTAGAGCCATTAGTGCACGGGAAGGGCTCACTTAGGGACATTAGAGCACCAGGATGGCTCACTTAAAAGAGCAATCATGAGGCTGGGGAAGACCGTGGGTCAGCTGCTGCTGGAGCTGGCGTTCGGAGCTCCTCTCCCCTTGCGTGCTTCCGGTTGAAGGCCATATTTAGTTGAAGACCATATTTAGAAGCACCAGTACCCAGGGAAGTTATTTGTGTGCAGTCACACAGCCTGCATGTGACGGAGCTGATAATGGCGCCCTCCCCACTTACCCCCTTTGAAGGAGGGGCTGGTGGGCTTAACTGGGGCAGGACGGAGCTTTCAGCTGTAGAGCAGTGGGTGCTCTCTTCCCCACGCTTCCCGCACTGAGAAGCCCCCGCCCTGTGCCGCAGCAGAAAAGCAGCGTCGGCAGGTCAGGAGAAGGTGATGCATTTCCCAGACACTGCAAGTCTGCGGCCGAGGACCGGCTCACCTTGGAGCTCTCATCGTCCCATCTGGGCCAGGGCCTACACCATGCCCCTCCGCTGAGTGCAGGGAAGGATGCCAAGACAAGCCAGGCCCTTGCCATTGTAGAAAGAGATGAGACAGACATGAGATGGGGCTCACGTTGTCCTCCTGGGCTAGCACAGGAAGCGGATGACAGAGGAATCCCCTTTCCTCCAGGTCACCTTGGCTTGCTGAGTTTTCCCTAAAGTAAGGACATGGTTCTTGTGCCCCCAGGCAGCTGTTCCAGGCCCCCACCCCAAGGAGCTCAGGACTGGTCAGGTAAAGGAAAGCTGTTCTCATGTCCTTTCCCCACCTGTGTGACCCCTCAGTCCCACCTGTGTGACCCCTCAGTCCCACCCTGAGGCCCAGGCTAGTGGGGCCATTCCACAGGATCCATGCAGCCTGGCCCCAATACCCTAACAGGAAGGGAAAGGAAGTCGTTTGGAAGTTGAGACAGCAAAGATTTAATTTTTTTTCCTACACAAATCTTTGGATTCATGGGGAGGATTGAACAGATGGAGCTTAGGCTGGTTTAAAGTGAAATAGTGGCCTTCCCGGGAGAGAGACACCTTCCTGGGACGGCCATTCCTTCAACAAGCATTTATTGAGCACCTGCAGGGGCTGCATGCTGGCCCCTGCATTACCGCAGCAGTGTTGCTAACTGGGTTCATGAACGCCTGGGCTCTAGGCCTATTTTGTCACTTCCTGGTGCTGTGACCTTGGTCAGCCTTCTCATGGGGACAGATGAATTTCATCCACTTACTCAACAATATTTATTGAGTGCCTACTGTGTGCCAGGCACCAATAAAGAGTGCCTGGGTGCCAGCATTGAATGAAACAGAAAAAAGTCTCTACCTGCAAGAAGCGTGGTTCTAGCAGGGAAACTAACTAGAAACAAGATAAAGTAAATAAAATTAGAAGTCATTAAAACAGAAATTCTAGATAATACGTGCTAAAAAGAAAAATCAAGCAGAGAAGGAGGACAGGAGGTAGGCGTGTGTGTGGAAAGAAGGCTGACTGGAATTACAGATGGGTGGCCAGGGGAGGCCTGCATGAGTGCCAGCTGAGAGACTTCAAGGAATTGAGGGTGAGGGTGAGGACATCTCAGGGAGGATGCCCCACAGAAGGCCTAGCCCTTTGAAGGAGACCGTGCCTGGCACGTGCCCTAACAGAGTAACCAAGCCCATGAAGCTAGGGAGGGAATGGTGAGCAGGGTAAGCTGCACCTGCCTTGAGAGGAGGCTGGCGCAACCTGGCAGAGAAGCAGGAGGTGTGTCGGGAGGAAAGGGCCGTGGGCTTGTGGGCTGGGACGGCAGCGGTGGCCGTGCTGAGAGGTGGGCGGGTGCAGGGCATATTTCAGAAGCATCTGCTAACAAATACAATGTGGGGTAAGAGAGGAAGAGAGGGGTCAAGGAGGGCAGTGGTGTCCTCGACCTGCCCACTGCAAGGATGAAGATACCAGGGATGGCAGCAGGGATGGGGTGGGACAGGCTAGGGGAGAAGATTTTGAGTGTGGATTGGATCGCACTGTCCTGGAGATGCCAAGTAGAGATCCAAAGTAGACCTGTGAGCCAGAACCCATCTCTACAAAATTTTTTAAATAGCTGGACGTGGTGGCGTGTGCCTGCAGTCCCAGCTACTCAAGTGGCTGAGGCAGGAGGATCGCCTGAGCCCAGGAGTGCAGAGCTGCAGTGAGCTGTGATTGTACCACTGCACTGCAGCCCGGGAGACAGAATGAAGCCCTGTCTCAGAAAACAACAACAAAGTAAAGATGTGGAGGAGGCAGCGGGGTGCACACAGCTGTAGGTCTAGGAGGAGAGCCAAGCTGGAGACACACATCCAGGCACGCTGAGTGTAGAGATGGGCTTTGGAACCATGGGATGAATGAGCTTGCTTAGGAAGTGGATGTGGACAGCGGTGAGGTCTGAGAACTGCACCCCGGGGTGCTCCTATGTTCAGAAGTCAGGAAAGCTAGGAGGAACAAGCAGAGGACATGGAACAACAGCGGCCAGAGAGGAAGGGGGAGACGCCAGGCTAGCACCTTCCAGGAGCCACGGGAGAATGTGTCTTGAGGGGGAGAGAATGACCACCTTGTCAGATGAGGACTGCTGAGTGGGAAGGGCCTGGAGAGCAGAAGGAGGTGGTGGCAGAGTTTGAGGATGTGGGATGAGAGTGTGGAGGCCCCAGTGTTTGGACCATTAGGGTGAGCCAAGTGCTCTGGGAGCCCCAAGGGCAAGCTGTTCACCCACAGGGAGGGACCAGTGGCCTTTCCACCTGGACAGCATTAGATGGGCCACGTGTACCCCTCTGAACCACAGCAGTGAGGTGAGCAATGTGCTCATGCGCCCCTGACCTTTGGAGGGATGGGAGGACGGTCTGTGTCCTTGATGAGCCAGAGCTCTGGGTGGGGAGAGTGTCTAAAAGGAATGAGACTGATGGGTGACCAGGTGTCTTTTCTCTCTCCCCGGCCGGCCATCTGCTGCTTCTTCTGGACCCCAGACTGCAGGACTGGGATGCAGACGGCTCGATTGTCTCATACCTGCAAGATGCTGCACAAGGTTCCTGGCAAGAGGAGGTCACGCAAGGTCCACACTCATTCCAGGGAACAAGTACCATGACTGAAGGGCTAGAGCCCGGTGGATCTCAGGAGTACGAGAAGGTCCTGGTGTCTGTAAGTGAGCACACGTGGACAGAACAGCCCGAGGCTGAGAGCTCCCAGGCCGACAGGGACCGGAGGCAGCAAGGCCAAGAAGAGCAGGTGCAGGAGGCCAAGAACACCTTCACCCAAGTGGTGCAGGTGAGAGCCCGAGGGGAGCTGCGTGCTGCTGTTCCTTCCCAGCATCGGAAGGGGCCGGGACTCCAGGGCTGCCTCTCAGGCACTCAAGCCCTGAGCTAAGCATATCCCCTTCCTTTAACACTTGTGGTGGTGCTTCCGTTTCTCTAGAAGTCAAGGGCAAGGCCTGCCTTTCTGCCTCCTGGATCCCTGCTAAGGCGCCTGTACCTGTTGGGCAGCTGCTGATCAGAGTGGCTGAGCAACTTGCTCAAGATCACAGTTTCAGAAGTGGGCTCTAAGCTGGGTCTCGCTGACTCCAAAGTTGTGGCTTTTGTTGGTTTTCTTGTTCTGTCGCGTTTTAGAAAGGGCTAGGAACCGAGCACTGGGCGTTGGGCTTACTCTCCTCCTATGGTGACCTGGGTGACGTGCCCAAGGCGCTCTCTTCCCAGCACCTCAGGGTCCTCACTGGTAAAGGAGGGAGTGATTGGAATGTCGCCAAAGTTACTTGGCTCTGGAATTCTGTGGCTATTCACGTGGACTCTGGATGGCGGTCACCAAGTAGAAGAGGGGCCCTGGGATAGAGAGAAGTCTCCTCTCCTGCTCCTGATTTCCCAGGCCTCTCCCTCTCCTGGCCCTCCCTCCTTTCTTCCACTTCCCCGGATTCCCTTCGAGTTTGTTGAACTTTATTTTGTTCGATTCAATCCCCCTTCCCCATTCCCAGGCCCCATGATGATCTACTCGTGGCCAATCTTGTTTCATCTGCACCCCCCACTTTCTCCCACTGACTATTATTTGGAAGCATATCCTGGCCATCGTATTAATGGGTGTCTTTTCCATTTGTGTTCTTATAAAACATGCACCACTGTTCTCCACATGCGTGTGTTTAGTATGTACATGAACGACATGTTCTGTCTCTGTTTTCACGCCTCATCCAGGCATGGTGCTTCCTCCTCTCCTCTCCTTCCTCTCTTTCTTTCCTTGTCTCCCTTCTTTCCTACCTCAACCTTAGACTCCAGGACTAGGGTGGCTCTGGAAGGAAGGCCCTGAGCTGCCAGCCATAGAACTGCTAGGAATTCAGTCAGGTTTTATTTAGAATGCTCCCCTGCCAAGTATGTGCCCCGGGCAGGGCCAGCGCCTGTGTGCACTCCTCACCACAGGCGGCCCGTCCGTTTCTTCCATCAGGCCCTCCTGGGCGCCTAGTTCTCCTGCTCCCAGAGCACACATGATCTTAACTGGGTCTCTTCTCCTGAATCCCTGGGGAAAGAGAAAGACGCCTACAGCACTTTTTTCCACTGCCCCTCTGTGGTCAGCCTTTGGTGAGGGGAACTGGAAGGGCCTTCTAGATCACACATCCAACTCCCTCAATTATAAATGAGGGCACTGTGGACCAGAGGAGCCAAGGGCTTTCTCCAGGGTCACACAGTGGACCAATGTCAGGGACCAGGAGGGTCCAGATCCCTCAGTTCCCAAGCCCTACATCCTCACGTCCAGCATGCACGTGCAAGGCCAGCATGCCCAGCCTGGAACTGGAGACGCCGATCAGAGGGCCTGGCAGGCTGCTGCCGGTGCCCATCTCACAGGCCCCGAGGGCTGATAAGGATGCCCTTGAAGGTGATTGATGGTTTGCAAAGCACCCACTTATTAGTATTTCCACTGGACCTCTGAAAACAGTGATGGAGATAGAGAGATTGCATGTAACTTGGGACTTGGGAGGTGGCCTGAAATGACTGTGACCCAGCTGATTTCTCTGAGGACTTAGGAGGAAATATCTGAAGTTGGACTCTTCTTGACTGGGCCAAAACCAGATGCTTCCCCGGCTTCTTTGCACATACTTTTCCCCGTGCTTTCTTGTTGAAATAAGCAGCATTGTGGAGTGAGAGGCATTTGGAATGTGACTCCTCCGTTTACTTACTCCTCCACCTAGGCAGAATACTTTGCTTCTGTTTCCTTTGTGTAAAATGGGAAGACGATAGAACCTCCTTGGTTAGGACTGTGGTGAGGTGTCAGTGAATTAATGCGAAATCCACATAGAACCATGCACTATCACAAGCGTTTGCCATTATCATTCATAGTGTTAGCATTCATAAGCGGCATGATTGTCCCAGCAGCCTTGAGAAAGGGTGGGGAGAGCACTTTAATCCGTGCTTCACAGATGAGGAAACTGAGGCACAGAGAAGGTCCCCAGCCTTCCCAAGACCCCACAGTAGGTGAGTTGCAGGGTTAGTCTGCTGTGTCCCAGATCTGTGTTCTTTCTGCCATGCTGCATTGCCACTCAGAGAGGAACAACCTGATCTAGAAAGTGAAATTTTTTCCAGCCGCAGCTGCTGCGGCTACATTTGTGAATCAGCTCTGTAAATACAAGTTTAATACGCGTTGTTCCTGCTCAGTGGGCGTTGATAGCCCAGCCCTGGAAGAGCCTTTAAGAACAGGCCTTAAATAGACACACCAGCTCCATGCTTCAGTTTTGGGAGGCTGTACCCCATAAAGGAAGGGTGCAAGGGCCTGTGGGCTGACAGGAATTACAGACCGGCTTCCAGGTGGCCCCACCACCTGTGCTGGGCCCCTGCTGGGCTCACTTGACTGTCCCTGAGCCCATCACTCACCCTTTTGGAGCAATTTTTGAAACAGACCGCTAAGTACCCAGGGTATTAGCTGGTCTCATCCCTACCATGCCGGGGAACAGCATTTGGATCACCGCAGTAGCAGCCCAAGGAGACACACAAGTAGCTGCTTTCTCGGACTGTATTATTTTCTGAAAGTAAGAAACTTTCCCTGGGCAGAACTCTTTCTAGTTCCCATGGGGATGGGCAGGATAGGTGAGAGGCCGAGCCCCCACTTCCAGGTCTCTGGGCAGGGCGGGGTTAGGCAGCAGCGGGTGTCACTCACACAGTGACTTTCACTTGTGCTTTCAGTGCTCAGGACATGGGCACCTGCCGGCTTCCTTCTAGCCCGGTTGGACAGCTCCGGCAGCTGGTTTGGGGAGGTAAAATTATAGGAGCGTGATGTCACCCGGGCCACTCAGGGCAGAGCCTGGCTGCTGGGCAGAAGGGCACTTGGGCCGGGCTGCTTCAGCCGAGAGGGCCATTCGGTGTCCTGCCCACAGAGAGAGAAACAGTGAGAGACCAAGAGAGCAAACCAGAGAGATAGGGAGGGGGAATGCAAGGGGTCCCTGGGGGACTCAGGAGTCCCAGTGGAGAATGAGAGGCAGGCCCCCCGTGGTGGCCGGGGCCCTGGCTGCCAGAGGACCGGGCTGGTGAGGAGGCGAGGATGTGGACTTTCGTCACCCAGCTGTTGGTCACGCTGGTGCTGCTGAGCTTCTTCCTGGTCAGCTGTCAGAACGTGATGCACATTGTCAGGGGGTCCCTGTGCTTTGTGCTAAAGCACATCCACCAGGAGCTGGACAAGGAGCTGGGGGAGAGCGAGGGCCTCAGTGACGACGAGGAGACCATCTCCACCAGGGTGGTCCGGCGGCGGGTCTTCCTGAAGGTAACCGCCTGGCAGGAGGCCGGCAGGGCTGGTGGTGTGGGCGCCGGAGGCCGGGGCTGAGGGGACGCTGCTGTGGGGAGCTCCGGACCCAGAGTTGGGAGACGCCGGAGGAAAAGGACCAGGAGGCCCCCAGGGATCATGTTCCACCCTGGGAGCCAGAGTGTGTGTGCGCCCACCAGAACCTGCCCTCTGGTGCCCAGTGCATTGTGACAGTGACATTAAACACTCAGCTTTGGGTCTCGGGAGGCTGCGCTCATCCTGTTTCTTTCTTTGTTTCTTTCTTCTTTCTCTCTCTTCTCTTCTCTTTTTTCTTTTGTTTTTAGAGATGAAGTCTTGCTGTTTAGTCCAGGCTGGAGTGCAGTGGCATGCTCATGGCTCACTGTAACCTGGGCTTACTGTAAATTCCTGGGCTCAAGTGATCCTCCTGCCTCAGCCTTCTGAGTAGCTGGTACTACAGGCACACACCACCATGCCTGGCTATTTTAAAAAAATTTTTGTAGAGATGGGGGCTCGCTATGTTGCCCAAATTGGTCTTGAACTCCTGGGCTCAAGTGGTCCTCCGGCCTTGGCCTCCCAAAGTGCTGGGATAGCAGGCGTGAGCCACCATGGGATTGCACCCGGATCGTCCTGTTTCTGTCACCAACTGGCTCTGGGGTTTCAAGCAAGTCACATTCTGGGTGATGCTGCCTGTCGAAGGGCTTTTCTATACTGCAAAGTGCTGTAAAAATAGGAAACAGGTGCCTCACTTCCTCTCTCAGGGCCTCCTCCGTCAGACTTGCATAATTGCCCCCATTTTGCAGGTTCCCAGGGGGTGTTGTGAGGGCCAAGTGCACAATTGTGAGCTCGACCGTTCGTCTTCAGGCCTCCCAGACCCTCAGGGGCGCCGCCCACGCCCTGGGAGCCCTGGCATGGCTCCTGCTACATGCTGAGCCGGGTTTCCTGCTGGGGGAGTTATTGGGCCATGGCTATTGTGGCTACTGCTGTTTCATTTCCTCGTCCTCCACCCTTCCTCCCAGACTCCCACTCACCAATCTTGCATTTTCTCCCTTTCTCTAATTCCAGGGGAATGAGTTTCAGAATATTCCAGGGGAGCAGGTGACAGAGGAGCAATTCACGGATGAGCAGGGCAACATTGTCACCAAGAAGGTGGGTGCAGAGTGTTCCCCTCTGTGCTGGGGAGAGGCAGGTGGGCTAGAAGCTAAAAGGTGGTAGAAGCCAGTGGCTTCTCCCTGCTGCCCTCACAGCAGGTGAGCACAGCCAGGCTGGCTGCCCCCGTGCTCAGGAGGGATGGAGGGCCCAGGAGCTGGGAGCTTTGGTCATCTGCAGTCCAGTCATGGTGTCCTCACAACCGCTTTGTCTGAGTCAACCTGAATAGCTTCTGCTGCTCTTTTCCAGAAGGGCCAGCCCCCAGGAAACATCCCAGACCTAGTCCCATGATGCCTAACCCTGAAAACAGCTGTTAAACAAGCAGTTTGAGCATCCCTGGCCTACCATGGGCCTCCTCAAATAAAAAGAATGTGGGCCGGGTGTGCTGGCTCACACCTGTGATCCCAGCACTTTGGGAGGCCAAGGCAGGAGGATCGCTTGAGCCCAGACATTTAGACCAGCCTGGGCAATATGGCAAGACTCCATCTCTAAAAAAAATTTTAAAAAATAAATAAATACACACACACACACACACACACACACAGAGAGAGAGAGAGAGACACACACACACACAAAATTAGCCAGGCATGGTGGCGCATGCCTGTAGTCACAGCTACTCAGGAAGCTGAGGCAGAAGGATCACTTAAACCCAGCAGTTCAAGTCTGCATAAGCTATGATTGAGCCACTGCACTCCAGCCTGGGTGACAGAGTGAGACCCCATCACAATAATTAAATAATTAAAAGGAAGTGAAAATGCATTGGATTGGTAGCAGATATTAACTCAGAGACATGACCTTGCCTGTCAAGTGTGGGGCACGGTGCTAGCTATGGGTAAAATAGAGGAGGAGCTGAGGCAGGATCTCGAATGTGCTTCTGCTTAGGCGCAGCTCTCATCACCCTTGAGCAAGGCTCCTTGTGCGTCTGTCTTGCCTCCTGCACTGTGAGCTGCTTGCAGGCAGGGACAGTGTCTCACTGATGTTTCACCTCCCACTCAGAGCACACGGCAGATACAGAGTAAAGGGTTTGAAGATTTGGACAGGTGAATACGGGAATGGGTGGGTGAAAAAGAGATGCCCTCTGCCCTTAGGCTCATGGGAGTAGAATGGGGAAGAGCACAAACTCCCATCCATATCAAAAAGCAAAACAGAAGGCTGTGGGCTCGAGGGGGAGGTCACACCCAGTCACACCTTGGTCATGAAATGACACTGCCAAGGCCCCTTCAGGGCTGTCTAGCAGAGGGTTTTCCATTAAGCAATGGGGCAAAGGCTGTCCCTCTTCTTGGCCTCTCAAGGAGGGGCTCCTAGGACAAAAGCTACCTCCCCCTCGGAGCTCATTCCTGGGAACTGCTGTTCTGAAGCTCTGTCTTGAGGGCTTGACCAGCCCCCCCGCCTTTTTTTTTTTGACACAGAGTGTTGCTCTGTCAACCAGGCTGGAGTGCAGTGATGCAATCTCAGCTCACTGCAACCTCCATCCACCAGGTTCAAGTGATTCTCCTGCCACAGCCTCCTGAGTAGCTGGGATTACAGGCACCTGCCACCACACCGGGCTAATTTTTGTATTTTTAGTAGAGACAGGGTTTCACCATGTTGGCCAGGCTGGTCTCAAACTCCTGACCTCAGATGATCTGCACGTCAGCCTCCCAAAGTGCTGAGATTACAGACATGAGCCCCCGAGCCCGGCCTGACCAGCCCTTTCCTCCTTCCCTTCCTTTCCTAGATCATTCGCAAGGTGGTTCGACAGATAGACTTGTCCAGCGCCGATGCCGCCCAGGAGCACGAGGAGGTGACTGTAGAGGGGCCCCTGGAGGATCCCAGTGAGCTGGAGGTCGATATTGATTACTTTATGAAACACTCCAAGGTACTGAGGCGCCCGCGGCCCTGGGGGACCCAGCGCCATCACTGCTGCCTTGCTCTGCCGGGCCGTCTGCATGACACCTCCCTCCACTCACCTCTTTATGAGCTCTCTCTCCAGTCTCTCTTCTCCCTGGTGGGCAGTGTGTCTGCCACCTCCGTGTGGCCTCCTTTCGATCTTCTGCCTGTGTTCTGCCCGTCTTTGCGATCTGTCCTGCTTTCTGTCTCTGCTGCTGTCTGCAGGTGGAGCTGAGAGGGAGTGGCCTACAGCCGGACCTGATAGAGGGCAGGAAGGGGGCGCAGATAGTGAAGCGGGCCAGCCTGAAAAGGGGGAAACAGTGACCCCGAGCCGCTCTCCTTGGAGTAGCCTCTCGGGAGGTAACGCTGCCCTTCTCATCCCCTCTGCATGGCCTGGTCTTCAGTGGAGTGGCTGCTCCCTGTCTCACCCTATCCCCTCCCAGCCACCCCAGCATGATGTGGGACAAACAACTTGTTGTTGTGTCTCGAGGCAGAGATTCTCACTTCCCAACCCTGCTAACAGTTGGCTCTGAACCCCAGCTTCCTCATCAAGGAAACAGAGTTAATAATATCCACTTATCAGGGACCGCACGGTTTTGTAAGAATGCCTTTTGGGCCGGGCACAGTGGCTCATGTCTGTAATCCCAGCATTTTGTGAGGTCGAGGCAAAAGGATTGCTTTAGGCCAGGAGTTCAAGACCAGCCTGGGCAACAGAGCAAGACCCCATCACAAAAAAAAGAAAAAAAAAAGCCAGAAAGAAAAAAATGCTCTTTGAAAAGTAAAAGCACTCTGTAAATCTAAGTGGTAATATTATCTTGGAAACCAAGCAATGGGGATCTAGAAAGCAGTGGACAGGGCATTGAAGAGGACAGGAGAGTTGGTCTGGGCTGTGATGCTTCAACATAAGAGCTCCAAGACTGAGGACTGGACTGTCTCTTGAACCTGGAGCCCAGCTACAGTTCTCACCAGGCCAAGGCTTAGCTTCTCTTTGGTGTTTTGTGAAACACGTTGCTCCCTTGCTTTCTAGGAAAGGGCTGAGCCGACAGGCCTAAGGGGTGGACGACGTGCTTTCTGCAAGTCAGGAGACCGTCAGGGTTGGGGCCGGGGCCTGGGCTGTGGTGCATGTGTGTGAGCATGGGGCAGTGTGGCCACAGAGCAGGGGCATGCCGTGCCGTGCCGTGCCATGAGGAAGGGACATGAAGACGCTGTGCGACCATCTCCAGCAGGTGTGTGTGGTGCTGGGGGCTTCAGCGGCCGGCTCTGATCTCCATCCTCCCTGGGGCATCCTGTACTGAGCTGCCCCGAGGCCCTTCATGCTGCCCAGCTCGGGGCAGCTCAGTACAGGATACCTCGGGGTGGGAGTCAGCAGGAGGTGAGGGGGCATGGTGGCCCCAGTGCAGCACTAACCAGGCCGTTACCATTCACACCCCAGGGCCTGACTCTGGGACCGAGCAGCAAGGAGGCTCTAGCTTTCTGCATTCGGCAAAAATCAGGGCCCGCTGCCTCCTGAGCCACCAAAAGTGCTGACTCTGGGCTTCCCAATATATCTCAGCACTTGGGCAAAAAAGAGGACTGGCAGATCCAGTTATAGGATAAAATTAGACCTGACACCTCAGCAGCTTAAGGAGGTCACCGTGTTAACCCCTGCACTGCCAGGGGTCCCACTAGGCTGCTGGTTTAGAAGACTCTGAGTAGCTGCTGTTGGGTCCTGGAAAGAACCCAAAGATGCAAATAATGTTTAAAAGCAGCAAAGGGAAAGGAAAAGTACACTTTTCTGACTTATTTTTCTTATGGTAGCAGTGGCGGCTGTGGCTTTAAATTTCTCTTTGGCTCAGGCTCTATGGATGCTCCTGAGTGGGAGAGAGGCAGCCCGAAAGCCAGGCTAGGGGGAAGGAGGGAGCCTTGAATTTCATTTTAATTTGCCGTAAGTGATCTGCAATGTGGCTGAAGCCCCCCAACCTCAGGTGATTAAGGACCGGACCACACTAGCATGGGTGTCAGAAACACGGAGCAGCCTGGCTCTGGGACAGCACTTGGCCCTCTGTCAGTGACAGGCACAGGGACAAGTGTGAGGGTGGCAGGGGGGTGGGGCGGTGGGGCGAGAGCAGTGGTGAGGGAGAGGCGGAGAAAAGCTCCTGCCAAAGTCCCAGAGGGTTAGGGGACAGCATTAAATGCCCTACCCTCCCAACCAGGGCAAAGGCTACAGAGAAGACGGTTGAGGGCCCAAAGGCTTCCTAATTTACTATCCGCATCCCCGACAAGCATGTACAGTCGATCCTCATCATTCACGGATTCTGCATTTGCGAATTCGTCCACTCGCTAACATTTATCTGTAGCCCCAAAGCTGGCACTCACCGTGCTTTGGCTCATTCATGGACACACACACAAGGGCAGAAAGTTTGAGTCGCCCAACCCGTGCAATCCCAGCTGAGGATGAACAATGCCACACTCTGCCTCTGTGCCTCATACTATAAATAAGTGTCCTCCTTGCAGCTTGTGTAGTGCCACATTTTTCACATTTTTGGTTTCATTGTTTAGAATGGCCCCTGAGGGCAGTGCTGAAGTGCTGTCTGGTGCGAAGTGCAAGAAGGCTGGGATGTTCCTTAAGGAGGGAATGGACATCAGATAAGCTCTGCTCAGGGATGAGTTAGAGTGCTTGTGGTGGTGAAGTCAGTGTTAATGAGTCAACCCTATATATTACATAAGGCGTCTTGAAACAGAAACGCATTTAACACAAAGTTATGTATTCATCAGTTGACCAAAATATTGTGGCCAGAGGCTCATGGGAGCCTAACCTTGTATTTCCCTTAGGAGCAGTGGTTCAGTATTTGCTAATTCCGTGTTCACAGCGACTATTTATTTATTTATTTATTTATTTATTTATTTATTTATATTTTGAGAGGGAGTCTCGCTCTGTCGCCCAGGCTGGAGTGCAGTGGCACTATCTCGGCTCACTGCAACCTCCATCTCCCGGGTTCAAGTGATCTTCCTGCCTCAGCCTCCTGAGTAGCTGGGATTACAGGCATGTGCCACCACCCTTGGCTAATTTTTGTATTTTTAGTAGAGACGGGGTTTCACCATGTTGGTCAGGCTCGTCTCGAGCTCCTCACCTCAAGCAACCCGCCCTCCTCAGCCTCCCAAAGTGCTGGGATTACAGGCATGAGCCACTGTGCACAGCCTCAAACAGCGACTAATTTATAGAACAGAGCTATGGCAAATGGCTGTATTTGTTTCAGAGAGTGAAAGCTGGAGCTTGTGAGTCTAGAATCAAGGCCTCCTCCTGCTTCCAGGTTGTATGGCCTTAAGTCATTTAACCGCCCTAAGCTTCAGTCTCCTCAAGGGAGGATGAAAATGTCCCTTTCGAATGTGCTACACTTCAAGAAAAAGGTTTAGAAATAATAATGGTAACTGTGAGCACTGATGTGAAGAGAGTAAATAAGAACATATATGCTCTGGGACTCAAACAATTGCAGGTCTTGTTTGTAGTGTGACTCGGAGCAAGTCAAATGACTTCCCTAAGCCTCAGGTTCCTTAGCCATAAACTAGCAATAATGCCAGCATTTCCCTTGTAGGATGGTTATGATGGTTGCTGAGTTTATGTTTGTGAAAGGGCTGTCTAGGGCCGGGCATAGTGACTCATGCCTGTAATCCCAGCACTTTGGGAGGCTGAGGCAGGAGGATAATTTGAGATGAGCCTGGGCAATGTGGTAGGACCCTGTCTCTACAAAAAAAGTTTAAAAATTAGCTGGACATGGTGGCATACACCTGTAGTTCCAGTTTCTTGGGAAACTGAGGTGGGAGGATCGCTTGAGCCCAGGAGTTCAAGGCTGCAGTGAGCTATGATTATACCACTGCACGCTAGCCTGGGCAACAGGGCAAGACTCTGTCTCTAAATGAAATAAAAATAAAGAATGAAAGAGACTCTTTTCTAAGCTTTTGAAAGGTGAGGGGACCCAGGAGAAGAGGCCAGAACAATGCAGGAGTCCTGGGCAGAGTGAGGTGGCCTAGGTCCTCATCTCACCCCTGCTCTTGCCACTGTGCCTCTAGAGTCTCAGTTTACCAAGGGATGAAATGGGCAGTCATGCCAGCATGATCTCTGAGGTCTGAACTTTCTCTTCTGCTCAGTGCCTGGGCGGTAAAGTAGATGGGAGATCCTAGCCTGTCTTTCCCAGGCTGCATATTCCATGATGGTCTCTTATTTGAGGAGCACTTCTTGGGGCAGGCACCGTGGGGAGCACCAGGAGGCTGTTCTTGCCCTCAGTGTTTCTAATCTAGTCAGGGAAATATGCAGACATCAAAAAGCACAGATGGACAGAGACGGTAACATTTCTAGAGAGCCAAGTAATTGTTTGCATTCATACAATGCTAAGCACCTATGTGTCTTAGCTTTTTTAAACATCACACCTCTCTAATGGGTAGGCCCTATTACTGCCCTCATTTTACAGCAGAGAAAACTGACTCACAGAGCAGGTAAGGCACTTGACCGAGGTCAGGCAGCATGGGACTTGAACCCGGGTGGTCTGGCTCCAGAGTTCATGCTCTTACCCACTCGACTCTGCCATCTCCTGAACAGAAAAGGCAGCTTTTTTCTTTTTTGTATTTTGTATTTTTACAAAATACAAAAGGGAGAGCTTCCAGAGTGGAGAGGGGCCTGCTCCAGGAAGGATCAGGAAGGTTTTGTGGGGTGGAGGTGTTGAGGGCGGCAGGCAGAACCTCTGCAGAAAAGAGAATGGAAGGCAGCCTTGACAGAAGCGTGACCGAAGGCAGAGAACAGGAGGGTAGAGCGTGTTCAGAGGCTTAGAGGAGACAGTCAGACTTGGCCGATGTGATGGCCCAGCAGTGATGAAAGCATCTTCCCTCTACGGTGGCAGCACTGTCCACCCACTGCAGCAGCAGTTCCTGGCTTTACAGTTCTACAGCAGCCCCTGGCAAGGAACCTGGCACCACCCTCCCATCCCTGGGGAACCACCCAAGAGCTGAGTTCTCCCTACTCCCTTCCAACACTCCTCCCCAACCCCTTCACCTGGAGGACCCAAAACAGCTCTATGTCTGGGGATGGCTCCACCTCCGAATGAGCTCCTGCCTCCCTGTGTCACTTCCCACCCTGCCCAAGAGATTGTCACCTCCTCCTTATTGAAGCATCCTCCTTTCCCCAGTGGTCCCAGGGCCCCTGCAGATAGAACATGAGTGGCTGGTCTTGAAAACATGGAGTTTTCACCCCAGGTTGGAGGCTGGAGGCCCCATGGGGGCAGGAGAGGTTTCTCACTGCGAATCCCAGGCTGAAGAATGTGGGCTTAGTTCCTCCAGCAAAGCTGCTCTTTTCCAGCCTAAGACTCAATACAGGAGGAGGAGAGGAGGATGCATCTGCTTTTCAGAGATCTCTGTCCATCTGAGGGGCATGGGGAGAGCAGCCAGAGGCAGCGGTCAGGAAGTGCTGTGGGCCAGAGCTGAAGGGGAGCTGTCACCCTTGAGGCATGAGCTCCCAAGGCCAGGGAGCACATCCGCTCCATCCCTGGGTTCCCAAGGCTGGCGCATGGCGGACATCAGTGCATGTTGGCAGAGCTGAACTGAGAAAGTGAAGGCCTCACCTAGCCTCACCTAGCCCCTTCTTGGCACAAGCCCTGGCTCAAGAAAAATGGCTCTTCCTAAGTACAAGGATCTGCTGGGGGATGTCTCCCCAGGTGACCACGTAGGCACGGGGGCCTCTGCCCCTCTCCAAGGGCACAGAGCACAGTGCTCTCCTTGGCCCATACAGAGAGGCATCCTGGAACACTTGCACACTCAGAAGGAATTCATGAGGCCTGGGTGGCGGCTCTGAGGAACAGCCTCTGCATAGGGAGCAAGAGAAGGAGGGCGGCATCTCAGGAAGTCGGGCTGCAAGTGCAGCACCCTCAGCACATCGCCCTGCCTGGGGAGACTGCTTTTCCTGAGTCAGATTCGGCCTGAGCTGCCAGCACAAAACTCTGTGTGTGGGGTTTTTGCTGGACGTTGCACTTTTGCATTCTAAGTGACTCCTTCTCTCTTTGTGTCTCCCAGGATCACACCTCGACACCCAACCCCTGAACCCCACACACTCTGCCATGCACACAGGAGGAGAGCTGGACCTGAGGGCCACCGCAGCGGTGCACACATTCCTCTGGGCTGACGGCATGACCTCTGTAAGGGACTCCTGCTAGTCCCCTCTTGGCATGAATGACTGACTGTAGACGCATGACCTCCAGGCTTCAATCCTGCCTCTTGCAATGACAGCTGATCTGTCGGAACCAGGACACAAAAGCAGCAAGAAGCGGGGAGAGAGAGGGATAGAAAACAAGCGCAGGAGAGCCTGCGAACGCAAAAGTGAATGAGGGCTTTTTGTGGCTGGGGATGGGTTTTGGTTTTGGGGTTTTTTTTTTAAATTGTTTTGACTTCGTACAGGGTACTTTTTCCCAACCTCATCTGTCAGAAATCCATGTGGGCTTCCTGGAAAGAAAAAAAAAAAAAAGAAAACTAGGCATGAAATCAGTTTAACACCTTAATCTTAAGCCATGTCCTCATCTGCCCACCCTCCCCAACCCACATACCTCCATTCCACTTGTGACACCCCCTCGACTCCCTGGTGACGCTCCTCCCAGATCGCTCTACATGACATTCAGGACACACACACACACACACACACACCACTCGCCTCCACTGAATCTACACACAGATTTTACTGTGACTTCTGAAGCTGTATAGACTCTGCTGTGGATAAATTGGAATTTTTTATGTTGTCTCTCTCTCTGCCAATTTCAATACGAATCATCTTCCAATGGAAAATCATTACCTTGAAGAGTGCATTCGGGGTTCCTTGTGTTAGGGACTTAAGAATCTGAGGCGAGGACCCCCAGGCTTACCTGTAGGACTCAAAGGGAGCCAGGACCCCATCTGAAAGGGTCTCCTCTCTCAGTTGGGGGACAGGCCGGTGGCTGACCCAGGATTGCACCAGCATGTCCATAGAGAAGAGGTTTTCTATGTCTTCAAGCACTATATCATAGTCCGTGTTCAAAGTGTAAACTGTACAGTAATCAGCCTTGTGTATATGAAAAACAATAAATACTATGCAAACCAATAGAAACATTTAGCAGTACGTACAGAGCCTGACAGCGCAGCTCCTGAGGACTTCTGCGGCTGCAGGAGAAGGAGCTGTGGCCTGTCTTTCAGTGAAAGAGGAAGGAAAGGAGTAGGGCTAGTGAATGTATCTGCCAGGTCTTAGAAGTCAGGACCACCCAGGGTCTCCCAGAGTGAACTTGGTGCTCTAAGTCCAGGCAGCCTGCAGGCTGGGGACCCTGGGTGCAGGTGCCAGGCTCGAGGCTGTTCCCTGTCCTGCCTCAGTGCCTCCCCTCTGCCCAGCCCCTGTGGCCTCTTGGAGAGGCGAGCCAGGGGGCTCCCCGGACCGCATGGCCGGTGAGAGTAGAGTCGGAGGCGGAGAGCCTGGACGCCCAGAGGCCGGGGCCAGGCTCTGGGTCAAGGCAGGAAGGAGACAGACAGCTGGCAGTTCCTCGCCTCGGTGCCATCAGGGAGGAGCCTTAAGTTCCACTAGAGCCTCCGGCCCAGGGAGGCCAGAATCAGCACAATCCCGGCCCCGCCCTCGCGGCGGGCGCCCCCAGGGCCAGGAGAGAGAGACAGGGCTGGCTCCTCTCGCCCCTGGAGCCGCGGTGTGGACGGCCCGGCCCCGTCCGCCCCGCCGCTCTGCGGGAGTGTCCTCGGGACACACTTAAACCTTCCAAGTAGCACAGAAGCCCCCTCCACGTCAGAGGCCCCCTGGCCGCGGGGCCTGTGAGCGGAGAGGGGCCCTGCTTCCCACACAAATCCGCCCCGGTGCACCCCCGGCCAGGCAGGCCCCGGGGCGGCCTAGGCGCCTTGTCGGCCGGGGGTGGGGCTGCTTTTGCTTCCTTTAGAGGGGCGGGCAGGGAGAGGAAGCTCTAGCTCCGGGCCTGAGTTTCCCCGAGGCTGCGTCGGAGGAGCTGCAGGGCGAGCCCGGACGGCTGCCGTCTCCGCCAGAGGCCACCCCGGCCCGGCCTCCAGGGCGCAGAGGCGCCCCCCTCCATCCTCCCCCATCCCGGGGGCCACGGCAGGGGGGCCGCACAGCGCGGCTGGGACCGATTCGGTGACGGCCCAAGGAAGCTGGGCTCAGGGCTCGCCTCTCCCGCCTCGATCCTGCACCTTCCTCTCCCAGGTCGCTGCTGCAGCCAACCCAGTAGCCCCCTTAGCGCCCCCGCGGACCCCGCAGCTCCAGACTCCGCTTTGGCACCTCTGCTCCGGCTGGCATGGCTGCACGCTCCGGCTGCTAGTAGGAGCCGTTAGGGGAGGAGTTTGGGGTCTCCACACGATGCCTAGAGAATGCTGCAGTCTGCACATTAGACGCTTTTTAGAAGTTTTGAAATTACCTTGATTTTTTTAATTGTTATGAAAATGGATCTTTTCTTGACTCTCCCACATGCTCTGTTATGGGAGAGAATCCCCTACCCTACTCTGATGTATAGACCATTCTCCCTTCACCAGCCGAACCAATGTCAAAATTAATAAAGAAATGGACTAATGGCACAGGGCTCTATCTCTCCTTCCCGCTCGTCTTTGGGGGGTTAGGGGTGCTGAGGCCAGCGTAAAGCCTGGGTTGTGATGTGAAGGAGTCTATGGGTGGGGCTCAGGTCCCAGAGAGCCCGCCAATGCCCAGTCCTCCCAGAAGCCTGGACAACCCTTTAATCAGGACCACCCACCTGAGAGATGCCTCCAGAGAGGTGGCAGAGTAGCTTTCTGTTCCACCTGATGGCTCCCATGAGATGGGGAGAAGTTGGGGGTCTGGGGAGGGGCCACCACAACCCACCAGGGTTCTTGGCCAGGCCCCCAGCTGGCATGCACTGAGGGGGCCCCCCAGCATTCCCTAGGAAGGCATCTGGCCCCAGTACTCAATGCCATTCAAAGTTCAAGAACTTGTTCTTGCTGTAGGGAAAAAATTGCCCTATTCCTAACTAGTTGCTAACACTTCCTGCAAGGCTGGTCACCAAGCTGACCTCAGTTTCCTCATCTCTCTAATGGGAGAATGGATTAGGTGGTTGCTAAAGTCTCTTCAGTTTCTCATCCTAGGGGCGCCAGACACCAACGCCTTTGTCAGGCTTGGCATTAATTAAGAATCAAATCATTGGCTGCGGCTTTCCTGCCACATAAATTCCCATCATGAGGGGATGACGGAGTCACAATCCCAAGGCCCCTGGAGCACCCCAGCCCCACCCCACTCCCAGCCTCTCTCCTGGAATCGGACAGGCCGTTCAGGCCAGTGGGCAACCGCAGCAGGTCATCTGCAGCACCCATGGGGCTTTTAAAAATGCAGTTTCAGAATCACAGTTGCCTGGGGGGAATTGGGTGGTGACACCGGGAACCAGAACCAGGTCTACCAGATGGCTGTGGCACGCGACCTGGTGGCAAAGCCATCTCAGACGAAGACGTAGCTCTTTTCTCTTTAAACCAAATTTGTAGGGAATCATTCCACACCCTTTGTGAGATCTTTCTTGCATAACCTAAATCCCTGTGCTACAGAGGGTCAACTTCTGCATGAGAAGGAATCCTGCCCTGAGCCTTGGGTCCTCTGCTCCCCACTGAAAACCAAGACGGCCTGGAAACCCAGGAGAAGCTCAGTGAAGCAGTGCCTCTAGTCTCCCACCTACCAGGGCGGCCTCTGGGGAGTGAGAGAGCAAGCCCTGCAGAGCCCACGCCTGGTCAGGAAGGGCTCTGGGGCCACCAGGCACAGAGAGGAGCAGAAGTCCATCTGTCTGGCAGTCACAGTCTTTCCTAGCATTTTACATGTTCAGGCCAGTGGCATGCTAGTTTCCAGTTTTAGAGAAAAACTGCAGGGAAGAATCCTGCCTGGTCCAGAAATCACCCATGTACCTGGAAAGTGGGCTCCAATTCCTCTATACCTTGGTTTTCCTGTTTGTAAAATGAGAGCTTCCCCCAATAGAGCCTTGTATGTTGTAAAAATTTATTCGAGAAAAAAAAAAGCATATGCATGTTCTGTGATTCAGCCCAGTCCACTGCATCAACTACTAACTGAGCACCGACGGAGTGCCCGGCACGGGGCTCCACCACCCTCTCAGCCATCAGGGATTTCAAACCCGGGCACCACGCCAGACAGAGCATGGCCATTGCTCCAGCAGAGGCACAAATGAGGAAGAGATTCTGATAGGGAGGTCACGGAAGGCCGACCAGAGGTGGAGGCAAGAACATGCGTGCAGGGCGGCCCTCTCTTCAGCCTCCTGCAGTTGGAGGACTCACACCCCGGCACTGTCAGGGCTGCCTACGCCCCGCGCTGCCCTCTTCCCAGCAGGCTCCCACCCTAGGCTCTCAAGCCAGCCACAGGGACTTGCATCCCCCAGAAAGCAATGCCACTCAGCCTCTTACCCCATCCCCGCACTTACCCCCATCTTATGCCACTTACCCCATCCCCGCATGCGGAAGGGAAGGAAGCGGCTGCGTTCTCCTGTGGAGCTTGGACATGTGCACATAAAGGGGCCGGCGCAGCTCCGGACAGTGGCCTCTGAGTCCAGCCTCCTCTTCCCTAGGGGAGCAGCTGTAGGAACAGTGACTTCCAATTGCCTTGGGAGCCTCCAGGGGCCCCCAGACGCTCACCTTTTCCTAGATGCTAGACTTGCGGGGAGCAAATGGACCCTCCGGCGATGAGTAGGGCTTCTAGAGCTAATTCTCTGTCTCTCTCTCGCGCGCGCGCGCATACACACACACACACACGCGCGCGCGCGCGCGCGCGCGCACACACACACACACACACCCTGGCTGATTGTACAGTCAATCTTTCAAAGTGCAATTTGTCTAGGAAAAGCCAATGTGAGGCCCGTGTGCGCCCCGACCAATGGCGGCGCGGCTCCGGCGGCTCAGCCAGTCTCCGGCCTGTATTCTAATGGGCCGTATCTTTATCAGGGAAATGTTCCTTCTCTGAACTTAAAACTTCTCATGGAGGGTCCCCCGACTCAGAGGCAGAAAGGGGGTCTGAGCTGAGGCTTAGGGGGCCACCCTGTCCGGCCAGGGCAAGGAGAGAGGCCAGGAGCCCTGGGGAGGCCTCCCACCTGCCCCGAGCACCTGACTTCCGAGCAGCTGATCGGGTGCCGGTTCCTGGGCCAGGGCCTGGCCCATGCCTTAGGTGGGAGGCAGTCAGGAGCTCGGAGACGGTCCTAAGCCTCCAGGCCTGCCATGAGATTTGGGGCTAGAGAGTGGGCTCTTGGGTTTTAGGGGCCTGGAGAAGCCTTCCCTGTCCTGACTGGGAGATCATGGAGTCCAACCTGCAGGGGACGTTCCTGCTGAACAACACGCCGCTGGCTCAGTTTCCGGAGATGAAGGCCCCGGTGTGCCAGTACTCTGTGCAGAACTCCTTCTACAAGCTCAGCCCCCCAGGGCTGGGCCCCCAGCTGGCCGCCGGAACCCCCCACGGGATCACGGACATCCTGAGCAGGCCCGTGGCTGCGCCGAACAACAGCCTCCTCTCCGGCTACCCCCACGTGGCAGGCTTTGGGGGGCTCAGCTCGCAGGGGGTCTACTACAGCCCCCAGGTAGGGAATTTTTCCAAGGCTGGGAACGAGTACCCGACCCGGACCCGGAACTGCTGGGCGGACACGGGCCAAGACTGGCGAGGCGGGCGGCAGTGCAGCAACAGTGAGTACGGGTCCTCCCCAGCCACCTCCCGGCACCCGCCAGGCCCCGGGGGGCAGAGGACGAGGAGGGGCCTCCTCCCGGGCACCCTGCACCTCCGCCCTCTCCCCCAGTCGCCATTAACCCCTGGACTCGTAGCCTCAGCTCAGTGCAGGCTGAGTTCCACCCTCTCCTCCTTCCCATCCAGCAGTGCTTGGACACAGGTGTCTGAGCCACCCCCCTCACATGCCAGCCACCTCAGCTGCCCTCCTAGGGCCCCCGGCAGTTCCAGATGTAGAGAAGGCCCCACAGCCCACGCCTGCCCTGCACGAGGTCCAGTAGGCAGCCCAGCTGGCTTCTGCAGCCCAGGGCCCATGCAACCACTTCTTCACCCAAAGCAGGCAAATGCTACCCCCGTGAGGAAAATGTCCTAGCTCACCTTCCCAGAGAGCCCTGGCATCACTCAAGGGTGCAGAACGCACCCTGACCCCATCCGGGTCCAGCCTTTGAGCCAGGGGGCTGTTGCCCACCACATCCTCGGGTTTCTAGCAACAGCAGCCACACCAAGTAGCCTGTCTCGGGGAGTTGCTGCTGAGTCCAGCTGAACTTGGCCTTGGCTGTGGGGAAGCAGGGGGCCTCTTCTCAGCCGACCCATCCCTCAGCCAAGGTTTTCAGAGGGTGGGCCCGTGATGCCAGTCAGGGTTACTGGAGGAGGTGGCAGGGCAGGTGAGGCTCTGCTGGGAGGCAGGGAGGTGAGAGTTTTTGGAATCTTCTCCGTGCCACCGAAGCCCTGCCCACGTCAGGCAGGGGCCTCCATTTCTGTCTGATCTCCGGGCTCTCCTACGCCAATGGGGGCTTGGGGCCAACCTAGGGAACCCCAAAAGCACACCTGTCCCCCCATTTGCTACTCTGCCTTGCCGGTCACAGTGCCTGACAGCCACCCCTCCATGGGCTGCCACCCATCGCTGTGCCCCTGGGGGTGAAGGCCTCCTCTCTCAGATCCTGTTTTAGGCTTGGCTTCAGGGGTGCTTTAAGCCTCAGCTGACTCTCTCTTCCCTCCATCTCCCCCTCCCCTCTCCACATCCCACACACCACCTCTTCAGTCCTGAATGCAGGTACACACACAGGGACATAGCCAAGAAAGTCAGTGGCTAATGAAGGCAAAGGCAGAGAGACTTGAACATGATCTCTCAGGAGGGCTCTTCCTCTCTCTGTGCCTCAGTTTCCTCACCTGTAACTTGAGCTGTCAGACTGCACAGAACGAGGCCTGACATGTGGGAACCACTGCCCACAGCTCCTTCCCGAGCCTGCTGCCCTGGCCAGGCTGGGGGTCAGGGTCTCTGGCCTCTGTGCCAGGCTCTCCAGGGTGGTTGAAGCCACATAACTTCCAGGCCTGGTGACATGGGGAAGTGGCAGCTTGGGGCGTCAGGTTTGCCCCTCCCTGGTTTCCTGGAGACCTGGGAAGTTGAGTCTCAAGAGCAAGGAAGTTGGCGGAAGCCGGGGGTGGAGGGAATTCACAGGCCCTGGTCCCTAATTATAGGAGGAGGGTGACCTGAAGGGACATCCCTGGGACAGAGAGGGAACTCCTGTTGCCCCTCAGGGGAAGGCAACATCAGCGAGTATTGAGAACTTTAGACAGAGAGGCATGAGGCTCTGCTGCCCCTAAGTCCCATTACACTAGGGCAGCTGCCCTCTCGGAGCCCTGCCCATCCAGGCGGGGCAGAGGTCACAGTCACTGTTCCCCAATATCAAGAATGCTGCTCAGGGGAAAGGAATCTTGGTGTCCTGGAAACCTCTGCAGGAGGGAGAGGGGCAGGCATGGTGGTTGCCCTGCCAGACGTGCCTAGCCGCAGGGTCCCCACTTATTCTACTAACCCCACACTTCCTTCCTCCTGCCAGCCCCAGACCCCCTGAGTGACAGCATACACAAGAAGAAGCACACCCGGCCCACCTTCACGGGGCACCAGATCTTTGCCCTGGAGAAAACCTTTGAGCAGACCAAGTACTTGGCTGGCCCCGAGAGGGCACGGCTGGCATACTCACTGGGCATGACCGAGTCGCAGGTCAAGGTAAGTCTGTGCGGGAGATGGCACCTGCCCTGCAGGGAGGAGCCTGCCGGACAGGAGGCCACTGCGTTGGAGAGAGGTGGCCACACAACGCAGCCCCCCAGAGGGCAGCTGTCCTGGTGTCTGGGCACTGCCTGCCTGCCTAACCCTGGAGCCTGTGGTAATTAACCATAGCCGGGAAAGGCTGAGCCCCATTCTCAGAGCCTTATGTGCGGCACCTCATTTCATCCTCTCAGCAACCCGGGGGGTCGGTATCATCACCCATTTCGCAGATGAAGATCAGTGTCTCCCGGCTGGGAGAGCTGGGAGAGCTGGCAGAGCTGGGGTTCAACCCCAGATGTGGGGGACTCCAACCTGAGGCTTTCCCTCTCCCCCCGTATTTGGCCAAAAATTCCAAGCACGGTCGGCAGTCTCTGGCCCAGATTCATGCTTGATGCTCCAGTCAGCAAAAGGAGCTGACCTCAGTTTACCAATCCTTAAGATGAAGACAACGTCTCCTTCTACTAAGCAGGATCAGATGGGCTTCAGGGGCCTGGAGCCTTGTCGCCCACGCCAGGGCTAGGGAGGGTGAGCCCAGGCTCTCCCACTCCACACGCAGGGGCCCCAAATGCCCCCTAAATAGACCCGGGGAAACCGGTTTCTACCGCCTTAGAGTCTGGGGGCAACTTTCCCCACTTTGATGCTGGCTCAGTGACTCGGCGACGGGCCTAAGGATGCAGCAGGGGCAGCTGGCACCTGGGTCTAGGCTTTGCTCAGGGCCCTGGGGCCTCCCCGAGCTCCAACCCGCTGCGCCCTCCTCATCAGCCGCTCAGCTGCCCTGGGGCGAGAGCTGGGGGGAAGAAGCAGACACTCCTGCATGTCTTTCTGCTTCTGGGGTGCGTTCCTGCCCTCTTCAACTATCCCAAGCAATGGACCTACGTTACTTTTCTAACTAACTAGGGGAACAATTATTTATGAAGTAGGGTGAGGGTCTATGAAGCCCAGAGTAGGGACTGCTCATAAGCACCTTCCAATGAGCACCGGGGCTAAGCCTTCCACCCGCGCACTCCGCATCTTCCACCGAGTTCCCAGGTGGAGGAGGAGGAGGAGGAGGAGAAGGAGGAGGAGGGGGAGGGGGAGGGGGAGGGGAGGGGGAGGGGGAGGGAGAGGGGGAGGAGGCGGCGGTGGAAGAGGAAGCAAATGGTGGGGGCGGGGGGCGGAGGGGAGGGCTGCCGCGCTCACGTTTTTAAATTTTATTGTCCTTCCCCAACAGAAACGTGAATGTGACAGTCACTCCGTTGTTGAGCCATTTGTTTAGCTGTAAAAGCAGGATGGCTGTTCTCGCGTCCCGTGCGCGCTGTGCCCCTGTGCCCTTCACATTCTTTCTCATCGCAGGTGTGGTTCCAGAACCGCAGGACCAAGTGGCGGAAGAAGAGCGCCCTGGAGCCCTCGTCCTCCACGCCCCGGGCCCCGGGCGGCGCGGGTGCAGGCGCAGGCGGGGACCGCGCACCCTCGGAGAACGAGGACGACGAGTACAACAAGCCGCTGGACCCCGACTCGGACGACGAGAAGATCCGCCTGCTGCTGCGCAAGCACCGCGCCGCCTTCTCGGTGCTCAGCCTGGGAGCGCACAGCGTCTGACGCCCGCCGTCCAGGCCCGGGATCCTGGCTGCAGCCTGCGGGGGGACGCCGAGGAGCCTACCTTCCCCTCCCCTTCCCCACGCTCCTGGGGGCGCAGGGACTGAGTCTTTCTTTGGATGAGGGGCGCGTGGAGGAGGAGCAGCAGGTGCAGGGGAGGAGGAGGGGAGGCGGGGGAGGAGGAGGAAAAGGAGGGAAAGGGGACAGGCATCCTAGCTAAGGGAGGAGGAGGCCAGGAGGGAGGCACAGCACTCCTGAGACCTGGAAGCCGCTGCCCCTTGCACCTCCTCGGGCCTCGCCTGCCAGTTCTGCAGATTCACAAGTGGACAGAGGACTAAAATGACCAGGCTCTGCAGCCAAGAAACTGGCTGTGGGGTCCCAGACATGCCACTGTGATCCAGCTGTTGGGGCGGGGGGAGTGGGCAGGACTTCCCAGGGAGGGAGGCAGCTGGCTGGGGAGTCAGAAGTCCAGAGTCTTGGGCCCCAAGCCAGCTGCTGGCTGCAGAAGAAAAGACAGGTGAGTGGCCAGGTGCACTCCTCAGACCTGTGCACAGGAAGGGTCCCACTGGAGGGGCCAGAGCTGAGCACCTAACCCAGGCTGCAGGAAATCTGCCTCCAGGAGGGGAAGTGGGACATCCCAGTGGAGAAAAAATGCCCCTGACACTGCAGGATGACGGCCCCTGAGCTGCGGAAATCCCCCTGGCCTCCTTTCTCCGATTTACCCTCAGGGTCAATACCTCTGAGACCGCTGTGCCCTCCTCATCCTGACAGCCGGGGAAAAGGGGAGGGTGCAGGGAGAGGGGAGGCGGGGACGGTGTGCCCAAGGGCCACCCACCTGGGCATCATTTGGTGCTGATATAAGGACAGGCCCACCCAGAGAGAAAAAGCATCCCACCTGGGGAGGAAAGGAAGGGCTGGGAAAGACCCCAGAACGGCACCCCTCCAACAAGGCAGGAAGGGAGAAGGACAGCCCCTCCGGCTGGGTGGAGGATGCCAGGAAGGGGCTGAACCACGGCCTGCTGGGAATCACGGCCCTTCCTTTCCTCAGATCGCCTTGCGGCCTGGCACTGGAGCTGGTGCTGACAGGGACGCTGGCCAACAGGGTGGTATTTTTCACCCGGGTGATCTGAGCTGCTGGCAGGTAGGGGGTGGGCTGGGGGAGGCGGGTGAGGGCTGGTCTTAGATAGGAATGCAGCCCAGAAGGGACCAAGCACTTGCCCATCCTCACTGGCTTTCAAAAAATAAACAGTAAAAATAAAAGTCCCATGAACCTTACGGCTCCTGTGCTTCTGTGAAAGGGACCAACGGCAGGAAACTGGCTGTGAGGTCCCAGACTTGCCAGCTGTGGGGCCTTCCCCGAGGGCCGTTGTCTAGTCTCCTGGGGACATTCGTGCTCTGACAGGTTGCACAATACAAGTTATTTGAAACCTCACTGGTAGATGCCAGACACTGTCCCCAGGTGCTGAGAAACCCAAGGTGAATTTTATGGGGTCCCTGATCTCCAGGAATTTATAGCCTAGTGGGGAAGATGATCTATGTGGAGAATTGGGTATCATAAGAAAAATAAGAAGGGAGAGACTAGAAGAGCTAAGTTTAACAGAACACCTGCTAATTTCTCCCCTGTAGAATGTCTGGATTATCACTGACCCCACAAGAAAACTAGGCAGTAGGTATCATCTTCAATGCATGGAGGAGAAAACCAAAGCTCAGAAAGTTCCTAAACCAAGTCACAGAAGTGGGACGAGGCAACCTCAGAGTAGATCCCAAGGCCCTTTCAGCCACTTCCTTGGGTTGTGAAGGGCACCCTTCGAAGCCTTTTCTGTCAAATGAGAGGCTAGAACCAAAAGTAGTTTAAGGCCCTTCCAACTTCAACAATCTGTGCAACTAGCAACTAGGCTTGACCCCTTTGCTCTCCCAAGAAGTCCATCCTTGGACCCCCAGACCCCCAGGATGGGTGAACCTGGCCCTGGAACCAGCCCGAGAGGGGATGAGGGTGGAGGAAGACCCTAGCTAGGAGCATCTCAGAAAGTAGGGCACCCACCTTTCCTAAGACCCTTAGAGGACCCAGAGGACAGAGAGGAACATGACCAGAAAATGCAGAATGTGTATAAATTTCCACCCTCCATCTGTGAAGATGCCTATGCTCAGGTGTCAGTCTTTTCCCTTGAAAAGCAGAAAGGAGAAAAGAAGGGAATGGAGCACAATCTCTGTGTGCACACTGAGAAGCCGTGCTCTGTCACAAGTGTCCTGAATGGGTCCTACAGTGGCTGCAGCAGGAGAGGACCCTAGAATTCAGCACAGACTTCAAAGATAAAAAGTTTCTGTGGTTCTGGGAGGCTTGTGATTCCTGAGTGCTGCAGGCAGGAAAAGGCTATCACATAGCCCAGGTGCAAAGTCACCAAGCAGGTATGGAGGAAGATGCAAGTGACATAAAAACTGTGTTTACTTATCTTTTTCTGAAGCATGCTGTAATCTTAACTGCTCTGTTGTAGCTATAATTCCTGCATGTCTGATTCAAGTCATTTGAGGTCAGTATGAAATCAAGCCTGGGGAAAGTTTTTCCCAGGAGATATTTGCTGAGCTAAACAAAACCTCCTTTGACCTCAAAGTTCTGGGATACCTGCCACTGGAACCTTTAGCTAAAAGACTACAGCCTTCTGGGCCATTTCCTCTAATCCCACACCACCTTCCATGTGCAGACTGAACATAGGGCCAAGCACAGGAGAGGCACTGCCCCCCATTTCCCTAACAATCATGCTGAAGCATATTCAAAAGACTAGATTTGGAGTTCAAAGGAGGAGAAAACTCATATGTGGAAGACCCAGATTCCCAAGGGTCATTCAAGATAAGTCTGGCCCTCTGCAGATGCACACACATGTGAATGCATGTGCATGCCTGTGTGTGCATACATGTGTGTGTTACTTGGGAGAACACAAGGCTATCTCACTTCATCCATCATAAAGAAATCATAAGCCAGCCAGGCGTGGTGGCTCACACCTGTAATCCCAGCACTTTGGGAGGCCGAAGTGGGTGGATCACTTGAGGCCAGGAGTTCGAGACCAGCCTGGCCAACATGGTGAGAAATGGTGAAACCCTGTCTCTACTAAAAGTACAAAAATTAGCTGGGCGTGGTGGTGAGGGCTTGTAGTCCCAGATACTCAGGAGGTTGAGGTGGGAGAATTGCTTGAACCCGGGAGGTGGAGGTTGCAGTGAGCTGAGATCATGCCACTGCACTCCAGCCTGGGTGACAGAGTGAGACTGTCTCAAAAAAAAAAAAAAAAAAAAAAGAAAGAAAGAAAGAAAGAAAGAAAGAAAGAAAAAGAAAAAAAAATCATAAACTATAGGCCCCACTTTTATCCCTGCTCATAAATAGAACTTATTGTATATTCTGGGTTAAATGAACAAACATACAAAAAGCAAAAGAACTTTGGAAATGCATGCTCCCTGCAGCTCCTCTCTTACCACATCACAAACTTTTCAGAGACAAAAGGAAAGAAATTAAGTCCCACGTCCATGACAGCTGTGGTGTCTGCTCTGACAGGTGGCTCCATGGGCTCCACCAAGTAGGGACGGATTCTGCCATAGCTGTCACCTTTGTGGCTTCTGCTATTAGCAGGACCTGGGATATGTCTTCAGCAGGTCGGGGCGAGGGTGGGTGGATGTCCATGCCTTACCAGGCTCACAGTGGCCATATCCTGATGGTAACAATCAGAAAGTAGACAAAGAGGCCGGGTGTAGTGGCTCATGCCTATAATCCCAGCACTTTGGGGGGCCAAAGTGGGCGGATCAGCTGAGATCAGGAGTTGGAGCCTAGCCTGGGCAACATGGTGAAACCTCGTCTCTACTAAAAATACAAAAATTAGCTGGGCGTGATGGCAGGTGCCTGTAATCCCAGCTACTGGGGAGGCTGAGGTAGAAGAATCACTTGAACCCAGGAGGCGGAGGTTGCAGTGAGCCGAGATGACTCCACTGCACTCCAGCCTGGGCAAAAGAAAGGTGACAAAGGGCTGAAGTCCCACTTCTGGTAACCCCTCCTCATCCTCGGGCCACCCCTAGGTTTTGACCCCAGAAACCAGCTGTCCCCGCAGCATGGGTTAGGGGAAAGGAGTCAGTTAGATATGGGCTCAAACCATAGCTCCACCACTCTCTGTATCATTGGGCCAGTTACTTAACCTCTGAGCCTCGGTTTACTCATCTATAAAATAGGAATAATTCCACACACCTTGCAGGGTTTCTGTGAGATTAGAACTAATGCATGTGCCTGGCATACACAGACAGTAAACAGTAGCCCTGTATTATTCAGAGAAGGCTTTGATGTGAGTGTCAGTGTCCCCTCCAAAATTTACATGTCAAAACTTAACTCCCACGGTGACAGTATTGAGAGGTAGGGCCTTTGTGAGGTGATAAGGCCATCAGGGCTTCATCCTCATGGATCAGATTCATGCCCTTATAAAAGGGCTTGAGGGAGTGAGTTTGGCCCTTTTTGCTCTTCCATCCCTTCCACCATGTGAAGACACAGCATTCAAGTCACCAACTTGGAAGCAGAGACCAGGCTCTTGCCAGACACTGAACCTGCCAGCGCCTTGATTTTGGACTTCCCAACCTCCAGAACTGTGAGCAATAAATGTCTATCATTTATAAATTACCCAGTCTCAGATATTTTGTTAAAGTGCCACAGATGGACTAAGACGAAGGCTGGCAGTCCTGAGTTTGAATCCCCACGTCACAAAGTAGTAGCTGGGCTGCCAGGACTGGTTAGTTAAGCTCTTCAACTCCACTGTTCTCATCTGTAAAATGAAGCGGATGAACCACTTCTGCAAGACAGATGAGAAGATTCAAATGGAATCACGCACAGAGCGTAGAATACTGCAGGCACTTAAACACCGGCACACTCACACTCTCTCCTTCCTCTCAAATTCACGCCACTAGTAAGTGGTGGAGACAGTTCTAATCTGGTCTTCTCAACAATGGGACAAGCAGTTCCAAAGTTGCAGCTACCCACTCTTGTAACAGTCCTAGCAAGTCAACTGCTAGCTGGGAGGCTACAGAAGGACTCAATGAGTGACCAGATTAGTTTACCTGCAAACCTCTGAGATCTGGACTCCAGAGTAGGGGTCTGAACTAGGTGCCCCAGGCTGAATTCAGTGTGCAGATGTGTTCATTCATGGAACAGTGCTTTTATAGAAACTGTAGCTTGCCAGGTGCAGTGGCTCATGCCTATAATCCCAGCACTTTGGGAGGCCGAGGCGAGTGGATCACCTGAGATCACCTGAGGTTCGAGATCAGCTTGGCCAGCATGGTGAAACTCTGTCTCTACTAAAAATACAAAAATTAGCCAGGCGTAGTAGCACACATCTGTAATCCCAGCTACTTGGGAGGCTGAGGCAGGAGAATCGCTTGAACCTGGGAGGCAGAGGTTGCAGTGAGCCGAGGTTGCACCACTGCACTCCAGCTTGGGTGACAGAGCGAGACCCTGTCTCAAAAAAGAAAGAAAGAAACTGTAGCTTGCCTCTAGGAAGGGCGAGCCTGGCCCAGTGAGTGACCCACCACTTCCCATGTCCCACACCTGGGCTCCACAGCAACATCACCTGTCTGGCTCAGGCAGGTGTTTGAGTCTGTGCACCTGCTATAAACCTCACTATGCAAAGAAGTGGTCCGTGCACAGAAGAAGCAGCCTCCCTTGGGAAATTTTAGAAATGTGGCATTTCAGGACTTATCTCAGACCTCCTGAATCGGAATCTGCATTTCAACAAATTCCCTGCTGGTGTGAGGAGATCCAGAGCGAACATGTCTGTGTGCACAAGTGTGGACAGCACCCCTCTTCTCAGACACAGTGCCTGGATGCTATCGTTTGGATATTTGTCCCCACCATCTCCAATGTTGAGATGTGATCCCCAATGTTGGAGGTGAAACCTAATGTGAGGTGTTTGGGTCGTAGGGGTGGATGCCCTCACCAGATGCCCAGTCTCCCAGCCAGCAGAATCATGAGCCAAAGGAACCTCTTTTCTCAGCCGGGTGCAGTGGCTCACACCTGTAATCCCAGCATTTTGGGAGGCCAAGGTGGGCAGATCACCTGAGGTCAGGAGTTCGAGAACAGCCTGACCAACATGGGGAAACCCTGTCTTTACTAAAAAATACAAAAATTAGCTGGGTGTGTTGGCGGGTGCCTGTAATCCCAGCTACTCAGGAGGCTGAGGCAGGGAGAATTGCTTGAAGCCGGGAGGCGAAGGTTGCAGCAAGCTGAGATTGTGCCACTGCACATCAGCCTGGGTGACAGAGTGAGACTCCATCTCAAAAGAAAAGAAAAGAAAAGAAACCTCTTTTCTTTATAAATTACCCACCTTAAGGTATGTCTTTATAGCAACACAAATGGACTAAGACACTGGCCTAAGTTGGAGTCTCAATGAAAAAGTTGTTAAACAACTACAGATGGGTATGGGCAGATGAGCATGGGCAACACAGCTGTAACTCGACTGTGAGCAGAATAAGGAAAAGCTTCTGAGGACCAGAGGGTAGCTGCCATAGAGCCCACACAATGCTCTCCTAGGTAAGGCCAGGAGATTCAATGAGTGCAAGACTAGACTCCGAGGGTCCCATCAGTGAAGACACAGGGAAGCAAACCACTAGCAGAGGCTGAAGGAGGCAGAAGGAGAAAGCCCAGGAGGTCAGCTTCTGATAGCACTGAAAACCCAATCCAAAGTCAGAGGACATCACCAGGGCTCCTGTTTAGAATGAGGCTCCACAGTAATTGAGATTAGCTCTGTCTTTTATCTTCTGCTTCAAATGGCCAGGACAGCATAATATTCTAGAAGATTTTCATTGGAACATTACCTTGCTTAGAACAATTCATTCACCCGCTGACAATGTGCAGATAAACAAAATGGTACCAAATACGTACAAATCCTGTAATTACTATTGGATCACGTCATTTCAGCTTGGTTCTGAGATTGGGCTGGGAGTTTATGGAGGAATCTAATACAGACTTCTGCTTGAAAGGATTTCCCCTCATCCCAAGGCAGAGGTCCTGGGAATGAGGCTAAGAGGTTCCCTGAGGTCATCTCATCCCCAGGGCCTGGGAGCTCTGACAGGACCCATCTGGCATCAGACCAGGATGCCAAAGAGGTGCTTGTTTGTTCCCTACAATGCAGGAGGCCCAGGTGCAGGGGAGACTCCAGCACCTTCTAAGAAATGGGCTCGACTGGGTGCGGTGGCTCACGCCTGTAATCCCAGCACTTTGGGAGACCGAGGCAGGTGGATCACCTGAGGTCAGGAGTTTGAGAACAGCCTGGTCAATATGGCGAAACCCTGTCTCTACTAAAAATACAAAAATTAGCTGGGCGTGGTGGCGAGCACCTGTAATCCCAGCTACTGGGAAGGCCGAGGCAGGAGAATCGCTTGAACCTGGGGGGCGGAGGTTGCAGTGAGCTGAGATCATACCACTTCACTCCAGTCTGGGGGACTGAGACTCTGTCTCAAAAAAAAAAAAAAAAAAAAAGAAAGAAAACAAAAGAAGAAATGGGCTCTTTCTATTAATAAATGCCCCACATTCACACATTTATCCTCCAACAGCTGTGCGTGATTAGCACCCCCATTTTCCAGATGAAGAAGCTGAGGTAGGCAAGTTCACTGGAGTGCCCAAGGCCCATGGCTGCTCAGCGGTGATTCAGCTCCACTCCAAAGCACATGCTTTGCACCCTCACCACACTGCAACGGAACAGCCAAGCCTGCCCCACTCCTGCTGCTACTTTCTGCAGACATTTATTAAACATTCACTATGTGCTAGGCACCATTCTAGGTGCTTTACTTAGCTCATGTAATTTTCAAAAATCCATGTAAAATAGGCACTACTATTATGCCCGCTGTCTTGCCAGGACACGGCACGCAGAAGTTAAGTAACCTGCCCTAAATCACACAGCTTAATCCCGGCAGACAGACCCTGAAGCTCCCGCTCTTAACCACCATAAAAACACCATAAAAAGGGAAAGGAAAGAAGGCCTATTTGAATTAAGGCTGGGCTGTTGAACTGTTTAAAAGAAAATGAAGGTCATATGTGCTGTAAATGAAAATCTATGTAATCAACATTTGAGGTCTGCCTTTTGCCTCGCTCTGTGCTTAGAGCTGGGAATAGAGACAAGGGTGAGCTCCCTACCTTGCTGACCTCACAGTCTAGAGGAGTGCGCCAAGAAACAAAGGGAATGCGGCTGCTAGTGCTCTGAGGAATGCCTTCACTGGGGACAGAGACACCTGTGGGAGGCGGTGGTTAAGAAGCAAGAACATTAAATAATGTACACTAGCAATAATGCGACTCACAGTCGATCCACACAGCACCATTCTCACCAAAAGCATTATATCCTTTAACATATAAGGATTACTAAACATATACTTTAACATATAAGGAGTACTAAAATAAAGGTGTTTCGGTAAGAATCATCGTGTCTACATTACCTAAAATTAAGAATTCATATAATTTGAATGAGGCTGTACAGTATATGAAAAGCTGTGACCGAATTCCCATTTTTAACAATATTAATATACTCACTATCACAAGCCAAAGTTTTCTACACACTTCCTTATACATTATTATTTTTTTGAGACAAGGTCTCACTCTGTGCCCAGGTTGGAGTGCAGTTTCACAATCATGGCTCACTGCAACCTCCACCTCCTGGGCTCAAGCAATCTTCCCATCTCAGCCTCTCCAGTAGCTGGGACCACAAGTGTGTGCCACCACGCCCAGCTAATTTTTTGTATTTTTTGTAGAGACAGGGTCTCATATGTTGCCTAGAATGGTCTCGAACTCCTGGGCTTAAGTGATCCGTCTGCCTCAGCCTCCCAAAATGCTGGGATTACAGATGTGAGCCACTGTGCCTGGCTGTCTTGTACATTATTTTTTGTTTTATTAAAATGTTAATTATAAATTGACGGTTTATAATTGTGTATATCTTGGGTGTTAAAAGTGATGCTATATTTATGAATA
The DNA here is from genome assembly GCF_000001405.40 of Homo sapiens. Classification (NCBI taxonomy): domain Eukaryota; kingdom Metazoa; phylum Chordata; class Mammalia; order Primates; family Hominidae; genus Homo; species Homo sapiens. Next base: position 41,637,477 of record NC_000008.11, on the reverse strand, counting down.
GAATGAGGAATAATTAAATCAGGCTAATTAACAGATCCATCACCTCAAATACTTATCATTTTTTGTGATGAGAGCATAGAAATTTAGTCTCCTTGCAGTTTTTAAATGTACAATACACTATTATTAACTATATTCACTACACTGTGCAATAGAGCTCAAATAAAACCTCATTCCTGGCCGGGCGCGGTGGCTCATGCCTGTAATCCCAGCACTTTGGGAGGCTGAGGCAGGCAGATCACGAGGTCAGGAGATTGAGACCTTCCTGGCCGGGCGCGGTGGCTCATGCCTGTAATCCCAGCACTTTGGGAGGCTGAGGCAGGCAGATCACGAGGTCAGGAGATTGAGACCATCCTGGCTAACACGGTGAAACCCTGTCTCTACTGAAAATACAAAAAATTATCTGGGTGTGGTAGTGCACACCTGTAGTACCAGCTACTCAGGAGGCTGAGGCAGGAGAATCACTTGAACCTGGGAGGTGGAGGTTGCAGTGAGCTCCAGCCTGGTGACAAAAGTGAGACTCTGTCTCAAAAACAAACAAACAAACAAACTCATTTTTCTTGTCTAATTGTGTGCCCTCTGACCATCATCTCCCCACTCTCCCAACCCTTGGTCTCTGTACTTACCACTCTACTCTCTGCTTCTATGAATTCAATTGTCTGAGACGCCACATATGAGTGAGAACATGTGGTATTTGTCCTGTGATTGATTTATTTTACTTAGCATAATGTTCTTCGATTCCATCCACGATGTCGCAAATGACAGGATTTCCTTCTTTTTTAACACCGAATAATATTCCATGATGACATATACCACATTTTCCTTATCTACTCATCTATGATGGACACAAGTTGATTCCAAATCTTGGTCATTGTGAATAGTGCTGCAATAAACATGGGAGTGCAGGTATCTCTTTGATATATTGATTTCCTTTCCTAGTAGGGGACTGCTGGATCATATGGAAGCTCTGGTTTTAGTTTTAGGAATCTCCATGCTGTTTTCCACAATAGCTAATCTAATTTACATTCCTACCAAGAGCAGGCAAGGGTTTTCTTTACTTCACATCCTCAACAACACTTGCATTTTTGATAACAGTCATTCTGACAGGTGCGAGGCGATAGCTCATTGTGGTTTTAATTTGCATTCCCTAATGATTAGTGAGGTGGAGCATTGTTTTTTCATGTCTGTTGGTCATTTGTATGTCTTATTTTCAGAAATGTCTATTCACGTCCCAGGCCCATTTTTTAATTGGGTTATTTGTTTTCTTGCTATCGAAGTGTTTGATTTGTTTTGGGGGTTTTTGTTTTGTTTTGTTTCCTGAGACAGAGTCTCGTTCTGTCACCCAGGCCAGAGTGCAGTGGTGCAATCTCAGCTCACTGCAACCTCTGCCTCCCAGGCTCAAGCAATTCTCCTGCCTCAGCCTCCCGAGTAGCTGGGACTACAGGCACCCGCCACTATGCCCGTCTAATTTTTGTATTTTTAGTAGAGATGGGTTTCACCGTATTGGCCAGGCTGGTCTCAAACTCCTGACCTCAGGTGATCCACCTGCCTCAGCCTCCCAAAGTGCTGGTATTACAGGCATGAGCCACCGCGCCCGGCCTTCTGTTTGAGTTCTTTATCTATCTTGGATAGCCCTTCACTAGATGTATAATGTGCAAATTTATTTTATTTTATCTATTTATTTATTTAGAGATGAAGTCTTGCTCTGTCACACAGGCTGGAGTGCAGTGGCACCATCTCGGCTCACTGCAACCTCCACCTCCTGGGTTCAAGCGATTCTCCTGCCTCAGCCTCCCGAGTAGCTGGGACTACAGACACAAGCCACCATACCTGGCTAATTTTTGTATTTTTAGTAGAGAAGGGGTTTCACCATGTTGGCCAGACTGGTCTCAAACTCCTGACCTCAGGTGATCCACCTGCTTCGGCCTCCCGAAGTGCTGGGATTACAGGCATGAGCCACCACGCCTGGCCTATTTGCAATTTTTTTGTCCCAGTCTGTAAGTTGGATTCTTACTCTCGTCATCATTTCCTTTGCTGTGCAGAAGCTTTTTCATTTGATATGACCCCATTTGTCTACTTTTGCTTTTGTTGTCTGTGCTTTTGGGATCAAAGCCAAAATATCATTGTCCAGACCAATGTTGTGCAGTTTTTCCCTTATGTTTTCTTTTAGAAGTTTTAGAGTTTCTGGTTTTACATTTAAGCCTTTAATTCAATGTGAGTTGATTTTTGTATGTGATGAGAGATAAGAATTTCATTTCACTCTTCTGCATGTGGATATCCAGTTTTCCCAACGCTATTTTTTGGAGATAAATGCTTCCCCCATTGTGTGTTCTTGGCATCTTCATAAAAAAATCAGGCTGAGCATGATGGCTCACACCTGTAATCTCAGCACTTTGGGAGGCCAAGGTGGGCAGATCACTTGAGGTCAGGAGTTTGAGACCAGCCTGGCCAACATGGCAAAATCCTGTCTCTACTAAAAATGCAAAAATTAGCTGGACGTGGTGGTGGGTGCCTGTATTCCCAGCTACTTGGGAGGGTGAGGCAGGAGAATCACTTGAACCCAGGAGGCAGAGGTTGCAGTGAGCCAAGTTTGTGCCACTGCACTCCAGCCTGGGAGACAGAGTGAAACTGTGTCTCAAAAAAAAAAATTAGTTGCCCATAAATGTGTGGGATCATATCTGGGCTCTACTCAGTTCCATTGTTCAGTGCTTCTATTTTTATGCCAGTACCATGCTGTTTTGATTACTATAGCTTTGTAGTATGGTTTGAAGTCAGGTAATGTGATGCTTCCAGCTTTGCTCTTTTTGCTCGTGATTGCCTTGGCTATTCAGGATTTCTTGTGGTTCCATGTGAATTTTAGGATTGTTTTTTCTATTTCTATGAAAAATGACATTGAAATTTTGATAGGGATTGCATTCTTGAACATTATTTCTTGTAATTCTCCAACTGACCATCCAGTTTTATTCCCAATTTGCAGATGAGAACACTGAGGCATGCAGTGCTGAGAAGACTTGTCTGAGGCCAGAACTCTAGTAAGCGTGAGGCCTGGGGCTGACACCCTGCCTTCCAGCTTTCATCCAGATCTGTGTCCGCTCCCCAGGTGTATAAAAGCCTGAAATTCCAAGCTACAGTGGACACAAGAAGATGAGAGGACATCCTCTAACCAAAGGCACACTGATCAAATGTGTTCCAGTTCATTTTCACAGCAAGCATCATGTTTACTGGAGTGGTTCCTGCTGTTTTATAGCTAGCTGCCAGTATTCCTGGATGGAGCAGATACCCCACAGCAAGCAATGTTCATGTAGGCAGCTTCCCAACCCGCCTGATGACAGGACTGGTCAGACACGTAGACCCCAGAGCCAGCAGGGATATTCGGACCCAGTGGGAGGTGGGAGGGGAGGGGAGGGGAGGGGCAGCCAAGGAACCTGTCTGGTTAACAAGGGCCTCAGGGACTGGCGACGGAGGCATGTCAGAAACAGTGATTTTTTAAAAAAAAATTTAAGTTCTGGGACACATGTGCTGAACGTGCAGGTTTGTTACATAGGTATACATGTGCCAAGGTGGTTTGCTGCACCTATCAACCTGTCATCTAGGTTTTAAGCCCTGCATGCATTAGGTATTTGTCCTAATGCTCTCCCTCCTGGGAAAGAGTGATTTTTAAAGCCCAATTTGATTTAAATCCATATGTTTTGGTTCTCCCTGCCCTCTATGGAGTTGTCCACATATGACCTAATTGATTTCTGTGGTTTTTCCTTCTTCCCCAGATGACAAAGATACGAATGACCCAGAAAGGTGGCAAGGGTGAAAGACAGAGCAATGACAGGTCCAGGTGTCCTGCCGCGCAATGCCTGCAGAAGGTCTTATGGAAGAAAACCTCCGTAGGCTCTTGGGGTTTAAGATTGTATTTATTTATTTTCTCAAGAGACCCTGCTTTAGCAGAATTTGCTAAATTGCTGCTGCTCAGTGCTGGAAAGAAGGCAACGCTGGCCTTACAATTCTAGCATGGCTCTGCCTGAGAGCTGGTGCTTCTGTTCGGTGGAGGCCTGCTGCATCTGGCTGCTTGTGGCATGGCCTGGTCTGCCTCCCACCAGGTGAGGGGGTCCTCAGGAGATCCTAGCAGTCCCTGAATCTGGAACAGCCTGAGACTGGAACGACTCCACCCCTGCACCCGCTTTCGTGATCTGCCCCCGGCTGTTTTGCTGAGAAGAGAGGCTGTAGGACTTCTTATTCAAGCTGTGCTGAACCTACAAAGTCACAAGGCAGAAACGGCTCTGATCCAGTCTTATTGCCACATCACTCACAGGCCCAGGAGTCCCCTCCCTTAAAGTCACGGGCATCCTTCATGGAACCAATGCTCCTCTGCCAGCTGTCCCACCTCAGAAGCCCCAGCTTGTCCTCTCCGATACTATTTTTTACTCTTCAGAGCCATAAAGCAAAGACTGATCCTATATTTGACCTTGGCCTTGGGCACAAATGGAGGGAAGTTATGGTTTGCACAGGTAGGAGGAGAGCTTCTGGTGACTGGCAGGGGTAGGGGTAGGGGCAGGGGTAGGGGCGGACTGACTAGGGACCCCATTTGCAGGTCTGTTGAGAAGTTCTCCTTGTCAGAAATAACCCCAGGGGCAGGACACAAAGAGCCCACATTCTTTATCCAATAACTCCTTGATCCTGTTGCCGCTAGGGAAAGGCACCAGTGCCCAAGGAGGAGCCGTGGTGTTGGAAGCAGCATGGGGAGGCTGCTTCTCTTCCCAAGTCCAGCAGCCTGCAGCCTCCTTCCCTCCGCCAGCCCAGAAGGCATGTGTTCCAAAGCCCCTCATTAGGCCTCTCTTAGCAAGCAAACAAGTATCATTAATCTTGGTAAAGTGAGTGAAAGCACATTCACCTGTCCGAGCAAGAGAATTAATGTTGTGTCAATAGGAAATCAGTGTTTACCCCAGCCTTTCTCTCTTCCCTTTGCTACAAAAAGCCCAGGCAGGGCCGAACAGCCCCAGTGCCAGACAAGGGAAAAACAAAAACCCAACATGCAGGGGCCGGGGTGTGGTGGAGCTGGGAGGGCAGGGGCAGGAAAGCCCCTCCTGAGGGTGAGCTCTTGGGTGCAGAGGACAAAAGCCCTCAACCTCAGACAAGGCGGCGGGGGGTGGTGACCACAGGGCCTTGGGGTCAGAGGCTGTCATTGGATTGTGGGTCCCTAGGAGGACATGATACCCCCAGCCCAGCCCTACAAACAGAGGTGTCAGTGGGAGATACCGCCTTTCCAATGCACATGCCTGTGGCTCTCTCCCTCCATGCCTGCAGTTACATGGAACTGTTACAGGAAAGGGGTCCCGATCCAGACCCCAAGAGAGGGCTCTTGGATCTCTCACAAGAAAGAATTCAGGGTGAGTCCATACAGTAAAGTGAAAGCAAGTTTATCAAGAAAGTAGAGGAATCAGGCCGGCCCCGGTGGCTCACGCCTATAATCTCAGCTCTTTGTGAGGCCAAGGCAGGTGGATCACTTGAGGTCAGGAGTTCAGGACCAGCCCGGCCAACATGGTGAAACCCCGTCTCTACTAAAAATACAAAAATTAGCTGGATGTCATGGCAGGTGCCTATTGTTCCAGCTACTCAGGAGGCTGAGGCATGAGAATTGCTTGAACCTGGGAGGCAGATGGTACAGTGAGCCGAGATCGCACCACTGCACCCCAGACTGGCGACAGAGCGAGACTCTGTCTCAAAAAAAAAAAAAAAGTAGAGGAATAACAGAATGGCTACTCCATGGACAGAGCAGCCCCGACAGCTACCGGTTGCCCATTTTTATGGTTATTTTTGATGATATGCTAAACAAGGGATGGATTATTCATGCCTCCCCTTTTAGACCACATAGGGTAACTCCCTGACATTGCCATGGTATTTGTAAACTGTCATGGCACTGGTGGGAGTGTAGCAGTGAGGACAACCAAAGGTCACTCTCGTCACCATCTTGGTTTTGGTGGGTTTTGGCGGGCTTCCTTACTGCAACCTGTTTTATCAGCAAGGTCTTTATGAGCTGTATCTTGTGCTGACCTTCTAACTCATCCTGCGACTAAGAATGCCTTAACCTCCTGGGAATGCAGCCCAGCAGGTCTCAGCCTCATTTTACCCAGCTCCTATTCAAGATGGAGTTGCTCTGGTTCACAGGCCTCTGACAGAGCTGCATGGGCTGAGTGGGACCAGGCAAGTGACAAAGGAGCTGCTGTTCATTACGCCTACTAAGTGCCAGGTGCTGTATGGGGCCTGAAAGGTAATCTCCAGGAGTCCTACAGAGCAGGTATCCATTCTACCTTTCTCTCAGATAAGGAAGAGATATTACTGTGCCGAAAAACTCAAGATGCCAGCCGCGAAGACATACATGGAGGAAGCGGGTATGAACCCAGGCCCCACCCAAAGCCAGCGTTCCCCAGTGATCATCGCAGACACACACACATTCACTCCAGGAAGGATCAGCCCCAGCTCGGGAGGTCAAGAGTAAAGCAAACCCCCTGGGTCATTCCCCGCCATCCCCTTAAGCCTGGGCAGGCCTGGCTGTGGGAGGGTCCGGGAGAGGCAGGGTTGGGACTGTGCGTGCCTGAGGCAGGGTTGGGACTGTGCGTGCCTGTGTGCCCCAGGAAAAGAAACCCAGCAGGCCGATAAGATCTCTGTTTCCAGAGCAAAGCACCAATTAAACACAAGGCAGATGTGAGCAAATAAAACTGTGGCGTCCAGAGAGAAAATCAATACTAGATTATATGTCCCGGCCCAATCATATACCAATTAATACCAGAGGGTGGGGTGAGGGAGATAAGTCCATGGCCAGAACCAGGGCTGGCTGTGCCGGCCCCCGAGGCCCACGCCCTCCAACTTTCCAGAATGTGGGGTGGGGGGCCGGGGGCAGCCCTTCTCAGTAGGGACTGGGACCCCTGAGTCTCAAGGGCCTGGGCTTAGCTCTCTGCGGAGCCCCGTGAGCCGGAAGCATGGAGGAGGGGAGGAAATGTCCATCTGCACGGGGCCCACTGGGCCTGCAGACAGGGGTAGGGGAACAAGGGCTGCTGTGGGAGGGTGGTGCTCCCAGGAAGAAGCGGGTGACCCAGACCCTGCGGACAGTCTGCGGGATGGTTAAAGCACCCCAGAAGAAATAAGAGGCTTGCTCTTGGAAAGTCATAGGAAACTAGGCGAACATGGGAAAACTGGAAAACACAGTTCTCACCCCAAGAAGTGAGGTTGAAGTCTCTGGTTGTTCCATCCATATTTTATTGAATGAGAAGTACAGCCAAGTAGTTAATAAATCATTTTCCAGAGGGGTGACAAAAGACAGGCAGTGAAGGCTTGCAGCACAGGAGCCAGTGACAGTGACAGTGGGTGTGGAGTGGCGCTGCCCAGGACATTCTGTGGAAGGGCTTCAGGCCCATCACTGGGTGCCGGGGAAGAGGCAGCATGACACAACCGCTGCCCGCCAGCAGACGGAGTGTACCCAGCATAGGGGTCCCCTGCCCCAGGGAGGTGGTTTTGGCATTGTCAGAAGGACAAGTCAAAAGTGCTCATGTCCCAGGGAGGGGAAATCTGGCTGTGGGCTCAGGGGCCGGATGTTGGGAGATTTTGTGGAAATGGACAGTTGCTTTAGACCCTCTGTCCTGGCCTCACGGGGCAGTTACAGACTGTCAAGTCCCCTTCCACAAAAACTCCCAAAGTCCTTGGGGAAATCAGACCCAGGATGTGTAAGAAACAGAACAAAAGTGGAAGGAAAGGTGGCAAATCACTGATGAGCCAGGCACCTGCGTCCAGTGTTGCCCTACCAGAAGCCCCTGGCCAGAGCTCCTGCAGTGGCCTGAATACTCCCTGCACACGAGTCCCGGAGGCAGAGGCCTTTTCTGAGTGGGAGTTTCATGGGCCACGGACTGTTGCATGCCAAAGAAAAGCAAAATTTGCCAGCCGAATATTTTTTAGACATTTTGCAAGATGCACGGCCTCCCTGACAATTTTTAATGTACTAACTGCCTGGTCCAGTGAGCTGATTAATTGGTGCTGGAGAGATCAATAAAAAACAGAAAATTAAAACAATTTTAAAGTGATTAAGTAGTTTAACACCTGTCTCCCGTCACGTCAGCGCAGGAAGAAAAATAAAGCAGGTGTCGAAGGGGCCTCCTGAACCAAGAGAAAACAGCGCCTGCCTGGGAGAAATGACAAATCACAGCTGGCGGATCAATCTGCGTATGCACAGCCCTTCCCCAAGCCCACGCCGAGCAGCAGGAACCGGGACCCCGGCCCCAGGCTGGGCCCTCCCAGCCTCTCTTTCCAGCCTCTCCTGCAGAGGCTGAGCAGGGCCTCCGTGCCCCCCACCCAGCCCTGACTCCTCAGCAGGGAGGAGCAAGGTGTTTGTCTGTATTTGGAACACAGGGCAAGAGGGTGCAGAGGGAGCCTCCGAACATCTGCCTAGGACTCTGGATGAATCAGAAGGAAAGGCACCAGTTAACCTCTTGATCTCACATCCAGCCATCCAGAGCTGAGTCTGTGCATATGGAGGGGTTCAAATGCACTGAAAGTGCATTTTCGTCACCTGGGCAAGGTGTGTCACACCTGTAATCCCAGCACTTTGGGAGGCCAAGAAAGGAAGATTGCTTGAGGCCAGGAGTTCAACATCAACCTGGGCAAAATAGTGAGACCCTGCCTTTATAAAAATTTTTAAAAATTAGCTCAGTGTGGTGGTGCGCCTGTAGTCCCAGTTACTTGGGAGGCTGAGGCAGGAGGATTGCTTGAACCCAGGAGCCCAGGCTGTAGTGAGCCATGAACATGATCACACCACTGCACTCCAGCCTGGGCAACAGAGTGAGACCTTGTCTCTTAAAACAACAACTGGGCCGGGCGCGGTGGCTCATGCCTGTAATCCTGGTCAGGGGTTCAAGACCAGCCTGACCAACATGGTGAAACCCTGTCTCTACTAAAAAATACAAAAATTAGCCAGGCATGGTGGCACGTGCCCTGTAATACCAGCTACTCAGGAGGCTGAGGCAGGAGAATTGCTTGAACCTGGGAGGCAGAGGTTGCAGTGAGCTGAGATCATGCCATTGCACTCCAGCTTGGGTGACAGAGCAAGACTCTGCCTCAAAAAACAACAACAACAACAACAAAAAACCCCAAAGAAAACCCAAAAAATGCATTTTGGGACCTGTGGGTTCAAGGGAAGGGAGTGCGGTCATGGCTACTCTTGGAATTACCAGTTCTCCTTTCTTACTCTAAAGGCAGACAGAGCCTCCTGACATCCCCCTTGCTGTGGCTTCCTGCTGGTGACATCAACAGGTGGTACAGGTACCTGCCGGGTGATGGCCCAAATGCCCCTTGTCCTGCCTTTAGCCAACCTCACTCCCTGATCCCCATCAGCAGCTGTAATGGCAGCTGACAAGCAAGAGCCATTCCTTTCCCAGTTTAATGTATTTGACTCCTGCATAGGAAGTAACCTCATGGAGTACGAGAAAGCCTGAGATGGTTCTTCAGCCTCCCCAGCAAAGTGCTCCTAACAGTGCAGTGGGATGGGTGTGGGCACAGGAAGTGAGGTGTCGGGGAGCCAGCGCAGGCTAGAGGGAAGCCCCCAGTGAAGCGTTTCAGAAGTGTCCTGCTTAACCCTGAAAGTGGACTTGAAGTCTCTATGTGTAAAATGCCAGGTGCTCCTACAGTTCCCCGTGTGCTGGGAATCCACAACCATGGTGTCCTCCGGCTTCGCTGGCCAGCCTGGCACATTCCTGGGGGCGGGGCTGGAAGTCCTTGGAAGAGAAACTAGGTCCTTGACCAGCCTCCTGCACATGGGCACAGCCTGGACCACACTCCTGAAAACCACTCTACTAGCATTTGCCTGCTCTGCGGGACATTCATACCTGTTTGTTTTCTGCCGTCCAGCTTCCTAACCGCCTTCAAGGTCCCCTGAGACCAGGAGAGAGAAGGAAATCCTAACAACCCCAGAGAAGGCCTGCAGTAGGTTGGAGCGCACTAGGGCCTGCAGCCACACTTCTTACTGAGAGTCCTGCTGTCAAAAGCCCTTGTGTGTTCCTACCTGCCACACTAAGCATGAATGGGAAGTCCGCAGCAGCAGCCTGGACGAGGGAGGGTCAAGAAGAAGGTGTTCCAACTATTTGCTTTAATAAAAACGTTTACTAGAAACACTAGAAAGTGTTTTCCCCCTCCCGCTCCCCCTCTCCCTCTCCCTCTCCCTCTCCCCACGGTCTCCCTCTCCCTCTCTTTCTACGGTCTCCCTCTGATGCCGAGCCAAAGCTGGACTGTACTGCTGCCATCTCGGCTCACTGCAACCTCCCTGCCTGATTCTCCTGCCTCAGCCTGCCGAGTGCCTGCGATTGCAGGCACGCACCACCACACCTGACTGGTTTTCGTATTTTTTTGGTGGAGACGGGATTTCGCTGTGTTGGCCGGGCCGGTCTCCAGCTCCTAACCGCGAGTGATCCGCCAGCCTCGGCCTCCCGAGGTGCCGGGATTGCAGACGGAGTCTCGTTCACTCAGTGCTCAATGGTGCCCAGGCTGGAGTGCAGTGGCGTGATCTCGGCTCGCTACAACCTCCACCTCCCAGCCGCCTGCCTTGGCCTCCCAAAGTGCCGAGATTGCAGCCTCTGCCCGGCTGCCAACCCGTCTGGGAAGTGAGGAGCGTCTCTGCCTGGCTGCCCATCGTCTGGGATGTGAGGAGCCCCTCTGCCTGGCTGCCCAGTCTGGAAAGTGAGGAGCGTCTCTGCCCAGCCGCCATCCCATCTAGGAAGTGAGGAGCACCTCTTCCCGGCCGCCATCACATCTAGGAAGTGAGGAGCGTCTCTGCCCGGCCGCCCATCGTCTGAGATGTGGGGAGTGCCTCTGCCCCACCGCCCCGTCTGGGATGTGAGGAGCGCCTCTGCCCGGCCGCGACCCCGTCTGGGAGGTGAGGAGCGTCTCTGCCCGGCCGCCCCGTCTGAGAAGTGAGGAGACCCTCTGCCTGGCAACCGCCCCGTCTGAGAAGTGAGGAGCCCCTCCGCCCGGCAGCCACCCCGTCCGGGAGGGAGGTTGGGGGGGGGGTCAGCCCCCCGCCCGGCCAGCCGCCCCGTCCGGGAGGGAGGTTGGGGGGGGTCAGCCCCCCGCCCGGCCAGCCGCCCCGTCCGGGAGGGAGGTGGGGGGGTCAGCCCCCCGCCCGGCCAGCCGCCCCGTCCAGGAGGTGAGGGGCGCCTCTGCCTGGCCGCCCCTACTGGGAAGTGAGGAGCCCCTCTGCCCGGCCACCACCCCGTCTGGGAGGTGTACCCAACAGCTCATTGAGAACGGGCCAGGATGACAATGGCGGTTTTGTGGAATAGAAAGGGGGGAAAGGTGGGGAAAAGATTGAGAAATCGGATGGTTGCCGTGTCTGTGTAGAAAGAAGTAGACATGGGAGACTTTTCATTTTGTTCTGTACTAAGAAAAATTCTTCTGCCTTGGGATCCTGTTGATCTGTGACCTTACCCCCAACCCTGTGCTCCCTGAAACATGTGCTGTGTCCACTCAGGGTTAAATGGATTAAGGGCAGTGCAAGATGTGCTTTGTTAAACAGATGCTCGAAGGCAGCATGCTCATTAAGAGTCATCACCACTCCCTAATCTCAAGTACCCAGGGACACAAACACTGCGGAAGGCCGCAGGGTCCTCTGCCTAGGAAAACCAGAGACCTTCGTTCACTTGTTTATCTGCTGACCTTCCCTCCACTATTGTCCTATGACCCTGCCAAATCCCCCTCTGCAAGAAACACCCAAGAATGATCAATAAAAAAAAAAGTGTTTTCCCTTTCCTACAACTTCCCCTGGGTAAGAATTCTGGTTGTATCGTCAGTGGTTGGGTTGATCTATGTAAGACCATCTGTTTGGGGCCATATTTGTCTCGATAAAGTGCCAAACTCTTTACAGCAAACTCTATGCCAATGAAAATCTCACAAAAAGGCATTTCCAGTCTTCAGCTATTGGCCCACACTGTAAGAAATAATCCACACAGCCCGATTGCTGCAAAAGACTGTCTCCTGCCACATCTTCCTGCCACAGGTGACTCTGGTGGCGATTTGGCCAGGAAGGAAGCTAAAGGGTCCTGCCACACGAGCTTCTCTTGTTGATGACAGATGTCTGCTGACAAAGGGTGCCTGCCCCAGGGTGCATCCCCAGCTGGGAGAGGGCCGGTACGTGCCATCTCAGAACGCAGCCCAGCAGAGGCATCCAGCCCTGGCACCTGGGCACTCTTGGAGGCCAACACAAAGTTCTCAACTCGGCGCCCTCCAGCCTGCAGCTGATCCCTGCAGAGTAAGCCTCAGGCTGACGGAGATAAAGTTTGCCTGGGCCCAAGTTCCAAACTCGGCCGTTTTGTTTCTGTTAAAATGCAATTGTTTTTCTCTGGAGTGTGTGGTGACTGCTCCGCGTCAGGAAGATGTATGAAAACCTCCACTTCAATTCGGCATCCCTTTTCTCCCAGACAAACACGGTCGGATTTTAATAAATCAAAGAGCCACACTGTTTAATAAAAATTTATTGACTTACAAGTGATTATTTATCAAAAGACCATTAATAGCAGGTACTGAAATGATGTGTTACTGGGTGGTGCTGGGAGACTAATAGGAAATCAATGCAGCTGGCCGGCCAGAATGCATATGAGAAGCCCACCCCCCGGCAGCCAGCGCAATCACCCCCGCAACACACGCCAGGTGCCACCCCTGGCGCAATGAAAAGTTCCCCCTTTTTATTTATCGTTTACAAATGAAATGATCAATACTTTTAATCTAGAGCAAAATTTATTAACTTTCCCATCGGAGAGAGACATATTGACTGGGGGAGAGAGTGGGGTGTGCGTGCTGTAGAAGATGGATGGCTGCGTGGCCATATCCTAACCTGTCCGCGAGGCAGTGCACCTGCAGCTGCCCTTCCAGCCTACGGACCGGGCCACCTGGGACAAGTGCACCTGGAGAAGCCGAGTCTGGCCACCCGGGATGCACAGCAGGCAGGTGGGACCTATGACATGGGGGGATCCTTCATGCATCAGGGGACACTAGCAAGCAATAGCCCAGAAAATCAAGTTCCTGGCCAATTCCAGGAAGGAAATGGCAGGATTCAGAGACCCAGATTTCCACAGGACAACAGGGTTAGTGCCCACTGTTTGCTGTGCCGTGAAGGTCACACGATGGCACCCAAAAATGCCTGTCACTGGTCTGGGAAGGGCATTTCAGGGATCTGGAGCACTCCCCCTGACCCCTCACACATCAAGCCTCTTCTCTGAAAGGCAGCACCAGGGACGGATTCTGACACGGTGAAGCATCAAGTCCCAAGGCTGGTTCTGCTGTCAAGGGAATCCCACTAGCTTTATTAAAAAGTTCCCTCTTGGCTGGGCGCAGTGGCTCACGCCTGTAATCCCAGAACTTTGGGAGGCCAAGGAGAGTGGATCACCTGAGGTCAGGAGTTGGAGACCAGCCTGACCAACATGGTGAAACCCAGTCTCTACTAAATACAAAAAATTAGCTGGGTGTGGTGGTGCATGCCTGTAATCTCAGCTACTTGGAGGCTGAGGCAGAAGAATCACTTGAACCCGGGAGGTAGAGGTTGCAGTGGAGCTGAGATTGTGCCATTGCACTCCAGCATGGGCAACAAGAGTGAAACTCCGTGTTTAAAAAAAAAAAAAAAGTTCCCTAACTGGTGGGTGGAAAGTCTCATGTTTGAGTAAAAAAGGCTGTCTGAGAACCACAATGAAGATACTGCCCAGCCTGAGAGCAGTATGGCCCCAGCCCCATGGCTGCCTAAAGCCCTTGAGGTCACCCTCAAGTGGGTTAGTTCCACTAGCCCTGATGTTTTAGAGAAGCAATGGATTCAAAGCTGACTTCCCGTATTTCCAAACCCAGAAGACTTCAGAGATCAAAGCCAAAGTTTGAACTATGGGCTTAAAAACAGAGAATTCAGAGGTGGACGAGGTCTCTGAGGTCATCTAGCCAAGTCCCTAGTTATGACTCAGGAGACGGATGCAGAGAAGTGAAGGTGCAGCAGGCTTGGAGGGGGGTTAGCAGCTGACCAGCACTTTCCACTCATTACACCACTGGGTGTCATTCCCAGCTCAGCCCCACCCTTGCTGGGGTAACAGGAGGGAACACATTATTTTGTACTTTGCATGTTTCTAAGTGTCTTGAGTTTTTGCCCCATAAGACCAACTCGGTTACCCCAAACCAGATACTCTGACTATGGGTCACTTGGGGCTTGCAGGACCCCTAATTTAAAAGGATGGAGCAGTCGCCTGGATGATGGTAAAAGGCATACACGGAAAGGGGAGGTTACGTTTCTGCAGGCGTGAATCAGTGCTCTCCTCACTGCCCGGCCCGCACAGGACTTCCCTCCACAGCACTGACTCCACGTGACTTCACACCAGGTGCGGCCACACCTGCCGGCAGGGGCCGCAGACAGCTGTGCTGAATGTGAGACAAAAGCAAAACCTGTGTGTGTGTGTATATATAAATACCTATGCAAATCACGAAAGTAACAAACCATAAAGTTTCAGATGAACTTTTTAAAAGAGAACCTGATCTTTTAAGACCAATTACTGATCCCTCCAGTTGGTTTACAAACACTGTAAACATCACCTATAAAAGCTGAAAATCACTTTTTATTCTTAAGCATTTTGTAAAACAGTTCCTAAGAGACTTATTAGTCATAACACTGACTTTATTTTTTCAGTCTTCATTTGAGAGCAAAAAGATTTCCCCCGGGCTGGCAACAGGGCAGGTGAGGAAATGGGAGGCTCTCCCAGGGAGGTCACAGGTAGGTGCAGAGAAAAGGAGATTGCAGGGCCAACCCAGCAGGTACCACATGCAAAGTGGATCTGTCTGCAGCCCCAGGAGCACAGCTTCACTCCCACCCACTCCCTGAACTGCAGGCCAGAGGGCGACCTTGGGGACGTGACACTCAGCACCACAGGCACAAAATCCTGAGAGGCATCATGACTGTGCCACGAGGGAGCATGGGTCCCAAGTGAGGGCTGGTGGGGCATGAATGGGGAGCTGAGGAGCATGAAACTGGTGAAACCCCAGAACCCACAGGGGCTGCTTGGCCTTGGCTCTGCCTCCACTGTGACTGTACAGCAGGCACCAGTGGCCGACTCTTTTCCTGTGGTGCCTGCTCTGGCTGTGCAGAAGCTGCCATGCAGCACATGCCCTGCCCACCCTGCCCCTCTGCAGCCCTCCCCTGTCCCTCCCCTGCAGAAGCCACCATGCAGCACAGGCCCTGCCCCGCCCCGGCCCCTCTGCAGCCCTCCCCGGGCCCTTGCTCCTCCCCCACCCTGGAGTTTACTCATTGCTTCCCCTAGGCCTCACATCAGCGACCCGCACACACCCCGTCTCTGGAGAAATCCACGTCTGTGCTGGAAATTCTAAATTAACCAAAGATCTGCAAGCATCTGAGACGAGCTGTTCACCTTCTGAGCTGCAGGGTTCCTCGCTCCAGCAGTCAGTTGGCTTCTCCGCAGCCCCAGGGCCATGCTCCCAGAAGAGAACGGGAATCCTCACGAGAAGCCTGCTACTCAGGGCCACAGCCAGGGGAGAAAGTAAAGGGAGAAGTCCCCCAGTTCATTCACCAGCCAGTTTTATTTACTCACAAGAACAAATCCAAAGCCCAGTGCAGCAGCTCTGAGCTCAGGCCTGCCGTGCCCCGTTTTGTGGGCCTGTACTTGAAACACTGAACGTGATGTGTCCTTCACTCACCCGCAGCACTTTAATCCCCACAACAGCCCTGTGAGGTAGGAATCACCACCATTCCCCCCGACTCATATTACAGATGGGGAAACCGAGACACACATTCAACAAAGCGCGCATCACATGGGGAGTTCAGGGTTAGCCTGGAGTACGAACACACGTTCTCCCCATGGCCCAGTCAGCGGCCCACCTGGCCTCTTCCCCTCCCTTTAGTAACCCCATCAGCAGCAGCATAAAAATCTAACCCTTCATTTTGCTGAAAGCCCCTGCAGATGACAGTTTCCTTCCTATCATGTCTGCAGAGCTCCAAGGCTGGGGGCGATGTTGAGGCCGAAGCCAGCCACAGTGCCTCAGCTGTGCCTTTCCTGGAGAGCGGGTGGCCGCCCCCAGCACATCCCTGGCACACGGGCTTGCATAACAGACTCTTGTACCGCCATCTCTAGCACAAGACCATGGCCACATCTCCCCAACCACTCAGCCCGCACAGCGTGCAAAGGTGGGGAGTTCACTTTAATGGCATTCCTCCAACGACTTATTGTAAAAGAAACAAGGCATCTCGTCCTGGGTCGCAACACCCAGCAGCATCCGTTTAGACCACCAAGGGTAGGCTGCGCCGGGTGCACAGGGATCCCGCTGCGGCTCGGCGAAAGCCGGAGTCCTGGGATCCAGAGCAGCCCGGGGAGCCCTGGAGTCTGGAAAGGACACAGCAGTGGGGGCGGCGGCGGCAACTCCAGCTCTGAGCCCGTTGGCACCCCGCACGGTGGCCCCAGCCAGCTGGAGGCAGGCTCAGGAGCGGCTCCTGTCCTTGTGGTTCCCCACGATCATCTTGCTGTACAGCTTCTGCTGCTCCTCCTTGAACGTGTCCTTCACCTTCTCCCTCTTCAGGCCCCCATCCCTGGAGAGACAAAGGCTGGATGTAGTAACAGCCAAGAGGGCTCCCAGCCACGCTCACACCATGGGAGATGCACCATGCTGCCCAAACACCAAGAAAAACCTGCCAGAAACAGGGTACCCCGTGGCACTCTCACCAAGACAACCTCAGGGGATTTGGGGCTCCGGGATCCCAATATCCACCCTTTCTATCTCAAAAGGTCTACCCTTGCCCTTGGGTGAGAATTTACTACTCACATTCAAGGTACTTGATAACTGCTTAAACCTACCAAGGAGTTTACAATTCTTTCTACTCTAACATTCATCTTCACCTCACAAAGGAAAAGGAGGAATTCTGGCATTATGGAAGGTAGACATGCTTTAAGAAATATCGACTCATAACGTATCTGTAAAATCTATCTGTAAAATGTCATTTGTTTAATTCAGACCCAGGGATACTCTGAACTCATGCAGAGAGCTAACACAAGGGGTAACGCGTGTTCTGACTTCTTCCATGCTCAAAAAAAGAGTGCCGTCAGGAATGGAGGTTTACCTCCGGGGCTGCCTCTCAGAGTTCCAGCCTCACTGCCCCCGTGCCTCCCTGCAGCAGCCCCAAACCAACCCACCAGACTTGGGATTGTTTCATTACAGTCCCATTGCCTCTTGCCTGCTGGCCCCCTCCGTGCCTACACTCTAGAATTATCACCACCTTCAACAACTTATAAAAATCCAAGCCCGCTTTCAGTCTCTCCGCTACACCCTTTAAAATCCATAGCAAAGGCATAGATTTTAAAAGCAGCCACTCTGTCTTTGTTAAACTTCAGAGATGGGAACATGGGGCAGAAGTTAAACCTTCAAGCTCTAAAAGTCTGTGAGATGTGGGTTCAAAATCTAGCTCCAGTGCTAATGTTATGACTTTGGAAAAAAGTGATTTGAGTCTCAGTTTCTCATCTGCAAAATGGGAACACTGTTTACAGCGCTGCGGCTACTGTGAGGGCGAAAGAGACGATCACACAGGGCCCCAGCAGCTCAGTGACTGGCACACAGTGAGTGCACAATCCACACTAGCATTTTTTAAAAGGCCATCATCTGAGAGCCAATCTATTCCCTGAGACTCTACAGTTGGGTTTACAATGTGAATTTCTACCCTTTCTTTTCTCATAGATAATGCCCATCTAAGTCAAATGCTCTCCCCAGTTGACCCTTGGCTCTTAAACCTAAATGCCCCACAGAGTGGAAAACTTTCTCTGAACCAGCATTGACCCCTGTCAGTCTCCTACTGTTTGGGATAAAACTACCTCATACTCTAGTATAAGGGCTGGTCAAATGCAGCCCACGGGCCACATCCAGCTGATACCTGTTTTTGTAAATAAAGTTTTATTGGAACACAGCCATGCTCATTGGTTTATAGACTGTCTGTTTTCACACTACAATGGCAGAGATCATCAGTAGCTGCAACAGACACCATATGGCCTGCAAATCCTAAAATATTTACTGACTACAGAAAAAGTATGTCAATCCTGCTCTATTAGGTAACAAGCTGAATACACCAAACACAACCTTTACCTTTCTAAGAATGGTTCAATTTTGCCAGATACACTGGGACCTGGGAAAGTCCTCCTTCCTTCTTGAAGTTTTCAGATCAGTAGCAGGTCATGCCCACCCAGAGATGGGCACTGTCCAGGTGTCCTGGAAGACTGGTTCAAACCCCAGAAAGGTACACAGAATCAACTGCCTCAGTCCAGGCATCCCTGATCCAGGTTCCCCAAGGTCAAGGAAGCACAGGGCACTTCTGGGTTGGAATTCGGGGAGAGTCAAACTGCTCTCTCTAGAGCTGACAAGTTTAATTCTCCACACCACGGGGAATGACATGTAAGTGAAGTCAATGACACAGCATCTGCTGCAGAAACTCAGCTGAAAAGGCCTGGCTCTAAACTTACCACAGCAGGTCCACAAGTCCTCCCTGCCTGGCAATGGCAGATTTCACCCTATTCGCAAACTGGACAGCATCTTCATCTGCCTGTAAGAAAGAACAAATGAGACCACTCAGCCCCGGCTTGACGTTACACAGAGCAGGCGCAGACCTGCCTGGGGCAGGCACTCACCTCTCTAGTCATGGGAGGCAGGTACCACACGCTGCAGACAATGGCCCAGCTGGTCATCATTCGCAGCAGGTACGTCACCATCCCGTATTTGCTGCTGTTCCAGAAGGCATCGCCAAATTGAGGGTCATACTGAAAACAATGGAAAGCTGGAGGTAAGACATGAGTAGTTCTCACAACGTTTGCGAGTCCACAGTGACTGCTGTGAGTGACTCCACTGGGCCGTGCTGGTACTGGGGTGCTGCTCCCTGACCTTGCATGAGTACTGTGGAAGCCCCTCTCCATGTGGCCGGTTCTGACTGTGAGCAACACTGATCTCCCCCGAGGAACCCGGCCTCTGCTACAGATCAGTAAGGAAGGCTCCCCTGACAGCCTGCCTCAAGCAAATGTCTTCCCTCCTTGATTAGTTTCAGGTCTTACTCATAGGTATATAAAGTTTTCAAACATCTCCAAAACCAGGGAGAAAAGGATCATGCACTCCCATGTACCCATTCCCTGATTCAACCACCGCCAACGTTTCCCACTTGCTCCACCTGTCCCCTCTCAGCATCCTGTCATTCATCTAGTGTACCTCCCCCAAATAAAGATATTTTCTTACACAAACACCAACTTTTAAATATGATTTCTGGTGCCCAGACCAGGGAGGAAACTATTAGAAAGCTTCTACATTTACACTTCCAACAAAGTCAGTCGTCTGTTCAGGAGGCGGCTCTGTGCTCACGCTGACAGCCTTGGGAGGTCTCAACCACACAGGCCTGCATCTACCATGAAGCAGGTATCAGATCCTTTCATTATTTCATTGGCATTTTGCAGAAAATGTAGCTGCAGCTGTGACCCACATTCTCACCAAACAAGTAGCTGGAGGGGCAGGTGAGCAGGGTAGGTAAGCTCTAGAGGAAGTTGCGCAAGGAGCAACAGGAGGACCTGGGTGCTTGAGAATGCCTGGACAAAGTGCCTGGTGCTGCCAGCGAATGTCTGAAGGGATCCTGTACACAAGGCAGTAGGCTGACCTTGTGCAAACACCCAGGACCAGAGTGGAAAAATAAAGGAGCCAGAATTTCAAGAGTTATGCCACACGGCCATGCTGCCAACAACATCAAAAATGCCCTTTCCCTGGGAAAGCCTGAGAAGGAGCCCAGGGCAGGGTCCTGCATGTGGGATGGGCTAGGGTTGAACTCTATGATCTTATAGGCCTTTCCAGCCTAAGTTTTATGATCCACAGTATAAATACTGGACAATTTTGACAAGACTGTGGCCCTAACTACAAAAATGAAGATAACTTAGGCTTAATTATAGAAGCTAAGAAAATTAGATTTAACTACAGAAGACTTAATGTGTTATTATAATACCAACAGAAACAAGGGAAAATAATAAGTTTTTAAAACTAAGCAATGTGTATGATCAGAAAGTATTTTTTTAATTTTAATTTTATATATAATAATATACATTTTGAGACAAGAGTCTCACACTGTCGCCCAGGCTGGAGTGCTGTGGCGCTATCTCGGCTCACTGCAAGCTCCACCTCCCAGGTTCACGCCATTCTCCTGCCCCAGCCTCCCGAGTAGCTGGGGCTGTAGGCACCTGCCACTACGCCCGGCTAATTTTTTTGTATTTTTAGTAGAGACGGGGTTTCACCATATTGGCCAGGCTTGCCTCGAACTCCTGGCCTCAAGTGATCCACCGGCCTCAGCCTCCCAAAGTGCTGGGATTACAGGCGTGAACCACTGCATCTGGTCATGTCGTTGTATTTTATAAAGCCTGATATGGACAGAAATTCTGATGTCACCAGAGTGTGAGAACCCTTTGTTTCGGGCTGATTCTCTATTCCACACTGGGCAGTGTGTGTGGACAGAGAAAAAAGGCAGAAGCTCAACACAGCGACACACTCCTCACATCAGGTCATGGCTGGATTCCGGTGGAAATATAAGAAGAGCCTTGAAATCGCTAAGGTTATCCAAGTTTGATTACCAATAAAGAGTTCACAAAAACCAGTAATCTGTAGACCAGATGTTCTTAGCCATACATGGGCTCTACTCTGTGGACTAAATGGAAATGTATCTAAAATTTATAAGCATTTTACTTTGGAGAGGAGCGGAAACTCCTCAGGGTTCGTGTTCTGACAGCAGCTAAGAGCCACTGCTTCAGAACTGTGGCCGCCACAGTGTGGTCCCAACTGGCACCATCAATGCCACCCAGAACATGTTAGAATGGAAAATCAGAAGGCCCAGCGGGGTGGCTCAGGCCTATAATCCCAGCACTTTGAGAGGCCAAGGCAGGCGGATCACTTGAGTCCAGGAGTTCTAGATCAGTCTGAGCAACGCGGGGAAACTCCGTCTCTACAAAAATTAAAAAATTAGCCAGGTGTGGTGGTGTGCACCTGTAATCCCAGCTACTTGGGAGGCTGAGACACAAGAATCACCTAAATGTGGGAGGTCAAGGTTGCATGAGTCATGATTGTGCCACTGCACTCCAGCCTGGGTGACAGACTGAGACCCTGCCTCAAAAGAAAAAGAATAGGAAGTTCAGAAACCCTGGGTGTGGGGCCCAGCAATCTGCATTTAAACAATCCCTGCAGGCAATGCTGATGCAGCCTAAGTTCAAGAGCTGCTGTTCTGGAGGCAGCAGTAAGGGCTTCCATCCAGCATCACGGTCACACTGCAAAGCACCTGTCCTCGTTTTGCCAGAATGCAGGATGCAGATGCCAGTCCCCACTCCCACACCCAAGGCAGACTCTGCTAACAGACTATGTTCCTCTTTCCTGCTGTTTCCAGACACAGCATCCTCAGGCTCTGGTGAGTCCTAGCCTGTCAATCAGAGTCCCCTGCAGGCAATATTCATCTGCCATCCCTGGCCTGGTCCTCTGCCTAAATGATAAACAGTGAGTGGCTGGTGAGCATCGGCCTCACCAGGAGCAACACCTCTCCAGTGGCACTGGCAAGGTGAAAAGAAAGTCAGAACCAACTCTACAGAATGCTCTGCAGACAACCCAGTCCCCTACAAAAGAAATTCTAAGTGTGAGCCTGACTCATATCTGCTCACCATTTTATCGAGCTCTCAGGCTGCAGCCTAAATACTTTAACCACACTGAGGATGGCCTGTGTTTTGTAGGTGTCATGATGTGAGGCCTGGTGGATGTGAAGAGGGTAAGAGCGGGGAGGAACAATGTGCAGATGACTAGCTAATCACATCCTATAGCTCTGGGTGTCTGAAGGGTTAGAGGAGCAGTTCCTAAAGGGTCGACGTAGACTAGATAAACTCCCAGGGTCCATCTCATTGTTAGGAGCTGTTGTAGGTCTAAAAGATGACACAACTAAAAGCAGTGAAGCTGTTTCTCCCACTGGGCTGGAGTAATGACCCCCCCCCCAATCCTCATGGCTCCCCCAAAATGCAAAAATCCAGCTTAAAACCACACCACTGTGCCCTGCAATCAGCCAGCTTTCCATGTGGAGGGGCCTACATTCCAGCTAGGTTTATGAAGCAAGGTAATAAGTGAAGGGCTTGCCATTTCCCGAATGGTGGCGGCAGCAGCATGCAGGCGGGAATCTGGCTGTCCCCCATTCCACACTCCCCAGGCCCTTCTAAGGGGTGCTGAGCACTCACCATCCTCCTCCGGCAGCACTTGACCCACGTCAACCCAGCCCCACGCCACTCTGCTGAGGGCATCGACCACAGACTGGTGACCCCAGCTCCTTCCTCTACCTCCTCCTGCTGCACCCCACTCACAGCAGCTCCAGTAATGACAGTGTGTACCATCGGAGGTCTTATACCTTGATAGCAACAGGGTAAACTGTGGCTCCAATTTCAAAACTTCCCTTTTTGAACATCATCACCGATGTATTATTGATGCAGGTTCCTAAAATGCAGGAGACAATAAAATGCTATTTCTGTTGGCCCTTTACCCCAGATATTAGGCGTTTCTTAAAGACTAAGTATAATAGTCAAAATTCTTCTAATGGTTCCTCCAGTAAGATACATCTGTCATCTCCCTAACTTAAAAACAAACACTTAACAGAGACAGGCAAGATGGTGCCTCCGATTCTCTTTCTACAGGACCACTTTCCCTGATTCATACACACAGCCTAGATAAAGCAGAGACGCGCAGTGGCCTTAGGAGGACACCATGAGCTCTGTGAGGAGCTGAAACATTACAGAAGAAATTCCTGCATTTGGGGAGTTCACACTATGGCATTCTTAGTTCAAATTCTGAACTTACCTGAGTTTTTAGTCCTACTTCCAACCTAAAGGGGACCTAACATTATTCAGTGAAAACAGATAACCCCAACAAGGGCTGAGGGCCTTGGTTCCCAGGAAACATCAGCATCACACTCCTGCACTCCCCACAGAAGCCCTTCGTGGCAACCAACCCCTTCTTACCTTCTGGGAAGATGAGGATAGGCAGCTTGCTTTTATCTTGCACATGTTCAGTCAGTCTTTCAAAGAAGAAAATAAAATAAAGGGTCAGACAACCTTATACACATCGTCAAAATATGTTTATAAATAACCTATTTATTTGTGACACTAGTTTCGATTATAAAAAGTTAACAAGCATAACTGTATCCTTTTAAACCCATAATCTAATGCTCATCAAGAAAAAATGTATATGGATAGAGAAAAATCAGGTTACCATTTAATTCACAGAACTGTTCAATTCTGTGCGAACATCGGAGCACCAATGATGCCACTCAACCTGGGGGCCACCTGAAAGAGACACCTGCCACAAGGCCTGGGCATGGCCCCCTCAATAAACCTGTGTCACTAGACTATGTAACAGTTGTGAGGCTGGGCCCAGCCCTGCTGGCTCGATGCTCTGTCCCTGAGATGTAGCAAAGGGAGTTAGGGGAGAGTTCATCTGTCTCTATGGAAGATAATCTCAACTGTCTTTTCTTATGTGTTATTTTTTGAGACAGGGTCTCCCTGTGTTGCCCAGGCTGGAATGCGGTGGTGCAATCATAGCTCACTGAAGTCTCACCCTCCCTGGCTCAAGCGATCCTCCCACGTCAGCCTCCCAAGTAGCTGGGACTACAGAAGCGTACCACCACGCTCAGCTAATTTTTAAATTTTTTGTAGAGATGGGGGTCTTCCTATGTTGCCCAGGCTGGTCTCGAACTCCCGGGCTCTCAAAGCACTGGGATTACAGGCCTGAGCCACCATGTGTGGCTTGGTCTCAACTGTCTTGATGTCTCTGTCTGCTGCAAATCTCTTTGCATTACTTACAGCAGATTCACCTTCTTAAAGTTTGAAAACAGGGCAGTACTTTGTTCCACTGCCTTAGGTTTCTTTTTATTTGTGATAAATGAATTCATTTTGAGGT
This sequence comes from Homo sapiens, assembly GCF_000001405.40. Lineage (NCBI taxonomy): Eukaryota > Metazoa > Chordata > Mammalia > Primates > Hominidae > Homo > Homo sapiens. Next base: position 41,613,504 of record NC_000008.11, on the reverse strand, counting down.
TTCAAATAGCAGTAAAAATTCGTATTTTGTTTATTATGATGGGTACAATGAATTAAAAAAAGGTTAAGAAACATTATTAACTTGGTAAATAATACTAGGGTTTCTATACTTTTTTTTTTAAGACAGAGTCTCATTCTATCGCCCAGGCTGGAATGCAATGGCGCGATCTCAGCTCACTGCAACCTCTGTCACCCTGGTTCAAACTATTCTCCTGCCTCAGTCTCCCTAGTAGCTGGGATTACAGATGCCCGTCAATAATTTTTGCATTTTTAGTATTTTGTATTTTCACCATGTTGGTCAGGCTAGTCTCAAACTCCTGACCTCAAGTGATCCGCCCACCTCGGCCTCCCAAACTGCTGGGATTACAGGCATGAGCCACCACACCCGGCCACTTTTAAAATTTCATGTTTTAGGAAAAAATTATTATGAAAGCAGTATAGGCTTATGATAGAAGGCACGTAACTGCACTGTGGAGGGATAACTACCCTGAAACCTTTTCAGCATTCTAACTGGCCAAGCAGAACAGCAGTGTTCTGTCCATTACCTCTTAGCCACCAGGTGGCGATCCTTCACTTCCGAGCGCTCAAACCAGACGTGTGGGCAGGCCTTCACCATGGCTCTCTGAATCACACCCATGAGTCCCCCGTGCACTTGACCCACCTAAGCGCAGGCACAGGACTCATTAGTAGTGAAGCCATCTTCACACGAATCTCCCCACTCTAGGAAGAACCACATCTCACAAAATAAGCAGTCCAACTTCTCACTTCTAACGCTTGCCGGCTGAAGGTTGCTCACTGCCAAGAAACCACTACCAAGACTCCCCAAATCTTAAACTTCTCCTTTTAATCAGTAATACTAGAAATAGGTAATTAAAAACATAACTGAAACCCCTAAGACAAAATACTAAAATACTAAAGTAGCGCAATTCCCTGTGTAAAACTGCCCCTCCCTGGGCAGATTCTCAGATGCCCTGGACACAGTCCTTGCCAGCAACTCCCTCTGCCCCTGCTGGTCTGCCTGACTGCCCTTGGCATCCTCTCCAGCCACACTCACCAATCACTCTGCCCAGGGTATCTCCTATCACAGTCCCACAGAGCCCCCACAGTGACAGTAAGGTGGGGGCCTGGCCCACGCATAAATGTGTTTATGTGAAGGGTCCAGGAGCCTCCTAGCCCTGACCACTCTAAAGCAGGAAGTCTTGCCTCAAGAACGCACCGGAAAGAGCTCTTACCATGGCATAATAGCCATCGCTGGCCAAGATGATCACATCGATCGGTGAGGTATGATTGGCCACACAGATGCCACCATTTCTTGGTCTGTTTTCCCTGGGTTTAAAATGTATGCAAAGCAACCAAAATTAGTGTGAAACAGTTCATGTAACACACCTCTCACCTCACATGCTTCATCTGCTCTAACTAAAAGCTCAGAAGTGTCTTCCCATTTGGCTAAGTATAGGTGGGTGGTGTTTCCTGCAGCGCCATCTCCCTTCCTATCAATACAAAGCGCTCTCACCTGTCATGGTAGGTGATGATGGCTGTCAGCGCTCGCACGCAGATCCGGTAACACATTAAGTGAACATGTTTACTCATGAACTCCTTAAACCTGCAATAACAGGACAAGGATTCTGGGTTTTATTTTACATACAGGAAGACAGAAAGAGTTACTGACTTCAACAGCTCAGCAGTCCTTTATAACAGCAAAGTGCTTGTATAGACATCAGCACCTACAGGAAAGTCCTGTGATGCATGAGCACCTTTATGTTCACACATGAGGAGAGAAAGAGGGGACAGGGAGACTCACTTACATCCACCCAAATCAGTGGGTGGAGAATTCACAGCCTAGAATCCGGCATCCGCAGACCACAGGCGGGCTGAACTCCGTTCCCCCAGTCAACATCCAGAGGCAGGTCCAAGGCCAGAGGCCAACCTCCTCACCCGCCCAGGCAGAAGAAAGGTTTCTAAACCCCAGAACTTCCCAAAGGGAGCAAAATATTCTTCACACAAACAGACAAAACCTCCCTACATTTCAAACCATTTTAAAAACTGTATTGTCTCATCACTTTATCCACACAGTCAAATGCTCAAAACTAAACAACAAGCTGTAAAATCTGTTAACATCTGAGTCTCGGACTCTACATGTCTGTGGCTCCTCCCTTTTGTCTTCAAAATGGGAAGAATGTGAGGGCTGAAGGACAAAAAGAACAGTCATAGATCAAAATTTAAAAAAAGTAAAGACTTTACTGCTGATGCCGTTGTTGCCATTGGGTTGTTATTATTATTTGAGATGGAGTCTCGCTCTGTTGCCTAGGCTGGAGTGCAGTGGTGTGATGTTGGCTCACTGCAACCTCTGCCCCCTGGATTCAAGGATTCTCCTGCCTCAGCTTCCCAAGTAGCTGGGATTACAGGCACCCGCCACCGTGCCTGGCTAACTTTTGTATTTTTAGTAGAGACAGGTTTCGCCATGCTGGCCAGGCTGGTCTCAAACTCCTGACCTCAGGTGATCCACCCACCTCAGCCTCCCAAAGTGCTGGGATTACAGGCATGAGCCACCGTGCCTGGCCACCACTGGGTTATTTAATCCATCTAAGATTCCATGGCTTTGGTTGTGTCCAAAGAAGTGTCCTTGCCTTCGATATCTGAGCACCATTCCCAGAACTAACTGTCCTTCAGGCATGGACTGCCACACTCTACTCACCTCCCATTTGGCAAGTATCCCACCACAGTTGTGCCCACCACCAGAAGGCTAATCCCTGTGAAAGCCAGTGCTATCCTGTAAGAAGAAGAAAAGTTAGAGCACAGCCAGCAAATCATTCTACCAAGTACAGAACTGAAGGTGTGAAAATCAAAGGGGGCATCACAAAAACCACCCCCAAGACCTGCTCACCTGGGACCTGGACCAGAGTTCACCTAGAAATGTAAGCAGGCCTATCAGAACCAGAGATCCTTTTGATTCCAGCTGACAGTGAGCCATGGGTCTGGCTCTCAGCTGCCTGCATCTCCTGAGGCCTCAGGCAGCTGGAAGGCTGGAAAACCCTAAGCTGGCCATTCTGCCACAGGGCTGCTCCCTGCTGCCCTCCCCTTCCCTTTGGCTGGAAACCCCGGTGGAAGCACAGCTTCCCTCTGAAGCAACAGGAGGTGGAGCTTGAAGGTATTAGCATCTGGCAAGGCACACTCAGAGCAGCACATGGTGCAGAGAAGCTGAAAGATCAATACTGCCCCTGTACCTGAGAGGCAAGCTTCAGGAAAGAATGAGCCATGTCCAGGAAGGAGTGGCAGAAAGCACACAATGTTCCCTGTCCCTGTGTTTGCTGTCATCTAGAGAAGCAAGCTGTCTTTAAGAAATCCAACTATTTCTGTCTGATATGCAGAGAATCCAAGGGCCTCTAAAGGAGAATCACCAGTGTATCCCTCCAAAGAGTCACGTGGCCTGGCTAACGACAGTCATTCCCTCCTCCTTTCTAAAACGGGAATACACAGCAGAGCAGGCAGGTGGGCTGTGCACCACGTGGGGTGGCAGCAGCGAGCCCCACTCCCGCAGGCCCTGCCTCACCTGAGCGGCAGCAGAAAGCAGTACCGAATCAGCACTCCTAACCCCCACAGGACCGTGAGCCGAAGGCTGATGTACTGGAAGTTATAATTGGTTCTGCTCAGCAGGTTCCAGGACTCCAGTTCTTCTGCTGAGAATCTCTTTGTCACCTCATCATCCATAATGGTCTCCATTCCTTTCCGGCAAAAGTAGAAAATGTCAGAGAGCTCGAACTCTGGAGTGTTGTCCAGAGCCTTACTACTACCACTTCGACGAATCTCTTTGATCTCTTCTTCTAGTGAAGTGGGATCCTTTGCAATGATTCCTGCAAAAGAATGTGTCCCTGTCAAGCAGCACGCTGGGGGAGAGCACGTGAGACATACTCAGAGCACACATCCTGCACTAATGCAGGGAAGAGCGTGTGTGGCACCAGAAGCACTGGGGAACACTGTTCAAATGGACCTCTCAGGACAAGGATCACACCCCCATCTTACCGTTGGTGTAGGGCTTGTAAAGCTGGTGGTTCTTCTCCTTGGCTCCTCGCTCCATTCTCAAGGTAGCCCACTGGGAGGGGAAGGAAGCAAGATACAAGAGCAAGAATGAGACCTGTTTTCAATCAGTGAACACCTCCATCTCTATTCTGTGAAAGCCTCAGTCCCAGTCACCTAAGACCGTAGCCAAGAAGCACATAGTCTAGAAGGAAACTCAAACCACCTCTCCCCAGAGCAGCCCCTTCCTTGACAACTGGGACCAAGAGTTAAGTCACCTATAGCAAAACACTGGGAACTTCAAGAAGCTGGGGCGAGTTCCTCAGGCCTAGTTCCTCACTGCCTACGTCTCTCTGTCTCCGGGCTGTAGGGAGCTCACTTGCTGACAGCACAGACCTCACGATTCCTCCTGCACTGCCGCACGGCAGCTACTCAAAACAGCGAAGCCAGGTATCCTGTAAACTACTGCCTGCCACCAAATTACTCCAAGAAAGCAGCAATTTTCATTTTAAAGGAGACAAAGAGCTTAAGTAATACATATGTTTGGACTGTCCAGTAACAGGAGTAACATTTTAATGGGAGAATCCCACAACTTAACACTGAAAGGCCTGGGAGTGGCTTAATAGTGTTAAAGGAAAAAAAGAACACTATTAGGAGACCGAAAAAAAAAAACCCAGATTCAATTCCCAAGTTTACATTCACTAGCTGCGTTCATTAAGCAACCCATTCCAAGTCTCTGAATCTTGGTCTCTTTATCTGCAAAACAGGATTGATACTACCTCAAACTCCTACTTCACGGGATCGCTTAGGATAAAATGAAATCATGTATGGGACAAAACTGGGGAAATGCAAAGCACTCTGTCCTGATTATTACCGAAATAACACAGATTCTGGAAAAGACCTAGGAAAAAGACGCTTTTCCTAGAATCCCTCTTCATTAAAACTGGTTTCGCTGGTATAAGACAGCCAGGGGCTGGTTCTCTCCCACTATCAAATGAGAGGTGAAAACATGGGTGCACTTATCCCCCCTTGGATATGGTATCACTAGAGAGAAAGCTATGTCATGTCCACAGTGAGTCAGAGAAACAGAACAGGCATTCAAAAGCCTCAACCTTCGGCTTCCACGGTTATGCACAGTGGGCACGAGCCCATCATCCCATGGCATGGGAAGATGCACGTGGCCCAGGGCACATGGTGCGGGTTCTGCTGGCAAAGCCCAAAGGGTCAGCAAGACTGCACCACGTGGTCCAGCAAAGCCGAATGCTGCACGCGAGTTTAATCAGTGATCTGACCTCATCTGGAAATCTCAAACCACACAGTCTAGAGAGGAAGGTGGCTCACAAAGTCACCACGCAAAGAAAGTTCAAAGGCAAGAAAACTCACATGACCCATTTTCTCTGTTTCAGATATTTGGCCATTGATGTCTTTTGGCTCTAAGCACAGACGAGCTTTCCTTTAAAAATGTTAATATAATACCTAAAATGGAGGAAGGTAAATCTCATCTGGTTTCCTGGAACTAGAGAAGAGGTGAAAAGGGGCAAGAGAGTTCACAACAATCCTGGCATGCAGAAACACAGGTCACTCAACCAGAATTTAGGGTTCTACATTTTGGCCAGGCTCTGTTTTGGCACTGCAAGAATAATCAGAAGAGAAAAACTTGGGGCCAGACGCAGTGGGGCTCATGCCTGTAATCCCAGCACTTTGGGAGGCCAAGGCAGAAAGATCGTTTGAGCCCAGGAGTTTGAGACCAGCCTGGGCAACATGGCAAAATCCCGTATCTAAAAAATACAAAAAAATTAGCTAGGCATAGTGATGTGTGCCTGTAGTCCCAGCTACTCCAGAGGCTGAGATGGGAGCCAGGGGACGTTGAGGCTGCAGTGAGCGGAGATTGCACCACTGCACTACAGCCTGGGAGATACAGCAAGACCCTGTCTCAAAAAAAAAAAAAAAAGAGAGAGAAACTTGATTCTGTACTGACAATTCTGATACTCCATGAGACTGCAATAGGCAGAGAATATATGACATAAGGCCTCTCAGATGACAATTTCAGTCTGAGGATTGTTTCAATGTGCAAAATTCAAGACGCCTGCAGGCTCTGTGATCATGGGAAAGGGATCTGCTAATTGAGATTCTACATCTCCTAGTTCTGTGGCAGTTCAGTAATAAACATCCCTTTGGCCTCCTGCTTTTTAATTTCAGGAACATGACAAAACACGTCTGTGTTTAGGAAAAAATTGCCCCAAGTCACAAGGGCAGGGGAAAAGAGGAGAGGGCTGAACAGCCTGTTAAGAAATGGCTGATCAGGTGGCTGGGTGCAGTGGCTCACACCTGTAATCCCAGCACTATGGGCAGGAGGATCATTTAAGCCCAGGAGTTTGAGAAATGGCTGATCAATGAACTGGACTCTTTCTGCCTGAAAGAAACCAAAATATTTCATCCTGAAATATACTTCTTTGACATATTTCAAGAGGACTGTTCAGAAGGACTGGAAATGCAAGAATAACGGAGAAACTGTCTTTTGTAGGAGGAATTTGCATCTGTAGAGGAGACAACGTGAAGTAAACAACAGATGCAAATAGACTTTCTCTGAAGCAACTCCCTCCTTGTCCCAATCTAGAAAGAACTGAGAGTCAGACGCCTTTAAAGGTCTGAAAGAAACACTTAGCATCTACACTTTTGAAGGGCTGCTATCTGTGAGGTTTCATCTACACAAGACTACCCGTGCTAGCCAAGCCACCTCTTCTCTCCCTCTTGTTACCTACTGCCACCTGATTTACCGCCATAGCCTGTTTTTTGGCCATGCTCGGAGCCCCCACTGTTTCTGTAACCTCAAATGCTACAAAAGCATCAACCATCTAGCTATTTCTTTGAGATCTTTGTAAAACTCCTGTGCACATTAATAAATTTGTACGTCTTTTCTTTTATTAATCTGCTTTTGAGAGTTGATTTTTCAGTGAATCTTCAGAGGGCAAAGGGGATGCTTTCCCTTGGCCCCTACAAACCCTACTGGACCAAATCAAAATGCCTCTGGGAAAACACTGCTTCTCTGCACTATACTCACACAGCACACTCCTGATACCAGATGTGTGAGGAATGCCCCCCCAAACCCAAACCAAGCAAATCTTCAGCAGGCACCAGCTGGGTGTCCTCTAATTCAATTCAATTCAATTCTGAGGCTATTGACCTGGAGTTGGTATCAGATCCCACAAGTTAAGAGTCAGTCCCACATGACTGCCCCTACTTCAGATCCAAGTTGAAAGTCTCACATGACTCGTACTTCTGACTGACCAGCTATAAATCGGGGTTCCCACAACCCTTCTTCAGGTTCAATGTGCTGGAATGACTCCCAAGATTCAGGGCAATGGTTTACTTAACATGTATAGCTTTATGATAAAGCACACACAGCTCAGGAAGCACCAGATGGAAGAGATGCATAGGGCAAGATACGGCAAGCCCTTGCCATCCTCCCAAGAGGATGCTCTCACCCAGCTGCCTCGTGGTTCATGCCCTGTCCTCTGCCCTCCCTTATTCCCTATTGAATTGCTTCCCTCTTGCTTCCCTCCGATCCACATGCTGCCAGAGTCCAGCCACGTCACTTTCTTGTTCAAAAATCTTCAATGGGCTGGGCGCAGTGGATCATGCCTGTAATCCCAGAACTTTAGGAGGCTGAGGAGGGTGGATCACTTGAGGTCAGGAGTTTGAGACCAGCCTGGCCAACATGGCAAAACCCCATCTCTACTAACACTACAAAAATAGTCAGGTGTGGTGGCACAGGCCTGTAACCCCAACTACTCGGGGCTGAGGCAGGAGAATCACTTGAACCCAGGAGGCGAAGGTTGCAGTGAGCCAAGATTGCGCCACTGCACTCCAGCCTGGGCAACAGAGGGAGACTCTGTCTCAAAAAACAAACAAACAAACAAACAAACAAACAAACAAACAAACAAAACACAACCTTCAATGATTTCTCAATGCCTGAAGTTCAGTATTGTAACCCACCTCATTCCCTCCATGCGCCGTGTTTTTGCTCTACTGAACTATGTGCCATCTCTAAACAATATTACCTTTTCACCTTTATCAACTGTGCTTCTAGAATGCTCTATCCTTCTCCCTTTTAGGATCCAGTTCAAATGTCAAATCTAAGAAATGTTACCTACTCAATTCCTGCAATCAGAATTCACCTCTGCCTGTGTATTTCAACTGGTATTTCAACTAATTCATTCTGAGTTAGTTATAGATGCATATGTCTTTCCTACTAGACTACACAAACCTCAAGAGGCGGCAGCCAGAACTTACCCCTATGTGCATTTCAGCACAGTCTGAGAGAGTGCCTTCTACTTAGTAGGCAGTCACTAATTTAATTCATCAACTCCCAATATTTTTCTCCATCAAGGTCTCCTTATGGAAAAGTAGAGCCAAAATGACAAAACCTGGAGCTATTTCCTTTCGTCTTCCCCCTTAATTCCTGTCTGCTTCAGTCTGTCCTTTAACCTACTCAAGGCTATGTTAAAATCACACTCCTCATCGGGGGTAGGATGACCTCTTTCACTACAACCATGTGAAAGGAGTATTAATACTCCCACTCTCTAAATGAAGAAACACTGGAAAGTTCAATGCCTTTTTCAGAGCCAGTAATGAAAGCCCTGGGATTCAAGGTAACAGCTGCCTGACCCAACACAAATGCCCATCGCACACAATGCCACCACCACTAGTCTCTTCAGCTTCTCCACAACTGCCACTGGTTTCTGACTCTCCACCAACAAGTTCCACCTTGGAGTTTAACACAGATCACATCATAGCTGTCTCATCTTCTCTAACGTGACCTGATCAACTCCTTTCACATCATTTGTTCTCATCTTTCTCCTTTACATCCAGGCTTTCTTCTCTCCCCTCTTCCAGGTCATTTTCAACTCAGCTGAGGGTCAACTCCTGGGAATTCTACTCCTAGTAATACCATCACCACTGTGGAGGGGGTTCATGTGAAGCACAAACATTAAGCAAACACTAAAACCCTTCCAGTCACATGCTGCTCTCTGCACACAAAGATCTTCTGTGACTCAGCATGAACAGGACCTGCACTGAGTTAGGGCTTCCAGGAAAGGGAACAGAAAAGATATTGATCCACCCATATCCTCTCCATGTTCCTCCTCCCTTGGCAGGTACACAAATACTTTCTCCTGGTTCCTTTATATAGGGAGAACTAGTCATGGGAAAGGAGCTGTAAGCCAGGGCTAGCTTAGGTCTGCCAAAAGCACAGGTGTATGTACTGCATGAACTATTAGGTATCCAGTTTTAATGATCTTTATGAAGATTATTTAGTAAAATGTGAAAATGGCTGATAAAATGCCAAAAGAAAATGTAGACACACAACAACAAGTAAACACTATTAATACAGCCATAAAATATAAATGTTTATTGCCAAAGACTGAAAGGAAGAAGGCAAAAAAAAAAAAAAAAATTAAAAGGTGTTACAAGTTGTGGGCCATGAATGAATGTTTAAAATTTTCTAATGTCTGTCTGGCTATCTTATTGCTATATTACAAGCCACCCCAAAACTACGTGAATACACCATTCATTCATTCATTCATTCATTCATTCTGTGCAGCTGAGGACTGGAATCCTCAGAAGACTCATCCCTCCAGTGTGGGGTGGCTGGTGCTGGCCTTCAGGGCCTCACTGAGCTGGGAGCTGGGCTGCCTACACCTGGTTGGCTTCCTTACAACATGGTAGCTGGGGTCCAGGGGCAAGCGGCCTGAGAGACGGGCCAGATAGAAGCCCTACTGCATTTTCTAACCTAATCTCACATATCACAGCATCCTGCCCCCCCACATCCTCTGTGTCAGGAACAGTCACTGAGGTCCATACTTGGGACATCAGAATACCCTGGGGAGCTTTTAAAAAAACGCCTACCCAGATCAGTTAAAGCAGGTTCTGGGGCCCAAAATTACTTTTTTTTTTTTTTTTTTTTTGAGACGGAGTCTTGCTTTGTCACCCAGGCTGGAGTGCAGTGGCGGGATCTCCGTACACTGCAACCTCCACCTCCTGGGTTCAAGCGATTCTTCTGCTTCAGCCTCCCGAGTAGCTGGGATTACAGATGTGCGTCACTACGCCCGGCTAATTTTGTATTTTTAGTAGAGATGGAGTTTCACAATGTTGACCAGGCTGGTCTCGAACTCCCGACCTCAGGTGATCCACCTGCCTCGGCCTCCCAAAGTGCCGGGATTACAGGCATGAGCCACTGCGCCCAGCCCCAGAAGTATTTTTTAAAATGCCTCCCCAGGCGATTTAAATGCACTGACAGGAGGGAGAACGGCAAAATGAAGACGATCTCTGAACTTTCTTCCGGCTCTAAACTTATACCCATTATTCCAATTTAGGAAGTGGTGAAGAGGCTTAAAAAGGTAAAATAAAGGTCTCTCCTTGCTAGAGAATAAATGCTTATGTCCCCTCAAAATTCATGTTGAAACCTAAGCCCCAAGGTGATGGCATTTGGAGGTGGAGCCTCTGGGAGGTGATAAGGTCATGAAGGTGAAGCAGTCATGAATAGCACTAGTAATATCCCTAAAAAAGGGACTTCAGAGGGCTCCCTCATCCCTCTGCCGCAGGAGGGCACAGAGAGAAGACAGATGTCTATGAACCAGGAAGCGGCCTCACCAGACACTGAATCTGCTGGTGCCTGGACATGGTTTTCCCAGCCTCCAGAAATGTAAAAACTAAACGTGTTTTTTAAGCCACCCAACCCATGGTAGTTCGTTATAGCAGCCTAAATAGACTAAGACACTCCTCAATTTTAAGAAAGGTACACATAAACACCCACAAGTGTTAGGTGTATTTTAGACAGATACACAGATACTGACTTCCCAAGACCTGAAGCCCACTGGGCCAAGTTCAGCTGTACCTATGTGACCACTGAGAAGGCAGCATTCAGTTCCTACCTTCCATTCAGATCGACTCAGAGCAGTAACAGAGGGTGAAAAAAGACCAGCACTCTTCCGGAGCACCCCAGGCCCCTGCAGGAATACGCCAGTCCTTTCTGGCCCACGTGACTCAGTTTACAGCCAGGCTGTAATGGTCCACAAACAGGACAGGCCCCACAGGGCATCTACAACCCTTTCGGTGGCTGGCACACACCTCTAAGGAAGGAAGGAGTGCAAATCTAGTTTCTGATATTCTAAATGTTGAGGTCACAAATATACATATGCTACTTCCATTACCGCTTCTAAATCACTGTGCCCCAGGCCAGGTGTGGTGGCTCACGCCTGTAATCCCAGCACCACTTTGGAAGACTGAGTCGGATGGATCAGTTGAGGCCAGGAGTTCAAGACCAGCCTGAGCAACATGGCGAAACCCTGTCTTTACTAAAAATACAAAAATTAGCCGGGTGTGATGGCACGCGCCTGTCATCCCAGCTACTTGGGTGGCTGAGGCAGGAGAATTGCTTGAACCCAGGACGAGGAGGCTGCAGTGGGCCAAGATCATGCCACTGCACTCCAGCCTGGGCAAAAGAGCAAGACTCTGTCTCATAAATAAATACATTTGGGCCACTGTGGCCCAAACCAGTAATTTTCAAGATGTGGCTTCAAATAGTCTCTGTTGGTTCAAGACTGCAGGTCCTATAAATTGGCCCAAAGTACACATATGATGAATTTTCCATTGTATCATAATCTACATTAAAAGTCATAGGGATGTACATTTTAAATAATAGTCACAATACAAAGGATTTGGCTATAAACTTTAAAGTATTAATTTTGGGGACATTTTCAAAATGGAGCAAGGAATATACATGGATTCTAGGCCTTCTGCCCTACCCAAAGTCATCCAAGTGAAATTTTAACTACTACAAGAGAACTCTAGGCTCATAACTCTTACTTCTACCTTTTAATAATTACAACTTCCATAGGTCCATGAATTAACCACTTGCTTACAAATGTAAATGAAAGCTAGACACTAGACACCAGACACCACTCACTGTGTCCTAAGTTTATCAGCTTTTCTACTAATTCTATCCTGATAGATGTTTTTCATGGTGGTAAAAGGGCCCAGGTGTAAGTTATACCATCCGCAGGGATCCTGTGTGCTGCTCGAGATTTTCTTGGACTAAAATATATGAAAATTACATTTCCTAATTAAAATAAATACATTAAAAAACAGCCAGTCCAAAGACTGACTAGATCACTACTCCTCAAATTTTAATATGCATCTGATTCACCTGTGCAGAGTCTAACTCAATAGGTCTGGGGTGGGTCTGCAATGGTCATTTCTAACCAGCTGCTTGGCGATGCTCATGCAGCTGCTCTCCAGATCGCTCTCTGAGTAGCAAGGACCCAGATACAGATAACCCCAAGTCCATCCTTAAGCAATGCTCTAAGATTATATTCTTAAAAAAACAGGTACTCAAACAAATGCACGTACACGCAGGTCCACAGCAGCACTATTCAAAATAGCCAGAGAAGGTAGAAACAGCCCATCCTTGTCCATCAATGGATGAAAGGATGACCAAATTATGGTAGAGACATACAGTAAAATATAATTCAGCCCCTCACCCACAAACAAGCAGAAGAGAAGTAGTGACACGTGCTACGATGCTGATGAACCTTGAAAATGTTATGCTGAGTGAAAGAAGCCAGACACAAAAGGGCATATTTGGTATGATTCCATTCACATGAAATATGCAGAATAGGTAAATTCAGAGGCAGAATGCAGACTGTGGTTGCCAGGGCTGGCGGAGGGAGGAATGGGGAGTGAATGCTTAATGAGTGTGGGGTTTCCTTTGGACTGATGAAAATGTTGTGAATTGGACAGAAAACAATGTGAATATAGTAAACGCTACTGAACTGTTCACTCTAAAATTATTAACTTTATGTTGTCAATTTCCCCTTGGTTTTCTTAAATGTAAAAAAAAAAAACACCATATGCTTATAGACATACTAAGTACCAAAAAAGAAAAAACCCAAGATTCAATGACAAACATAAAAAATATTTCACACTATAATGTAACATTTCACATAGCTCACTTAATCTGAGTCTTTTTCTTCATTGATAAAATGCAGATAAATAAAATGCAGGTTGATAAAATGCCCCATCTACCACAGAATTATAAGGAACCAAAGAAAAACGATAAAAGTTACTCTCAAAACCAGAAGATACAATATGGGCCAGGTACGGTGGCTCAGGCCTGTAATCCCAGCACTGTGGGAGGCTGAGGTGGACAGATCACTTGAGGGGTCAGGAGTTCGAGACCAGCCTGGACAACATGGTGAAACCCTATCTCTACTAAAAATACGAAAAAATAGCCGGGTGTGGTGGCATGGGCCTGTAGTCCCAGCTACTCAGGAGGCTGAAGCAGGTGAATTGCTTGAACCCGGGAGGCAGGGGTTGCAGTGAGCCGTGATTGCGCCACTGCATTCCAGCCTGGGCGACAGAGTGAGACTCTTGTCTCGAAAAAAAAAAAAAAAAAAGAAAAGAAAAAGATAAAATATGAACAATGCTGTATTATTTTTACTACTATAAGTGCACTTCTCAAATTATACATGAATCCCTAAAGATTTGGTGACTACTAAAAACAGACATTACAATGAAATCACCAAATCTGTGCAGAGGTATTTAAGTCTTGTGGGAGAGATCAACTTCCAAAAAACATCACTTCTCACCTATTTCCTTACAATGTGACCAGTTTGGTATAATTCAACAGTCAGGTAAGTTCTGACATATGTTCAGAAATGTATCCTTTGCCTCTACCTTTAATAAAACAATTCAAATGCCCTTTTCTGTCCATTCTTTTAGTCTGAAATGCAAGGACCTACTTAGAATAAATGCCTGGAAGAGAAGAGGCTCTCCCATGCTTCTCAGTGAGGGAATATGCCTGCAGCAGCTTCGAGCTATGGCATCAGTTATGCAAGAAGAGACAGAGATTGGCAGTGCTTTTCTTTAATTCTAAGCCCCATTCTCTTTGAAATAAACAGGCAACATGTGGAGTCATGGTATAGGTCCCTCGGCTCGGCATAAATCAAACACACAAGTACCTTTCAAAAGTAGACGTTTAGTTATTCTTCTTACTCAAAAAGCCACTTCCCATTCTCCCAACTTTCTCCCTATCTAATAAAGAGATAATAGGCCTGTAAGAATAACTTTTTGCTAAATGCACTTCTACCCTCCTCTGTGAAGCAACCTTTTGTAACAGCATAACTTACCGCAAAGATTTTTAACAGACTTTTCATGTAGAGTTTGCGGATACCAAAGGAGACTCCAAAAATGGCTGGCACTATGATGAAAACGAGAAGGAGGGTGAAGAGGACAGTCAGGGAGATGCCCAGAAGGTTGACAATCAGGCTATCAAAAGGCAGCAACAGGAACATGGTGGAAGATCCAGGCCAGGCCAGCACCTGCCTCCCTAAGAACAAATTGCAGCCTTCAGATGGTCCTTCCTGACAGCACCAGCCAGGGAAAGGAAGCAAGTTCCCGAAGAACAGCAAACCCCATTCCAAAGTCCACACCCTTCAACCGCCTGAATAGAAGGCCTGGGAACAGAATGACAGAAAAACACGGCCACAGGAGGCAACTGCAAACGCCAGGTCTCTCCAGAATGGATGGACTCTAAAGATGATTGAAGCTAGATGGGTCTTCAGTAAAAGCATCCGAGTCCAGATGGAGTTTCTGTGCAAGTGAGCAGTGAGGACGGGGGCTCTGCTCTGCTGTCCTGATGCTGCTTCCAGAGGTTTTACATGGTTTTCCTGCCCAAGAGCATTCAACAGATAAATCTGTCCTGCAGATCTGTCACTACCAGAAGTACGAAGAAGAATTAAACTTGGTGCCAGAAAAATCCTGATAACTCCTGTGGAGGGGTAATCACTGGCACTTCACACAGAAGGCTTTTGACTTGAATATGTGGAAATTAAATAACTGTTTTACTTAAAATTCCTTCATAAGCCGAGAACCATGTTCATGGTAGAGAGTTCATATCTGGCCCCATCCTCCTCTGGCAAGGCTCCTGGTGCTCACAGCTTCCAGGATCCTCCTACCTGGAGAGCTACAGTCTTTGCCAGAAGGAAAGAGATGCTGGCACACAATGTCTCATACTGCGAGTGCTGAGTGTAACTCCAGATGCATCTGGCATTGGTATCCTCTGGACACTCTTCTCCCGAAGGCACCCTTTCTTAGCAGTGACCTGGGTTCTTGGCAAACAGCTGCTTACATGCTGCCAAAGCTGGGGGAGGGAAACAGAAACATTGTCAGTCACACAAATCAAGAGGAAAAATGTCAATATGCTGGGGGCCAGGCGGACTGTTTTAGGGTAAGCCTAAAACTGTCAGTGTGGTCAATGACTGCTTCTCAAGTCATCAAGGTCAAAGAGACCAGGCAGACCCAACAGGTGGCAGACATGAATGTGGGAGGGAAACATAGAGGTTTCACAGTTTTCAACCCAAATGATATGATCGGTGGTCAAACTTTCTGAATATAAAATACATGTATATAAGACACATTTAAAAGATAAAAAGCGTGTGCTATGGAAAGTACATCTCCTTCCTGTCCCCCAGATACTCAGAGTGGTTCCGCACAGATGCAGCCAAAGGTTGTAACCACCTTTGTATTCTTCCCAAGACATTCTATGCTTAAACAAGGAAATCACAATGGTTCTCCGTCACCAATGGCCCCCAGGCCAGGCAACAAGGACGTATTATTCTTCACCTTGCTTTTTGTTTTTGTTTTTAGTTTAACACATCTTAGAAGAATGTCCCATCAATACACATAGAGCTCCTTCACTCTGCAGGTGCAAAGTTTTCAACTTAAGAATGTGCCACAACTTAGTTCACCAGTCTCCTAAGGCTAAACACTGATATTTTTACTTTTTTTTTTGTATAATGTTGTAACGAATAACCAGGTACATGCATGACTTAGTACACAAAATGTGCTTAGCAAATATATTTTCGGGGTAAATTCCTAGAAATGGAATTGCAGAGGAAAAGAAAATACACATTTTTAAATTTGCAAGACCTTGCCATATTTTCCACATAGAGATTAAACTCCTCCAGCCTCTCCCCACACTGGCCACTCATTGTGAAATTCCACTATTTCAAATATCTCACAAAAGTATTCCAATTTTACATCGCACATTCCAAATCCCTGAACTTGGGAGTATCCTATCAAGTCTCTCTGGCAAATATTTTGGCTTCACACTAATCACCTTCAGGCTATTCCAAACACTTAGAAGTACAAGAAATTGAACAAATGAACAAGTACTGACTTCGCCTTAAAATCTGCGCAATGTTTTAAGGGAGGAGACCACCCTTCATATTGTCTTATGCCCAATTTCTGCCTCCAAAGAAAGAAGAAATAAAATCTAAAAGGCAGAAATGGAATCCACAGGCAGATAGCCCAGCATCGTGCCATGGGCCTAGTAGTTAAAAATCAACCCCTGACCTAACTTTTTGTGTTATCTATAGATTTCAGACACTGTATGGAAAAGCATCGTGAAAACCCCTGTCCTGTTCTGTTCCATTCTGATTACCGGTGCATGCAGCTCCCAGTCACGTACTCCCTGCTTGCTCAATCGATCATGACCCTCTCATGCGGACCCCCTTGGAGTTGTAAGCCCTTAAAAGGGACAGGAATTGCTTACTCGGGGAGCTCGGTTTTTGAAGACGTGAGTCCACTGATGCTCCCAGCTGAATAAAGCCCTTTCCTTCTACAACTTGGTGTCTGAGGTGTTCTTGTCCGCGGCTAGTCCTGTTGCATTTCTTGGTTCCCTGACTGGAAACAAGGTGATTAGAGGAAGGCCAAGGCAGCCCCTTAGGTGACTTAGGCCTGCCCTGTGGAGCATCCCTGCGGGGGACTCAGACCAGCCTGAGCAATGTGGATCCAAAGAGCGCTCCTGGGTAGGCAATTGCCCCATGGGACATGTCGCCAGAGCAGCATGTGGCAGGCTCCCAGAGGATCAACGCAGTGGCTGAACACCGGGAAGGAACTGGCACTTGGGAGTCCAGACATCTGAAACTTGGTAAGACTGGTCTTTGGAACTTGCCCACTCCATTTGAGTGGAAGCGTGGCCTGATCACCCACAGCATGGCTGTACGGGTACTTTGGCTTTTGTTTTTGACTTAACTTGGATTGCTTGATACTTTGGTTTTGACCTGGCTTGGATCTCTTGATACTCTGATTTTGGTTTTGATTCTGGTTTGGTGTAAACTGTAAAAGTGTGTGTGTGCCCTTTTTACCCGTTCTTTGTTTTGTGGTGTGTGTGTGGGGTGAGCGTGGTGTTTTGTCTCAAGGAAGCATGGGTCAGGCACAAAATAAGCCCACCCCACTAGGAACTACGTTGAAAATTTTCAAGAAAGGACTGAAGGGAGATTACGGCATTACTATGATACCAGGAAAACTTAGAACTTTGTGTTCTAAGTTTGGCCAGAAATAGACTGGCCAACATTAGAGGTGGCCGTTGGCCATCAGAAAAGAAGCCTGGACAGGTCCCTTGTTTCAAAGGTACGGCACAAGGTAACCTGAAAGCCAGGGCGCCTAGACCAGTTCCTGTTCATAGACACTTGGTTACAGCTGGTTTTAGATCACACCCCCCCACCCCTGCCCCGCCACAGTGGTTGAGAGAACAGCAGCATAAGTGGCTGGCAGAGGCAAGGAAAGACCAGCAGAGAGAGACAGAGAAAAGAGACAGAGAGGAAAAGAGGAAAAGAGAGACAGGAAGAGGGGGAGAGACAAAGACGGAGTCAAGGAGGGAGAGAGGCAGAGAGAGAGGAAGAGGCAGAGGCAAAAGGAAAAGTCAAAGAGAGAGAAAGTTAAAGAGAGAAAGAAAGAGATATACAAGTAGTTAAGAAAAAAAGTGTACCCTATTCCTTTAAAAGCCAGGGTAAATTTAAAACCTATAATTGATAATTGAAGGTCTTCTCCGTGACCCTACAACACTCCAATACCACCTTGTTGTAAGTGTAAACAAGGGCTTAGCCCGAAAGCACTGAGGCCACTAACAACCTGTAGCCTTCCTATCAACCATCCTTAACCTAGTAATCTGCAGATGGCCCAAAAGCATTCAATCTGTAGTGGCAACTGCTTTGCTAACAGAAGAAAGTAGAAAAATAACTTTTAGAGGAAACCTCATTGTGAGCATACCTCACCAGTTCAGAAATATCCTAAGTAAAAAAAAAAAAAAAAAAAAAAAAAAAAGGAAGATTTAACATTAACCACTGAAAATTCCCTTAACCCAGCAGGTTTCCTAACAGGAGATCTAAATCTTAATTACCATACAAAGGTCCAACCAGACCTAGGAGGAACTCCCTTCAGGACAGGACAATAGATGGTTCCTCCCAGGTAATTAAAAAAAAAAAAAAAAAAACTATACCAATTCTAAGTTAATTTGGACTAAACAAGGTCTTATTAATAGCAAAGGATAATTAAAATCCCAAACTTACAAGGTTTTCAACAAAACTGAAGTCTGCTAAAAGTTAAAAGTGTAACATATATTATAGTAACTTCTAATCTTGTCGCCTTAGACAGTCTAGTCCACAGACATAAAGGAAGTTCACTTTGGAAAAGAATGGTTATCATCTTCAGAAAAAAAGGGGGGACAGAATTTATGTAAAAAAAAAGCTATATGGTAAATTCTTGCCCTGAAATAAAATAACTGGTCGTTTAAAAAAAAAGTTTGGGCCGGGCACGGTGGCTTACGCCTGAAATCTCAGCACTTTGGGAGGCCGAGGCGGGCAGATCACAAGGTCAGGAGATGGAGACCATCCTGGCTAACACGGTGAAACCCCGTCTCTACTAAAAATACAAAAAATTAGCCAGGTGTGGTGGCGGGCGCCTGTAGTCCCAGCTACTTGGGAGGCTGAGGCAGGAGAATGGCGTGAACCCGGGAGGCGGAGCTTGCAGTGAGCCGAGATCGGACCACTGCACTCCAGCCTGAGCGACAGAGCGAGACTCCATCTCAAAAAAAAAAAAAAAAAGTTTGTAATAAGTCAGAAAGTTGAGACATATCGAAGAATTGTCTGCGAAAGTTGTGAGAAAAAGAAGTTATTAAAAAAAGGAATTTATGCAAGAAATGTTGTATAATATAGGCCTCCTGAATGTAAAACTATTTAAAAAAACAGTTTATGTGCAAGGTATATTAGGAAAGTAAAATATACCTTTGGTAAATGGATTATAAGCAGGCATAGGAATGTAAATTTTTACCTACATTAAAAGGTTAAAAAAATTGTTTTAAAGGTTTACGCAAGTTTTAAAACGTTAATTGTAAAGAAAATTCTGTGTGTAAACATATTGGCTAAAGTTAAAGAGGTATCATCCAGTTTTTCTGTAAACTGAACATTAAAATAAAAACACAATGGGTTTTTCTTAAAGCACTAACCTGCTCTTTAACAAAAAATTATAAAAGGTTAAAAAGAGCCTATAAATATCTTACCTTATGGTCAGACATTAAAAATTGAATAAATATGTCTACAAAGTTTTATTAAAACCAAGTTTAACATTAATAACACACTAATATAAAAATGAAATATAGCTTATCTGGTATAAAAATCATCCAGGAAGCATTGTCAAATATAAAATGGTGTTTGGCTTTCTTTGTTCTAAAAACTAATAAAAATAGGTGCTAAAGGAAATTTCTCAGTAGAAAGGCACCAAGGACTATAAAGTCCACTGCTGATGTCCCCACATTTAAAACAAAAGGTGAATTTCTCAAAAATCATATACTTGGTTTATCTTCCACTAAACTAAAAGTCTTTTAGCACATGTACCACCCCCAGAATTTCCGGTAAACCAGCACCAGCCTGAGGATCACGTTCTCATCAAAGGGTGAAAAGAAGGGAAACTAGAGCCAGCCTGGGAAGGACCCTACCTTGTGCTGTTAACCACAGAGACTGCTGTTCGTACAGCAAAAAAGGGATGGACTCATCACACCCGAGTCAAGAAAGCAGCACCTCCTCCAGAGTCGTGGGCCATAGTCCCAGTCACACCTGAGGCTGAGTGGTCCACACACGGCCGAAGCATGAGGAAACTCACCGTGGGACTTATTTTCCTTAAATTTTGGACTTGTACAGTAGGGACTTCAACTGAACTTCCTCAAACTAAGGACTATTCCCAGTGTATACATCCAGTCAAAAAGTTAAAACTGTCTTTTTGTTCTATAGTTATTATAAATGTGCTGGAACTCTAAAAAGGACTTGTTTGTATAATGCCACACAGTACAAGGTATGTAGCCCAGGAAGTGACCAGCCTGATGTGTGTTATAACCCCTCTGAGCCTCCCATGTCCACAGTTTTTGAAATAAGATTAAGGACTGAAGACTGGTGGGGACTCGTAAGTGATACAAGTAAAGTATTAGCCAGAACAGAAGAAAAAGGGGTGCCCAAACGCATAATCTTGAAATTTGATGTCTGTGCTGTCATTAACAGCAATAAGTTAGGAAGAGGATGTGGCTCTTTTGATGGGGAAAAAGGCTATATGACCAAAAGTAAGTATATTTGTTATGAATTAGGACTGTGTGGAAATGAATGTGGATACTAGTCTTGTGTCATTTGGGCCACGTGGATAAAAAATGAAAAGGATCCAGTCCACCTTCAGAAAGGAAAAAGTGGCCCTTCCTGTACTAAGGGACAATGTAACTCCTTAGAGCTAGTAATAACCAATCCCCTTGATCCTCACAGGAAAAAAGGGGAGCGTGTGACCTTAGGAATCGATGGGGCTGGACTGGATCCTCAAGTAAATATCTTAGTTCAAGAAGAAGTTTACAAACACTCTCCTGAGCCAGTGTTTCAAACTTTCTATGATGAACTAAATGCGCTAGTACCAGAAATTCCAGGAAAAACATGAAATGTTTTTGCAATTAGCCGAGCATTTAGCCCAGTCTCTCAATGTCACTTCATGTTATGTATGTTGAGGAACTGTAATGGGAGATCAATGGCCATGAGAAGCCCGAGAATTAGTACCTACAGACCCAGTTCCTGATGAATTCCTGGCTCAAAAGAATCACCCTGATAATTTCTGGGTCCTAAAAGCCTCAATTTTTGGACAATATTGCATAGCTAGAGAAGGCAAAGAATTCACTCACCCCGTAGGACAACTTAGTTGTCTGGGACAGAAACTGTATATTGGTACCACAAAAACAGTCACTTGGTGGAGTTCAAATCACACAGAAAGGAATCCATTTAGTAAATTCCCAAAGTTGCAAACCACATGGACCCACCTGGAGTCCCACCGGGACTGGACAGCCCCCACTGGATTATACTGGATATGTGGGCATAGAGCTTAAGCCAAATTACCCAACCAGTGGGCAGGTAGTTGTGTTATTGGCACTATTAAACCATCTTTCTTCCTACTGCCCATAAAAACAGGTAAACTCCTGGGCTTCCCTGTCTATGCTTCCTGCAAAAAAAGAAGCATAGCTATAGGAAATTGGAAAGATGATAAATGGCCCCCTAAGAGAATCATACCATATTATGGGCCTGCTAATTGGGCACAAGATGGCTCGTAGGGATACTGGACTGCCATTTACATGCTCAACCGAATCAAACGTTTACAAGCTGTCTTAGAAATAATCACTAATAAAACTGGCAGAGCCTTGACTATTCTGGCCTGGCAAGAAACTCAGATGAGAAATGCTATCTATCAAAATAGATTGGCTCTTGACTACTTGCTAGCAGCTGAAGGAAGGGTCTGTCTGGAATTTAAACTTAGTAATTGCTGTCTACACATAGATGATCAAGGGCCAGTAGTTGAAGACACAGAGATATGACAAAACTGGCACATGTGCCAATGCAAGTGTGGCATGGATTTGATCCTGGGGCCATGTTTGGAAAATGGTTCCCAGTGCTAGGAGGATTTAAAACTCTTATAATAGGAGTTACAATAGTAATAGGAACCTGCTTACTACTCCCTTGTTTGCTACCTGTACTTCTTCAAATGATAAAAAGCTTCATCATTACCTTAGTTCACCAAAATGCTTCAGCATAAGTGTACTATATGAATCACTATCGATCTGTCTTGCAAGAAGACATGGGTAGTGAAGAAGAAAGTGAGAACTCCCACTAATGAGTGAGGTTCTCAAAGGGAGGAAATGAACAACTACTGACTTCGCCTTAAAATCTGCGCAATGTTTTAAGGGAGGAGACCACCCTTCATACTGTCTTATGCCCAATTTCTGCCTCTAAAGAAAGAAGTATAAAATCTAAAAGGCAGAAATGGAATCCACAGGCAGCCCAGCACCACACCCTGGGCCTGGTAGTTAAAAACCAACCTCTGATCTAACCTCTTGTGTTATCTATAGATTTCAGACATTATATGGAAAAGCATCGTGAAAATCCCTGTCCTGTTCTATTCCATTCTGATTACCGGTGCATGCAGCCCCCAGTCACGTACCCCCTGCTTGCCCAATCGATCACAACCCTCTCACGTGGAACCCCTTAGAGTTGTAAGCCCTTAAAAGGGACAGGAATTACTCACTCAGGGAGCTTGGTTTTTGGAGATGTGAGTCCGCCAACGCCCCCAGCTGAATAAAACCCTTTCCTTCTACAACTTGGTGTCTGAGGGGTTCTTGACTATGGCTCGTCCTGCTATAGTTTCATAGAACTCAAGGCCCTTCCCTTGTTACCTCGTTTGTTTATCCCCAGTCCATCAATCTGTATGATTTGCATTTTACACATCAGGAAGCTGAGAGAGGTAGCTGCAGACCCAGTTCCTCTGTACGGCTCCATGACATTCACACATTTCTGAAGACAAAATGCTCTAGTCTACAAGGACATGCTATTCAGTGGTGCTGGGTCATGAACCCTAGTTCCTAGTTCTGATGGCCACTTCTTACATTTCCTTCCACTTTCACACTGTCACTGCGATTGCTAACATTGACTGAGTGCTTACAACATGCCCAGCACTGCGCTAAGGAGCATTTCACATATACCACCCTCAAGTAATCCTCACGATGGCTGTACGGTGGAGTCATTGTCATCCTGATCTACAGGTGAGGACACTGAGGTTGGGAAGATTAAGGGACTCAAGTTACCCAGGGCTGCAGAGAGTTGGAAGCAGGACAAGAGCATTCGTCTCCAGGCCCCTGCTCTGTAACCCCTACTTCTTCCTGTCTCCCAAACTACATGCTTTAAAATGAAGTAGCACTGGCCGGGCACAGTGGCTCATGCCTGTAATCCCACTTTGGGAGGCTGAGGCAGGTGGATCACCTGAGGTCAGGAGTTTGAGACCAGCCGGGCCAACATGGTGAAACCCCATCTCTACTAAAAATACAAAAATTAGCCAAGCATCATGGCGCATGCCTGTAATCTCAACTACTCAGGAGGCTGAGGCAGGAGAATTGCTTGAACCTGGGAAGACTCCAGCATGGGTGACAGAATGGGACTCTTTAAAAAAAAAAAAAAGAAGTAGCAAGCCAGCCTGCTCTACAGAACTTGTGATTAGAGAAAACCATCAAGATCTGGACTCCATTATCAGAATTTGGTGGTGGTCTCAGAATCCAAGATACAGACACGCTCTTGTGTTTTGATAAACGCTCGTACATGCCAGTTTTCTAACCGTGTTCTAGAGGTAGTTCAGGAACCTGAGTTACCGAAGTTCTCAGGCCTGTCCAGGGCAACATCTCCTTTCCTCCACCATTGCTGTCTCTCCACTCCCTGTGGACAGCACTGCCATGGGAAAGAGGCAGCAAGGGCCTCTGTCCTACTGGCCAGGGTTACCCTGAGTTCCACAGACCCAAGGTGATTGACACCAGGGTCACTTTGACCCCCATGCCAGAGTGTAGATCACTCCTCTAAGGATCATAGCTAAGAATTCCCAAGGTTATTCTGGGTTCATGTCCCCAAACCAGTAAACACCTGCAGCAATAAACCAATTTCTTCACCTAGTTCAGGGGTTGGCCAGTCACAGCCCACATCTGGCTACAGTCTTTTTCACAAAGACTCATGAGTTTTTACATTCTTAGACTCTTTTAAACAGATGCAAAAAACAAAGAAGATTTGAAAAACCCTAAAATACTCACTATCTGCCCCTTACAGATACAGACCCTAAAATACTCACTATCTGCCCCTTATAGGAAGAGTCTGCACTCATGACCTTGCTAGTCTTTCCTCCGCTCAGAGGCCCCCTGCTGGCTCTCCCAGTCCCATCCCATCCCACCCCATCCCATCCCGCCACACCCCACCCCGAGTTCCTTTTGCTGAATGCCAGCCTCCAGGACAGAGAACACCAAACTGGCCTAACAAGTTATTTGGCCAACACTAAACAACACTCACACAAATTCTTAGAAGTAGAGGAAAGAGCAAGCCAACTGAGTTTATCAAATCGGTAGTGTTTGGAAACTGAAAAATCATTAAAGCCAGAGGTAACTGGTGGCTTAAGGTCCCCTTAATACAGACTTTGATGTCTAGAAATATCAAAACTGTTCACATCAGAACTCAATCAAACCACAATTTCTAGATAACCGTTCTTTTACGAGAGGCTATCACTTTGCCTCAAGTAAATATAAGCATGACCCCTTAAGAATGTGAGCTGGGGAAGCCATTCATTCAGAGGAATATTCACTTATTCCCTCAACGTCCACAGATGGGTTCCAACCAAACTCACCCAGAATCATCAGGGCCAACGTTCCCCCACAGGCCAAACATTCCAGAGAATCAGCTAGTTCTGAGTCTTTTAGGAAGGAAGCTGCCTCCATTCCAGGAAGGCAACAGAGCCCATCACTAAGCTAACCTAACTCTTCAACCCATGGAATGGCAAATCTGGGCCTTTAGGCTCCCTAATGGCCTCAGTTCTTGGAGTGACTAGTTCATTCATTCAACAAATACTCACTGGGCACACAGTGTGTGCCAGACAGTACATCAGGTGTTAGCTGTTGTTCAGCGGTGAAAAGATATGCCCATCCGGAAACAAGCACACAAAAAGTTGTAATTTCAAACTATGATGACTGTTGACAAGGAAAATACACTCTTGGAAAAGAAAACAAAACAGAAGGAAAGGAAAAGGAAAAGAAAAGAAGAGAAAAGAGAGAAGAGAGAAAAGGAAAGGGAAAAGGAAAAGGAAAAGAAAAAAGAACAGAACAGAACAGAACTTAATTTAAATCAAGGCATCTATACCAATTCTCTCCCAATCACAAGGTATTGGACTGGGACTATTATCACTCCTAAATGCAGAATCAAATACTTTTCAGTCGGCTCTCTGTGACACATCCCAACTCAGGGACCATAACTGCTAGAATATGTGCAGACAGAGGCCCTGTGCCAACTCAAAAGGTAAAAGAAAGGCCACTTTATTAATACATGCTTAGATCACAAAAGAATGCACGTATTTTTAGAGCACACCAAGCACAATGCCTGTCACATGTTAGATCTCAATGAATGGTATATATTATCATTTCATTAGAATCAGAAGAAACTCAGTCTTCAGTCCTAGGTACCAAACTTCAAAAAGGCTTAGAAAGGAAAGCATTATAACGTATGACACAAAATCCACAGGCCAAAAAACACAACTTGCCTAGCAAGCAGGAAGTGTTCAATAAAAAGGTTAGTCGTAAAATGGAGAAATTCGAATTGAAACTACAGTGAGATGGCAAAGAAATTCTGATAAACCACTGCACTGGTGAGAATGGAAAAACATCCTCAAATACTGCTGGTTGGAGTGTAAAAAGGGTTCAACCTCTACAAAGAACAATTTAGCGACTGTCATCAAAATTTTAAATGTATGTAACCTTAGATCCAGCAATTCCACTTCTAGAAATGTATCCTAAGGATAAATCGGACCAGTGGTTCCCAACCAAGGGTGATTTTTTTACCCCCTTGGGGAGCATCTGGCAATATCTACAGGGATTTTTGGCTGTCACGACTTGGGATGGGAGTGCTACTACTGGCATCTAGTGCAGTGCGCAGGGCAGAGATGATGCTGCACATCTTACAATGCACAGGACAGCTCCCACACAATGAGGAACTGTCCAGCCCCAAATGTCAGTAGTGCAGAAGTGTATAAACCCTGTATTTTAAAGCATGAGCAAAGTGATAATATGTGCTGGGATACTGACTGCGGCATTGTCTGTAATATCAAAACAAACATCAACGTCTCCCAATAGAGGATATAATGGAATACTATTCATCTAAGCCCCTGTCACTAGGAAGGAGAAGGGGAATTTGAATGTATTTCCCAAGAAGTAATGACATTATACTAATGAGGTTTTCAACTACCACTTTTGCCTAAAGGTGTTTATATGCCTCTGAAATGGCTGGAGCATGCTTTCTCATTCAGAAAGTTCACATGGCCTGACAGGGAGGCAAACATGGCCACAGCCAGTGTCTGCAGAGCATACTGGGGGCAAATGAGACTCTCCAGAAAACAGGAACATAAATGCTTAAGGCTTCAAAATGGCACTCTGTGTAAATGCATTAGTAAAAACTGAGACTCTCACAGTAATTCTGAATCAGGACAGTTGGTATCCATGCACAGATGGCAGGGGCATGAGCCACGTGGGCCCTCAGAGACCCAGCCAGAACCATCCCCTGGCCACTAAAGGCTGCACTGGTTCTCCACCCAGGATGCTTATTTGCATCTCTGGGCCTCAGCCCAGATGAAATAAATTAGAATCTCTGCAGGTACAATCTGGATTTGTTCTTAACACACTCGAGCGATTCTGATGTGGAGCCAGTTGAGACTACTGGGTTAAGGGTTCTTACCAGTTAACTGAGAAAGGACAACTGAAACTGAGAAGACAACCATCTCTGAGCACAAATTATCCATACGTAAAAGGCATCTAGTTCTCTAAAAAAAGGAGGGGGATCACATTCATAAGAGAGGTGGTGAGGCTCTAGAACGACATCCCAGGGCATGAAAGCTGGTGGAAGCCCTTCAGTACTGGAGAGCACTCAGGTCAGACCGGGCTGGCTGTCACCTAGAAAAAGCGGATTTGCTTGGGACACATGAAGCAAGGGAACTGGTGCTATGGTTGGCAGGTATGGGGTGCAAATTCTAGCTCAATACTAAGAATCCAACCCTCACACTTTGGTGGTGGGAATGTAAGACAGTGCAGCTCGGAGAATGGTTAAACAAAGTTACCATGTACCTCGCAATTCTACTCCTAAGTACATACCCAAGAGAAAGACAAACTGTCTACACCAAAAAAATTGCACATGAATGCTTACAATGGCATTATTCAGAACAGCCAAAAGACGGAAACAACCAAAATGTCCATCAACTGATGACTGGATAAACAAAATGTGGTGTATCCATACAATGGAACCTTTGGCCATAAAAATGAAGAAATGATACACGCTATAACATGGATGAATCTTCAAAACATCATACTAAGTGAATGAAACCCATTGAAAAGACCACATATTGATTCCACTTATACAAAATAGGCAAATCTACACAGACAGAAAGTAGATTGTTGGTTACTTTAGAGCTGGCGAGAGTGGGGAGATACAAGAGTGATAGCTAAAACGTTTCTTTCTGAGGTGACAAAAATGTTCTAAAACTGACTCTGTTGATGACTATACACATCTGTGAACATACTTTCATTAGGTGAATTGTATCTCAATAAAGCTATTTTTAAAAGAATCTAAGATTAAGTTGTTCAAAAAGAATAGGCTGCATAGGGAGACCTTCACCTACAACTGCATTCTGCAGAGTGGCAGATACATTATGGTGATTAGACTGGATGTCTTTTAAAAATCCTTCCTGAAACAAGTTTTTTGTCCTTACGTCTTTATTTAAAATTGCAGAATGTCAGGGAAGCAGTAAAGCATGATGGCCAAACATACAGGGAATCAGACAAGCTACATTCAAAACCAGCCTCCCCTACCTTCTGGCTGTCTGACCTCAAAAAAGTCACATTCCATGCTTCAGTTTTCTCATCTGTAAATTGGGAATAATACATATCCTGTGGTATTGTTGTCAAGACTGAACATGATGCCTATCAAGCTATCAGTGTAGTGCTTGGCACAAAATCCTCTATAAATAGAAGCTTCTACTACTAATCATCACCATAAAGCTGGAGGCAATAATAATAAAATGATGACAAACCACAACTTTAGTAGTTAATCTTTCAGAATTCTAGCCCAATGTCTTCATTTTATGGCTCAAATAACCGAGCCTCGGAAGGGTTTGATGATGGGGACAAGTTACGGAATGGCTGGTAACAGAGGCAGGACTAACACGCCCATCTGATGTCCAGTCGAGTGCACTTCTTGCTTCCCAGGCTGACTCCTCACTTGCTTTAGGGTGGATTACAATTCAGAAAAAAGCATCCATTTCTCCTAGTTTACTGTCAGAACATACATAGGCCCACCAAATGCCCCAACTGTAATGTAAACAAACACGCACACACAGGCATGAGGAAATGTGTGCTACGCTGAATTTAACGTCGAGTGTATCGGGACTGGTAGAGTGTAAGAAATTTGCTTGAATAGGAAGCTGTTGCTTAGTGGGGAAACTGCATGTTTCCAAACAGGGCAGCTCTCAGAGCGACTCAGTTGACATGAACCTGAAGTGCTAAAAACCCAGAACACACATAGCTGGCATCAATCCTGGATAAAATAAATTACCCAAGACAAAGCCAGGATCCAACTGGCCAAAGGATGATTCAACTCACAGAGAAGACAGAACATGGTCAGGTTCGGGGCCTTGGTCTTATCTAAGATCATTATGCCCTCCAGAACTTTCTTGAGTTAGAACTGGATAAGTAACACGGCACTGGTACCAAGTTCACCCCAAAGCAACGGAACCATCTCTTGAAGCTGGCAAAACAAAAAACAGAAAACAAAACCAAAAAAAAGAGGCTATTTTGATGATGACAATTTGATTTGCTGGAGCTTTAAGACCCAAGACAATTCATT
The DNA here is from genome assembly GCF_000001405.40 of Homo sapiens. Taxonomy (NCBI): domain Eukaryota; kingdom Metazoa; phylum Chordata; class Mammalia; order Primates; family Hominidae; genus Homo; species Homo sapiens. Next base: position 41,584,673 of record NC_000008.11, on the reverse strand, counting down.
ATTCGACCTGAACACTGCTCTGATGGCTCAATTTCAATACCAGTTCTTGAAATCTGAGTACTGCATATGTAATTAGAAGCAACTTCCTGGCCTTTTTCTTGTTCAAAAAATCTTTTTATCCAATTTACTTCACTCAGCATAATTATACTGAGAACCATCCATGTTGCTGCATGTGTCAACAGTTTATTCCTCTTGATTGCTGAGCTGTATTCCAGTATATGGATATACCCGTTTCTTCATCCATTCCCCTACTGATGGACACTAAGGTTGTTCCAGTTTGAGGCTATTACAAATAAAACTGCTATCTACAAGTCTTTGTATGGACATATACTTCATTTCTCTTGGGTAAATACCTAGGAGTGGAATGACAAATTCCAAAATGGGTTGTACCATTTTGTATTCCCACTAGCAGCGTAGGGAAGTCTCACTTGTTCCACATCTTCACCAATACAGTCTTTTAAATTTACACACATCACTGGCCAGGCGCAGTGGCTCACACCTGTAATTTCAGCATTCTGGGAGGCCGAGGTGGGCGGATCACTTGAGGACAGGAGTTCAACAACAGCCTGGACAACAAGGAGAGACCCCATTTCTACTAAAAATACACAAATTAGCTGGGCGTGGTGGTGCATTCCTGTAATCCCAGCTATTTGGGAGGCTTAGGTGGGAGGATCACCTGAGTCCAGTCGGCTGAGGCTGCAGTGAGCCATGACAGTGCCACTGCACTCCAGCCTGAGCAACAGAGCAAGACCCTGTCTTAAAAAATGAAACCTTTTCATCACAAGCGCACAAATTCGTGACAGCAGACTTTTTTGTTCATCTCTCTGCAAATTCAAAATACTTCTAATTGTGCAAAGAAAATCACTAAAACATGAAAGAAAAAACCAATGACCACAACCACAAACTCTAACCTCAGACCTGAACATTACTAAGCAAAATAAAACATTCCTTCATCTTTATGTTCCACTGACAGTGATTCTCTGCAGTCCAACAGAGCAGCCACTAACCACGTGTGACCTTGGAGCACTTAAAATGTGTTGTGAATGTAAAATGCACACTGGAGTTCAATGACTTAGCATGAAAAAAATGCATGTAAAATATCCCATTAATAATTTTTATATTGATTATGTTTCAAAGTAATATTCTGGATAAACTAGGTTAAATAAAATATATTGTTAAAATTATTTTCACCTGTTTCTACTTTATACAATTTTTTTAAAAAAATTTAAATTGACTTTCAAATCAAAGTCAATATATAGGAGCTAAAAATGATCTCATAGACAGTAGAATATAATAGATACCAGCAGCTGGGAAGGGTGGACGTTGAGAGCTTGGTTAATGGATAGAAAAAAAAAACTTAAATGGAACGAATGAGTTCCAGTATTCAATAGCAAAGTAGGATGACTATAGTTACCAATTTCTTGTACATATATATATATTATTTTTTTTTTGAGACAGTCTCATTTTGTGGCCCAGGCTGGAGTGCAGTGGTGCGATCTCTGCTCACTGCATCCTTTGCCTCCAGGTTCAAGCAATTCTCGTGCCTCAGCCTCCCTCATACCTGGGATTACAGGCACAGGCCACCACAGCCGGCTAGTTTTTTTTGTATTTTTAGTGGAGAAGGGGTTTCATCATGTTGGCCAGGCTGATTTCAAACTCCTGACCTCAAGTGATCTACCCACTTTGGCCTCCCAAAGTGCTAGGGTTACAGGCATGAGCCACCACGTCAGGCCAATTTCTTGTATATTTTAATTTGAAATGTTAAGTAGATTTGAAATGTTCCCAACACAAAGAAATGATGTATGTTTCAGGTGCTGGATATCCTAAATACTCTGATTTTATCATTACACATTCTATCCATGTGGGCAAATATTACTGTACACTATAAATACGTAAAATTACTGTTTGTCAATTTCTTAAAAATTGATACATAATTTTACATATGTATGGAGCACAATGTGATGTTTTGAGATACACCCACACACACACACACACACACTCTCTCTCTCTCCCTCCCCTTGTGGAATGATTAAATCAACCTTATCTATTTCTTTGTGCTTTTTAAAAAAGCATTATTATAAAATTTAAAATTGTGTATATAGCATATATAATATTTCTATGGGACAGCACTGATCAAAAATTTTTAAAGGAGACTCAAAATAATGTATCTTCAACTGGCAAAGAAAGAAAGAAAGATGTGTGTGTGTGTGTGTGTGTGTGTGTGTGTGTATACTTTCCCACCCTATTTCTCCAAGGTGAAGAAAATGGTACAGCAGAAAGGGCTTAGATCTGGAACCAGGACTGCCTTTAGGTTCTAGGTGCAACTCTTACTGTCTAGTCTATGTGTCCCTGAATACATCATTCAGCTTCGGCCACGTGCAGTGTCTCACGCCTGTAATCCCAGCACTTTGGGAGGCTGAGGTGGGTGGATCACCTGAGGTCAGGAGTTCGAGACCAGCCTGGCCAACATGGTGAAATCCCATCTCTACTAAAAATACAAAAATTAACTGGGCGTGGTGGCGCATGCCTGTAATCCCAGCTACTTGGGAGATAGGGAAATCATTTGAGCTCAGGAGGTGGAGGGTTGCAGAGAGCCGAGATCTCGCCACCGCACTCAGGCCTGGGCGACAGAGGAAGACTCAGTCTCCAAAAAAAAAAAAAAAAAAAAAAAAAAAAAAAATCATTGAACTTCCCTTGATTTAAGCTTCCTGATCATTTTTTTTTTTTAATTCAAACAAGTCGGCCGGGTGCGATGGCTCACGCCTGTAATCCCAGCACTTTGGGAGGCCGAGGCGGGGGGATCACGAGGTCAGGAGATCGAGACCATCCTGGCTAACACGGTGAAACCCTGTCTCTACTAAAAAATACAAAAAAAAAATTAGCCGGGCGTGGTGGCAGGCGCCTGTAATCCCAGCTACTGAGGAGGCTAAGGCAGGAGAATGGTGTGAACCCGGGAGGCGGAGCTTGCAGTGAGCCGAGATTGCGCCACTGCACTCCAGCCTGGGCGACAGAGCAAGACTCTGTCTCAAAAAAAAAAAAAAAAAAAAAGTCAACAAAGGCCTGGCATGGTGGCTCATGTCTGTAATTCCGACCCTTTGGGAGGCTGAGGCGGGAGGACCGTTTGAGCCAGGGAGGCTGAGGGTGCAGTGAGCCTTGATCATGCCACTGCACTCCAGCCTGAGCCACAGATCAAGACCATCTCTATAAAATAAATAAATAAAAGTCAAGTGCAAATGTATTACGCTCCTGTTTTACAAAGCATTTTTCTATTATTGCAGATCTTCGGTTTACAAATTAACTGGAGGTGGGATCCAAACATACTAAGATTGTACAAGGCAAAATGAAGAGAGCCCTAGATGAGACTCTGTGTTTGTGTGGCATGTGTACGTGTCTGCATGTGTTTTAAAGGTGAAAAAGTACATTAAAGGACTCAGGGGAAACTCTAAGCACTTGGAAGACTCCTTCTAACTCTAAAATTCTATTCTCTTAAAAAGCCTTAATCATAGTGTACGCTATTACATGGTTTAGTGATACATGGAACGGATGATATTCCGTCAAGTTCTCTCCATGAGCACAATGACACAGTAGGAAGTAAAAGACACGTCATAATGAGGTTCTACTTTACCCAAACAAACAATTCTGCAGTACAGTTCATGTTTAACCAGGGCCAAATCATCTCCAGATAGCTTAGAGAGTTTTGTTTTGTTTTTAATAAAAGCTAACTTGTGGTGACAAGCACACACAAGAAAAGTGGGTTTTTCTTTAGCAGAAACCACTTAGCAAGTTAGGCTAGCCTCTGAAGAGCCTAGCCACAACACTCCTCACACCAAACACAAAATAGACACACAACAGTTGCCTCCTCCTCCCTCCTCTATCTTTAGGGGTAATGATTTACCATGACACTCAAATGCTGTTATTGCAGTGGTACTTCCATAAACTGGACATGCATAACAACTATTGTATTTAGGTCACAAACTCACAAAAGAAAAGTCCATCCTGAAAGTAAGTTGACAACTATGTCATCATATAAATAACCTAAACTTCCATGAAAACTCAAAGACCCCTAACATGAGGACTTGCTTGTTCCCAGCATTCCTTGGAGAGGCAGAATATCCCCATTTTAAGGGTAGGAAAATTGAGGAATAAGTACTGAATTTACCAGTCTTTGTTGAGATAAGGAAATGTAATAGCATAAATTTTGCTAGGAAATGCATATTATGGTTTTGTAAGAAAGTCTAACCCATGGTCCAAGAAGCCCAGATTCTTACCTATTAATGGCATGAAAGGCTTTCTGAGATGATGCTATTGTTCTCTCAGAAAAAGAAGAGTAACACTCTTAAGTCATTCTGGTTTCCCTTAGTAACTCTTTCTTAAATAGCCGTGAATGTTATCTACACCGTTTATAGCTTGTTCTTCTTCTCAAACTGGTATACCACTTCTAAGGTCAGAATTTTATCATGTTCCCTAAAAACTATTATCAGAACTTCTCGTCTGCCCCAAATTGATTTTTAAGAAATAATTTAAGGCATTTCTTAAAATTCTGAAATTTGGTGGAAAAGCTCATGTTCGCCTATCCAAATCCTTCATGAATGTAAGCGTCTTCATCCACAGCCTTCCTACACCATTTCTCTTTCCTGAAGGCAAGTAGTATGGGTCAGTGGAACCGCAGCCTCGAGGCAGAGGCGAGATTTCAGCCTCTTAAGACCTGCAGCTCTGGACAAGTCACTGAACTTCTCTGGACCTCCAAGGGCTCAGAAAAAAATGAAAACATTGAACAGGACGTTCCGAATGTTCTCATCCAGATCTGAAACACTTTTTTTCTTTTCTTTTTTTTTTTGACACGAGTCTCGCTCTGTCGCCCAGGCTGGAGTGCAGCGGCGCAATCTTGGCTCACTGCAACCTCTGCCTCCTGGGTTCAAGCGATTCTCCGGCCTCAGCCTCCCGAGTAGCTGGGAATACAAGTACTTGCCACCACGTCCGGCTAATTTTTGTATTTTTAGTATATGCAGGGTTTCACCATGTTGGCCAGGCTGGTCTTGAACTCCTGACTTTAGGTGATCCGCCCGCCTCGGCCTCCCAAAGTGCTGGGATTACCGGCGTGAGTCACCACGCCCGGCCATACTTTTTCTTTTAACCTGTTCTATCATGTTAAGATACCTTTTGCTGTGCTCTTTCTTCAACTCTACTGTGTTTCTTAGCTGAAGACCTCATGAGTAGGCTGTGTTCCAAAACAAAAAGCACCTTATGACTTGGTATGGTGGTTTTCATTATGGAACTGAAGCTACTTTTGACAGACTCATCTTGCATCAAGTTCTCCCTGAGACATACGGGAGGGGAAATGGGTGGGGTGTGTATGGCACAGGAATAGCCACAGTTAAGTGGCTGAGGAGGCCAGAACAAGTACATGCTGGTTCCCTATTCCATCTATTTCCCTGTGTCTGAAATTCTCCAAAATACAAAGTTAAAAAAGAAAAGAAAAGCACATCTCTTTCAAAGAGAGAAGTATATTTGATTGGCATTATTACAGGATTTTGTCTGGAGACTTTGGTATGGTATAACTGCTCTTCACACCATTTCCCTTGGATTGAGATAGAATCTACAAGACATGAAACTAAGGAGAGCTCCTCAAAGTTCAGCCAAAATTAAGGAAAATGAACCAAAAACAAAATTCCTCAAATGACCTCAAGGTTATCCATGAGAAGATCCATGGTAATACTTGGCAGAGGATGGAACTTATTTCCATCGTGCTACACCGTATGTCTCCTATAAGCTATTTTCTGCAACTTCTGAACAGCTAAACTTCAGCCCTCTGTGACATGGAAAGCGAGGAAATAAACAAGCCCCACTGGGAGAAGGATGCCTCAGAGGGTGCTGAAATAAAAAAGGAAAGGCAAGGGATTTCAGGAGTTAAGAAATCCTAAAGAAAAATGGGAGCATGCATTTGGAGAAGGAGAGGGTAAAGACATGCATCTTACGGCAGCCAGAGAACACAGGAAGGGGAATGACAGGGGAAGGCGCTTCCTGGTGCTCCAACGCCCAGCAGCCCTCGCCACCCACATCCCCGGACTCCCGGGGCGGGAGGGCTGCGCACACCTGGGACTTGGGGGAGGCGAGGGGCTCCGAGGAGCCGGGCTCGGAGAGCAGGCGAGCGGAGAGGCGGGCGGCCGGGGTTCGGGGCGGGCGCGGACCGTTCCATCCCGGACGGGGGGCACCCGCTCCACCCGCCGGGGATCCCCGGGGCGCGGCGATGGTGCCTCCTGACGCCGGCGCAGCGTCGCCGGGGCGTCCCAGACCGCAGGCCCCGCGCGGCCGCCCAAGCCCGGCTCCCACGTCCCGCTCTCGGCTCCCCGGAGGTCGGAGACTTTGAGGTAAGGGGCCAGCTCCCTCCTACTCACCGACCGCGAGGCTAGGCAGCTCCAAATCCCGCGGCGACCGCTCCCTCCCGCCCTTGCCGCCGCCGCGGGCCCAAGCTGCGTCAGGACGTGCGCGCGCCCGCCTTTGTCTGCGCCGCCCAACGTGACCCTGCGCCCACCGCCCCGCACGCTCCCGTCGGGCGCGCGCGGGCCGGCAGGGCGGGGGCCTAGGGAGAGGCGGGTGCCGCGTGGACCGGTCGCGGGTTGGGCGACCCGCGGAGTCGCCCTCTGGCGGACTAGGGGGCACTGCCGGGGGCGGGGCGGGGCAGGAGCAGGAGAGGCCGGGCCCTGGCTGTCCCTCCGCTGGCGCGTCCCTCTCAGAAAGCGGAGCGCTTCCCTGCGTTAGGACCCGATACTGGCTCCCTCCCCGGAGGTTCGCTTGTGTGTTCCGGAGAGGGTGAAATCAGGCTGGCACCGCGGGAAGAGGCTAGAGTCACTAAATCACCTTGTCCTCTTGAGGCTGCTGTCCGTATGCAGCGACATTCTGCCCGTTAGAGGACTCAGCTCAGGGCCTGGTACGCTCAAGATCTGTTAGCTACCAGCACCATCACCACGACCACCGTCATCACCAGCAGTATCCCTCAGCCTCGTCTACCTTGCTCGTCAAGCAGGGTGCTCCAGGAGTGGGTGTAGGCCACTTTCGCCCTGCCTGGCAGATGCAACTTTCCAACTTCCACCTCCACTTGGACCTGCTCTCTCTACTCAAGTCTAGCTGGTGGCTGCTGGAGTTTGCGTGTGTGTTTCTTACTATATCTTCTGACTTCGGACGCCTAACCCAAGCTTATTATCTCCCCTAAAATGGGACCTCCTTAAAATATATATTACCTTTCTTTTTCCTGTTCTTAAAAGACAGTTTGCCTTTAGTGCCAAGCCCTCTCCGCCGGTTTACGCTGTACACGGCTGTCAGATTGTCATTCCGTGCTAAATGCATAATCTGATAATGAAATCTTTAAAGTCCACATTCTTAGACCTCAAAATCTCTGTAAGAATAAAGGGCAGAGTATGGTAGTTCACGCCAGTAATCCCAGCGTTTTGGGAGGCCAAAGCAGGAGGATCGCTTGAGGCCAGGAGTTTGAGACTAGCCGGGGCAACGTAACGAGACCCCCACTTCTACAAAAATTTTGAAAATTAAAAAAAAATGGTGGGGGGAGCGGGGCGCGGGTAGCTCACGCCTGTAATCCCAGCACTTTGGGAGGCAGAGGCGGACAGATCACTTAAGGCCAGGAGTTTGAGACCAGCCTGGCCAACATGGTGAAACCCCGTCTCTACTAAAAATACAAAATTTAGCCGGGGGTGATGGCACGCACCTGTAATCCCAGCTACTCGGGAGGCTGAGACAGGAGAATTGCATGAACCCAGGAGGCAGATGTTGCAGTGAACTGAGATTGTGGCACTATACTCCAGCCTGTGTGACAGAGCGAGACCCAAACTCAAAAAAAAAAAAAAAAAAAAGAATAACCACTTAGCTCCAAAACACTGGACTACTTATCTCCACCAAATATAACTAAATGTTACCCATTTGGAACTGATCACGTATTTATTAACTCAATCACTTATCCATTCATTGAGCCCTTGTTACTCGCCCAGCTTTTTTGGGGATCCCAATTCAAGATTGAGTAATGCATGGCCACGTCTAATCGTCAACGACATTAAATTCCATAAGAGAAGAAACCACCGGGCGCGGTGGCTCACCCCTGTAATCCCAGCACTTTGGGAGGCTGAGGCGGGGGAATCACGAGGTCAGGCATTCGAGACCAGCCTGACCAACATGGTGAAACCCCGTCTCTCCGTCTCTACTAAAAATACAAAAATTAGCCGGGCGTGGTGGTGCGCACCTGTAATCCCAGCTATTCGGGAGGCTGAGGCAGGAGACTTGCTTGAACCCAGGAGGCGGAGGTTGCAGTGAGTTGAGATCGCACCACTACACTCCAGCCTGGGCGACAGAGGGAGACTCCATCTCAGAAAAAAAAAAAAAAAAGAAGAAGAAACCAGACATCATACATTTTTGTGTTGTGTTCTCCACAGTGCTAGGGATAGGGATTTAAAGTGGCCACCAGGATCTCAACTGCTCTTTGGAGTCCTTCGTCTGGTCTCCTTTTCTGCCCCCAGAACCAGTCTTGGAAGTAGCCCACTCATCTGCTGTACTCTCTTTGTGTTCTCATGGTTATATTTTCTCACAATTCTTACCATCTACTAGTTCTTTGTACATAATATTGAAATCTTAAAATATTTCACACATATTAGAGGCTCAAGAGAAAATGGTGTTCTTTGCCCAAGCAAATAGTAGGCTCAATTGTTGGGTATTAACACTGATACACACACACACCTTGTGAGTGTGCACATTCACTGGCACATTCTCTAAACTTCTCAAGTGCAGGAAGGCAATCAAACTTCCCTCTGAGTGGGAAGCCAACATGAACTAGGTAAATATAGTTCCTGTAGGCACCAAAACTTTTATCACATTCATTTCTAGGTACAAGGAATGTAAATGGGCAGATGAAACAAGCAAGTCATGCTTGAAATGCTTGACACAAAGCAGACTTATCTTTAGAGAAGGCCTCCTGCCCATAGCATGACCGAGCTATAGCCAACACTGAACTTCTTGTCGCTGTGAATATGGGCTGTCTTTAGATTATTGTTGGCAGTATTTTCACATTCTAGAATGAAAAAACTCATACTGCAGAAATTATAGGAGTAATTTTTAAAACCTGATGAAGGGTAGTCCTTTAGAAGAAAGAGATCACAAGATTTAGATCCTACCCCATACTAACTTTGAATTCATTCATAGTATGAGGGCATTTCCCCAAAATGTGTGCTCTGTACATGGTGCACAGTGCTGTGAGCCTGGGAAGAACCCCTTTCCCCAGGAGAGTACCATGCCTGTGCCGTACAACTTATCTTCCTTCCAAAGTCAACTTTAACATCTACAAAGAGTTTGCCATTCATTAAGAGGTGAATCCCTAACTGTCGACTGCACAACCAGCAACATCAATGCTCATTTCCAAGCACCAAAATAAAAAGCCAAAGAAAGTAAAATAAATATTATTTTTAAAAAATGTTTTCAATTGTGGTAGAATACGTAGAACCTAAAATTTATTATACCATCTTAATCAGTTCTTTTTTTTTTTTTTTTGAGATGGAGTCTCACTCTCTTGCCCAGGCTGGAGTACAGTGGCACAATCTCAGCTCACTGCAACCTCCGCCTCCAGGTCCAAGCGATCCTCTCACCTCAGTCTCCCGAGTAGCCAGGATTACAGGCATGCACCACCACATCTGGCTAATTTTTTTGGTGGAGGGGAGAGGGGACGGAGTCTCACTCTGTGGCCCAGGTTGGACTGCAGTGGTGAGATCTCGCCTCACTGCAACCACTGCCTCCCAGTTCAAGTGATTCTTCTGCCTCAGCCTCCCAGGTAGCTGGGACTACAGGTGCGCGCCATCATGCCCAGATAATTTTTGCATTTTTAGTAGAGATGGGTTTTCACCATATTGACCAGGCTGCTCTTGAACTCCTGACCTTAGGTGATCTACCCACCTTGGCCTCCCAAAGTGCTGGGATTACTGACATGACCCACTGGGCCTGGCCCATCTTAATCATTTCTAAGTGTACAGTTCAGTGGTGTTAAATATATTTTCATTATTATGAATCTTCAGAAATTTCCATCAAGGCTGGGGATGGTATCTAATGCCTGTAATTCCAGTTATTTGGGAGGCTGAGGCAAGTGGATTGCTCGAGCCCAGGAGTTTGAGACCAAGCCTGGGAAACATGGGGGAACCCAATCTCTAAAAAAAAAAAAAAAAAAAAAAAATTGACATTCTATGCCCATTAAAAAAAAATTTCATTTCTCTTCTCTCTACCCCCAGTAACAACCATTCTACCATTCTACGTTCTGCTAATGGGAGTTCAAGTAGTCTGCCTCATATAAATAGTCGGATTTTGTCTTTTTGTGACTGGCTTATTTCACTTAGCACAGTGTCCTCCAGATTCATCCATGTTGTAGCATGTGTCAGAGTTCCCTTTTTTTTAGGGCTAATATTCCATTGTATGTATGTATGTTTATTTTGAGACGGAGTTTTTGCTCTTGTTTCCCAGGCTTGAGTGCAATGGCATGATCTTGGCTCACTGCAACCTCCGCCTCCTGGGTTCAAGAGATTCTCCTGCCTCAGCCTCCCAAATAGCTGGGATTACAGGCATGCGCCACCATGCCTGGCTAATTTTTTTTTTTAATTTTATTTTTAGTAGAGATGGAGTTTCACCATGTTGGTCAGGCTGGTCTCGAACTCCTGACCTCAAGTTATCCACCCACTTCAGCCTCCCAAAGTGCCGGAATTACAGGCATGAGCCACTGCGCCTGGCCCCATTGTATTTGTATACCACATTTTCTTTATCTATTTGTCGTTGACGGACATTTGGGATTGATCCTGCTTTCAATTATTTTGTGTATCTACCCTGAAGTGGGATTGCCCAATCGTATGGTAATTCTACTCTCAATTTTTTTAAGTCTGGAGTTGGGAGGAGAGCTTCAGCTAGTGATATAAATTTGAGAGTCAGGCCGGGCATCGTGGCTTATGCCTGTAATTCCAACACTTTGGGAAGCCGAGGCAGGCAGATCGCTTGAACCCAGGAGTTCAAGACCAGCCTGAGCAATATGGTGAAACCCTCTCTCTAAAAAAAAAAAAAAAAAAATTAGCCAGCCATGGTGGCAGGAGCCTGTAGTCTCAGCTACTTGGGAGTCTGAGGTGGGAGGATCACTTGAGTCCAGGAGGTCGAGGATGCAGTGAGTGAGATTGCTTCACTGCATTCCAGCCTGGACTACTGGAGTGAAACCATGTCTCAAAAAAAAAAAAAAAAAAAAAAAAGGCCGGGCGCGGTGACTCATGCCTGTAATCCCAGCACTTTGGGAGGCCGAGGCAGGCGGATCACGAGGTCAGGAGACCAAGACCATCCTGGCTAACACGGTGAAACCCCGTCTCTACTAAAAATACAAAAAATTAGCCAGGCGTGGTAGCAGGCACCTGTAGTCCCAGCTACTCAGGAGGCTGAGGCAGGAGAATGGCGTGAACCCAGGAGGTGGAGCTTGCAGTGAGCCGAGATTGCGCCACTGCACTCCAGCCTGGGCAACAGAGCGAGACTCCGTCTCAAAAAAAAAAAAAAAAAAAGTTAAAAATAAATAAATTTGAGAGTCATCAGAATACGAATGGTACATATGTTGGATCGGATGAATACAAGAAAGCCCAGACTTAAGGAGAGACTTGGCAGTTAAGAGCAGTGAAGAAGACAGGTTGTTTCAGTCCAGATCTATACCATAGTCTTCAATTTGAAAGAAACACACTCTGCCAGGCACAGTGGCTCATGCCTGTAATCCCAGCACTTTGGGAGGCCAAGATGGGTGGATTAGCTGAGGTCAGGAGTTGAAGACCAAGGCCTGGCCAACATGGAGAAACCCCATCTCTACTAAAAATACAAAAATTAGCCAGGTGTGGTGGTGGGTGCCTGTAATGCCTGCTACTGGGGAGGGTGAGGCAGGGGAATTGCTTGAACTGGGGAGGCGGAGGTTGGAGTGAGCCAAGATGGCGCCTTTGTTCTCCAGCCTGGGCGACACACTCTATTTTGCCAATTTATTATGAATTGATTGTGACAAGTTGGTTAAGAGACTCAAACCAACAAGGGACACTGATACAAAAAGGCTTATTTATTATTTTGGGAGGATTGAAAACGCAAAATTAACTGGAATGATACAATTAGTAGGTCAGCTCATACTTTCAGCAGTAGGAAAGTCTACATACTTGGAAAATCAAATCAACATTAGTTGATTGTTTGTTTACTATAAGGTTTTTAAAAAAGAAACGAGGAAATGTGTGGCTCCCAGGGCTCTGGCAATGGGCTCTACTCGCAAAGTTCTGCTTGCATCTGCCAAGCAGTGGATAAAAGTTGGCAGAGCCGACCATCCTCTTGGATGACCATGATACACTATTTCTCTTAGCCCAGCTCCCCACTTTCTGAAATTCATGCCCACCTACCATTACCACCTCCCGTGAGACTATAGTTGCCTTCCTGGGGTTCCCATGGAAAGAAAACAGGAGCTTGTACATTATTTTAAGAATTCAAAAAGTCTAGTAGAATTCACACATTTACCTGAAATAAGGATACTTAAACAGACTAAAATGTAATTTTTTGCAGATATCCGCTCATATGACTCACTTCAAGATCAACCCCAACAGAAAGTTTTCTCTGATTCCCCCAGGAGCTCATTCTCTCTTTGGGTGCCTCTAATATTGTTTACTTTCATTATTTATTCATATGTCTGTCCCCCAACCAGACCGTAAATTTTGATTTATTCATCTTTCTATCACCAATTGGCATATATAGTAGTTGCTCAATAAATGTTTGTTGGATGAGTGAAAACTACGTGATGACTACCAGAAACTAGACAAATTATGCATACATCTGATGAATAAAATTATAAACTAAACTACTACTTAATGCACAAAGTTTGATAGACAATACTTGGGGTATGTGAGAAAATGAAGGTGTTCTTTTTGTTTTGTTTTGTTTTGAGATGAGTTCTTACTCTGTCACCCAGGCTGGAGTGTCGTGGTACAGTCTCAGCTCACTGCAACCTCTGCCTCCTGGGCTCAGGTGATCCTCCCACCTCAGCCTCCCAAACAGCTGTAACCACAGGTGTGCACCACCACACCTGGCTATTTTTTTATTTTTTTGTAGAGACAGGGTTTCTCCATGTTGCCCTGGCTGGTCTTGAACTCCTGGACTCAAGTGATCCTCCCACCTTGGCCTCTCAAAGTGCTAGAATTACAGGCGTGAGCCACCTTGAGTGGCCCAAAGGAATTCTTAACAGCAAAAATACCAGAGCTTATTGAATTTTTTTTTTTTTTTTTGAGACGGAGTCTCGCTCTGTCACCCAGGCTGGAGTGCAGTGGTGCGATCTCTGCTCACTACAAGCTCCACCTCCCAGGTTCACGACATTTTCCTGCCACAGCCTCCCAAGTAGCTGGGACTACAGGTGCCCGCCACCATGCCTGGCTAATTTTTTTGTATTTTTTACTAAAGACAGGGTTTCACTATGTTAGCCAGGATGGTCTTATCTCCTGACCTTGTGATCTGCCCGCCTCAGCCTCCTAAAGTTCTGGGATTATAGGCATGAGCCACCGTGCCCAGCCCAGCTTATTGAATTTTAACATTACCTAGATGGGAAAGGTTGTAATAAATTAGACTAGTTCATCTTCGTCTGGACCTTTCAGAGGTCAAGGGAGCCCTTGACCACTTTTTATTTTTTTGAGATTATTCCTGCATTAAAAAAAAAAAGAATTACAAGATTACAACTGTGGCATATGGTACATGTGTATATTTCCAAAATTGACAATTTTAACAGAAAAAGGGGCAGTATACACAATTGTGCTACTTACAAGATAAAGTTTTATAAAAATGTCAAATATTATTTCAAAGCGCATAGCAGGCAACATGAGATGCATCTCTAGCTAGGAGATGCAAATGTGAAATTTGGAGGTGAATGATGAGCAGCATCTTTCTTTCTTTTTTTCCTTTATTCCTTCCTTCCTTCTTTCTTTTCTCTCTTTCCCTCCCTCCCTGCCTTTCTTTCTGTCTTTCTGTCTTTCTTCCTTCCTTTCCTTTCCTTTCCTTTTCCCTCCCTCCCTCCCCCTCTCTCTCTTTCTTTCTTTCTTGACAGTCTCACTCTGTCGCCCAGGTTGGAGTGCGATGGTGACATATCGGCTCACTGCAACCTCCACCTCCTGGGTTCAAGCGATTCTCCCACCTCAGCTGCCCGAGTAGCTTGGATTACAGGCACCTGCCATCATGTCCAGCTAATTTTTGTATTTTTAGTAGAGACTGGGTTTCACCATGTTGGCCAGGCTGATCTTGAACTCCTGACCTCAGGTGATCCACCTGCCTCTGCCTCCCAAGGTGCTGGGATTACAGGCAGGAGCCACTGAGCCCAGCTGAGCAGCATCTTTTTTCAATCCTGTTAGTTCTCTCTGTAGTTGTATGTGTAACTTAATTTGGAGATAGTATCAAAAGTCTAGGTCCCAGACCCTCTCTAAATGTGACGCCTGGTCCACGTGGTCTCCCAGCACTTCCCCTTTCTAGTGCTAGGCCATGATGATGAGATGGATTTCAGAAACTCTAATGTCATTAGAAATACATTACCACACATCTTAGGAGTACGTCACTTCTACAGCTGGCTACTCATCTTTTCTGTTGATTTTTACTAGCTTGAATTTGAAAGCAACCCCCAACTCTGACAGCATGCTCTATAAGTCCACCTGCCCTATTCATGATCAACCCTTAATGGAGTCAGGCCTTCTAGAAGGCAAGGGGGAAACAGTAGCGATTGCAATAGCTCCCATTATCAGATGAGGAAGCTGCAGCTCTGTCCACACTGTTCCTGGAAGCCTGTGTGTTTGGCTGCTTCTGCCTTTACCCTGTTAACCACCTGGCAGGGCACCCTGGCTGTTTTGTTCGAGAGTCAGGTGGGGCAGGCCCTTTAGGGAAAAAAATGAAGTGGCCGGTTGGGGTGACTCATGCCTGTAATCACAGCACTTTGGAAGGCCAAGGTTGGGTGGATCACTTGAGGTCAGGAGTTCATGACCAGCCTGGCCAACATGGTGAAACCCCGTCTCTACTAAAAATACAAAAATTAGCTGGGCATGGTGGCAGGCACCTGTAATCCCTGCTACTCGGGAGGCTGAGGGAGGAGAATCGCTTACCCGTGAGGCAGAGGTTGCAGTGAGCCAGGATAGTGCCATTGCGCTCCAGCCTGGGTGACAGAGCAAGATTCTGTCTCAAAAAAAAAAAAAGAAAGAAAGAAAGAAAGAAAAAATAAAGTGAATGTTGCTTGTTCAACCTCAATACCTGCCATTGGCATAAAAAATGTAGTCCAAGAAATCAAGTATCAGAAGAGATAAAAGTGTACAAAAAGAAATCTTTTATTTAAAATTTGTCATCTATGAATAATAATCGAAGAATGAAGAGTCCCTGAAAAGAGGTTAAAGCCTTCCAACATCTAAAGCTCTCAGAACACTGTAAATTGAAGCTAGAGGCATACTTGGCACACATTCACATATATTATTCTAATCCATATGTTCTGAGCTCCAGGGGGGTGGCCAGCCTGCGGCCGGCTGTGTCCAAGGCCAACTTGTCCTCACTTTCTCCCATCCTGGGGGAGGCAAACACTTCAGTGGATGCTTTCAATACCGGACCATCAATACATAATGGGGAGCTATGGGGGCCGTGGGGGCAAAGGTCAGGTTTCTGGGTCTAGGTAAATTGCATTCAAAGAAGTAGTAGCAGCCGGGTGTGTTGGCTCACGCCTGTAATCCCAGCACTTTGGGAGGCCAAGGTGGGAGGATCACGAGGTCAGCAGTTTGAGACCAGCCTGGCCAACATGATGAAACCCCGTCTCTACTAAAGATATAAAAAATAGCAGTGCATGGTGGCAGGTGCCTATAATCGCAGCTACACAGGAGGCTGAGGCAGGAGAATAATTTGAACCCAGGAGGTGGAGATTGCAGTGAGCTGATATGGCACCATTGCACTCCAACCTGGGTGACAAGGTGAGACTCCATCTCAAAAAAAAAAAAAAAAAAAAAGTAGTACCCAGGCACCATGGCTCACACCTGTAATCCCAACACTCTGAGTGATCCTTAGGCAGGAGGACCAGTTGAACCCAGGAGTTCAAGACCAGTTTGGACAACATGAGGAGATACTGTCTAAAAAATAATAATAAAAATTAAAATTAAAAATTAAAGTGTACTAAACTACTGAAAATAAGTGTTTTTAAAAGTACCCATATTTTGAAATGAACAGAGACAGAGTCTCCCCACACTTTTATATGATGAAGAGGGAGAAAAAGTGTTTATTATATCAACTGTTGAAGATGCTTTAATGAACATTCCTTTTGGCAAAAGTGGAATAAGCCTGACTATTTCAAGTTACCAGGAAAGTAGCCCTTCCTAGATGGAGAGGAAAGTAGAAGGGCAAAGTTCTCTCTCCCATCTTTAACGTAAAGAACCCCTCCCCAACCTCTGCAATACACACACAAACATACACACATGCGCACGCACACACCACCCACGGTCCTTAGACACTCTCTGCTAAGCCCTTTCAATAATTACATATAAATACTTTATTTGCATTTCTTCGGTTTCCCGACTCCATTCCCAGAATCTTCCTAAAGCAAAACCTCATCCCTTGTAGTCAGGAAGTGAGAGAAGAATGCAAGGCATTCGAGGCCTTCTGCAGGGACTAGGAGTTGAATCAGTCCTGTTTCCCCATTATGAATTCAGGAGCAAGAAAACAGATTGAGCAAAGTTCCCCGACATGGGAAACACGCGCGTCCTGGACAAGAAATCACGCTTTGCCCAGGTGGAAAAGGCAGGCGCAGAGGCCTCAGCCTGTCTGTCTGTGCGCCCTCACAGAGCCTGGCTTCATTCTGATGAGCAGGACGGCGAACCCGGCACCCAGCTGTAGTTTTGCCTTTGATTACTGTCCCCGAAAGGCCGCTGAGCACGCTCTAAAGAGAAGCAGAACTGGACGGTGGCCCGCGGGGCCAGGGTACTCGGCGGCAACACCACCTGGAAGGCGAAGCCGACCCTCTCACCTCGGCGGGGACCCGGCATTCCAACACAGGGCTCTTGTTGGAAGGAGCCCCAGGCATCCAGGGGGTGCGCATCTGCACGGCCCGCTTGTCCCCACCTGCGCTCACGGTGCCCCGCAGGAAGCCCCTACAGGGCACACAGCTGCAGGCTCGCCCCCGAGAGTGCGGGCATCCCTGAATACCCGCTAGTCCCTCCTGGGGCGCAGCAGCCCGGGCGTGGGGGGCGGTTCTGCAGCAGGAGGAGGCCGGGCCGGGGAGGCTGCACGCGGGACACCGGCCCTCTTCAGGCTGTGCCCGCAGTGGCTTCAAACCAGTGCACCGATACCAACGACAGCCCCTTTGCGTCTGCAAACACAACTTGCTTCTTGGGTCGCTGGGGGTCAGGTGGTCGTGCCAGGCAGGGGAGGGACAGCCGAGGCCGCGGCGCCCCTCGGGGAGGCCGCTAGGGCTGCGGAAGAGGTACGCTGCAGCAGAGGTAGAGGTGCATAAGGAGGCGCGCTGAAGGCGGCACGGGGACCTTGGCAAAAAGGAAGGAAGCTCTGTTGAGGGCGCAGAAGGACCGCACATTCCCACCTGCAGCCCAACCCGCCCTTCCCTGCGCTCCCCCGGGCTCGCACACCCCACGGTGTCCCCTGAAACTGGAGAAGAAGAGAAGTGCAAGAAGAACCACGTGGCACCGTCGATTCCTGGAGGCCGGCGTGCTTACCCCACTCAACTCCAGGCGGCAGGCGTGGCAGGGGTGTCGCTGCTCCTGTCTGAGAAACAGCTTCCCAGCGGGAATTATTTATTTGCTCCCGAACCGTCGCGCTGAGGCACTACTGCCAGGAGGCAGCCAATCAGAAGAGCCTTTCATGATTAACCAGTGGGTTGGAGAAAGGAAAAGGATGTGACTACAAGTATGACTCAGTAGGTCCCAGCTACTCGGGAGGCCAAGGTGGGAGGCTCGCTTGAGCCCAGGAGTTAGGAGACCAGCCTGGGCAAGATGGTGAGATCCCGTCTCTAGGAAGAAAGAAGAAGAAGGAGGAGAAGAAGTGTGACACAGACATTTTGCCTCAGGCCACCAGCACGTCACCTGGGGCAGCATTTGGGATCACTCTGGGGTCACCAGTGATGGGGGTCTGTGATCAGGACAGGAGGGACAACAGGGACAATGTTGAAACTGGAAACCCTCTTAGCTGTGGAATAGACGGGATTTGTGTTTGTTTGTCTGTTGTAATTATTATTATTATTATTATTATTATTATTATTAGAGACTCACTCTGTCGCCCAGGCTGGAGTGCAGTGGCCTGATCTCGGCTCACTGCAACCTCCGCCTCCCGGGTTCTAGTGGGTCCTGCCTCAGCCTCCCTAGTAGCTGGGACTACAGGCGTGTGCCACCACGCCCGGCTAGTTTTTTGTATTTTAGTAGAGATGGGGTTTCACGGTGTTGCCCAGGCTGGTCTGAACTCCTGAGCTCAGGCAATCCATCCACCTCGGCCTCCCAAAGAGCTAGGATTACAGTCGTGAGCCACCGTGCCCAGCCTGTTTGTCGTATTTATTTACTTTAATTATTTTTCTTTTAATAGAGACTTGGTCTCCCTGTTGCCCAGGCTGGTCTTCAAATCCTGGGCTCAAGCGATACTCCCACATCGGCCTCCTAAAGGGCTGGGATTATAGGCATGAGCCACCGTGCCCAGTTCCACCAGTAGCCTTGAAAAGTTGCCCTTTTGGCCGGGAGCAGTGGCTCATGCCTGTAATCCCAGCACTTTGGGAGGCCGAGGCAGGTGGATCACTTGAGGTCAGGAGTTGGAGACCAGCATGACAGCACAGTGAAACCCTGTCTCTACTAAAAATACATAATTAGCCGGGTGTGGTGGCGCATGCCTGTAATCCCAGCTACTTGGGAGGCTGAGGCAGGAGAATCACTTGAATCCAGGAGACAAAGGTTGCAGTGAGCCAAGATCAGGCCATTGCACTCCAGCCTGGGGGACAAGAGCAAAACTCTCTCTCAAAAAAAAAAAAAAAAAAAAAAAAAAAAAAAAAGTTGCCCTTTTCCCATATCTTCACCATAATTAAAAACGATCAAACTAAGATATTTGTCAATATGACAGGTGTAAAAAAGCATCTCATGATTGTTTTGATTACATTTTTAAAAGAAAATGGCATGGTAGGATTTTTTTCATATATCATTGGCCATTTCCATTTCGTTCTCAGTGAATGACATATTCAAACTTTTCACCAATTTTTAAATTAAGCTATTTGTATATTTTCAATAATGTAGGTGTTAGTAGCTCTTGGTTAATTAATGATATTAATTGGTTCAAACCTGTGCACCGATGCCAACAAGAGCCCCTTTGCATCAGCAAACACAACTTGCTTCTTGGGTCACTGGGGATCAGGAGGTCGTGCCAGGCAGGGGTTAATGATATCAAGTAAGTGGATTATCTGTTTGGAAGAAAATAAGGGTAGACCCCAATCTCACAACAAAAATAATTGAAGAGCTTAACAAAAAAATAAAACTGGCTGGGTGCGGTGGCTCACACCTGTAATCCCAGCACTTTGGGAGGCCAAACCGGGCAGATCACGAGGTCAGGAGATCGAGACCATCCTGGATAACACGGTGAAACCCCATCTCTACTAAAATTAAAAAAAAAAAAAATTAGCCGGGCATTGTGGCACACACCTGTAGTCCCAGCTACTTGGGAGGCTGAGGCAGGAGAATGGCTGAGCCTGGGAGGCGGAGCTTGCAGTGAGCTGAGACCGCGCCACTGCACTCCAGCCTGGGCGATAGAGCAAGACTCCATCTCAAAATAAAATAAAATAAAAAATAAAACTGTAAATTATAAGGAAGAATTATAGGATAATATTTGCATAATTTGGGGGAAGGAGAAATTATATATGGCATGATAAACAAAATCAACAGGTAAACAAAAGACTGGGGAAATGTGTTTACAAAATACCGACCAACCAAGATGATGTTACTTCTTCTTGAGTCTGTTTTGCTTATATTTTCTGAGAGAGTCATCCATTTCCTTTAAATGTTAAACTTACTATAAAGGTAAGCACAGTGTTATTCTAGTTATTAAAAAGACTCGGCTGGGTGCAGTGCCTCACCTGTGCAATCTCAGCACTCTGGGAGGCCAAGGCCAGGGGGGATCACTTGGGCTCAGGAGTTCGAGACCAGCCTGAGCAACCTGGTGAAACCCCATCTCTACAAAAAAATACAAAAATTAGCGAGACGTGGTTGTGCGTGCCAGTTACTCCCAGCTACTCAGGAGGCTGAGGTGGAGGATCGCTTGAGCCCAGGAGGTGGAGGCTGCAGTGAGCTGTGATTGTGTCACTGCACTCCAGCCTGAGCCACAGAGCCCTTTTATTATTCCTAATATGCTTTATCAGTATTTTCTATATTTTTCATGGTCAGATTTGAAGTTTTTTTATTTGTTTTTCAGTTTCTTAGGTATATTGATTTCCCTTGTTGTCTAGTTAATTATTTTGTTTTCATTTTATGATTTCCCCTTTCATTTTTCTACTGTTTCTCCCTTCTTCAGTGGAATGCTCAGTTTCCTTTATTTTTAATCTTTTGTGTTTCCCAAGAAATGCATTTGAGATTGTATATTCTCTCAAAAAAGTAAACCTATACATTTGAAGACAGTGCTTTATTGCTAAACAGGCTCTCATTTGCATATTTGTTTTCTCTTTGACACAAGAATTATTTTCAAGAGTGCTATAAAAATTTGTAAGAGATCATATTGGGAGGAGGATATCTTTTTCATGTTGTCTTTAAGTTTTATTGACAGCCTAACCTTCTTCCTATGTAACAAATTCTTATGGATCCCTGCTTTTTGCTGAACAATGTGTTGGGTGCTGAAGCATGAAGGTAAATAAAACTGGTAAGATTGCTGACCACAGGAGACTTGCTTTCTAGCATTCAGAGAATGTTTTTTGTTTTTTTGTTTTTTTTTTTTTTTGAGGCAGAGTCTTACTCTGTTGCCCAGGCTGAAGTGCAGTGGTGTGATCTCAGCCCACTGCAACCTCCGCCTCCTGGGTTCAAGAGATTCTCCTGCCTCAGCCTCCTGAATAACTGGGATTAGCCGCCACCATGCCTGGCTAATTTTTGTATTTTTGGTAGAGATGGGATTTCACCATGTTGGCCAGACTGGTCTCGAACTCCTGACCTCAGGTGATCTGCCTGCCTTGGCCTCCCAAAGTGTTGGGATTACAGGCGTGAGCCACCACACCCAGCCGAGAGTGTGATCTTTATGACCTACATTTTGGGGGAATTTATTGAAACTTTCTTTCATGGCTATAGGTGATCCAATTTTTTAAAAAAGTATTTTCTCAGTTTGCTAAAATGTTCTCTCACTTCCTAAATCCTGAGAAAGGAGTTTTCAGGTCTCCTATGATGGTTGAGTTTTTCTCAAATTCTTGTGTTTCTGACAGTTTAGCATTTATATATTGTAACACTATGTTGTTTGGTATGTGAAGGCTCACTATTATTATATCTTCTTGGTGATTTTGTCTTATATTAATGGTTGATAAACCTCTATTCTATTTAATGATTTTGCCTTTAAGTTTATATTGATTTTTCTGACACCCCAATTTTGCTTTGTTAATATCAGTCTTTTTTTTTTTTTTTGAGATGGAGTTTTGCTCTTTTGCCCAGGCTGGAGTGCAATGGTGCATGGTGCAATCTTGGCTCACTGCAACCTCTGCCCCCGCTCACCCCCTACCCCAAATTCAAGCGATTCTCCTGCCTCAGCCTCCCGAGTAGCTGGGATTACAGGTGTGTGCCACCATGCCCGGCTAATTTTTTTGTATTTTTAGTAGAGACAGGGTTTCACTATGTTGGCCAGGCTGGTCTCGAACTCCTGACCTCAGGTGATCGACCCACCTCGGCCTCCCAAAGTGCTATGATTACAAGCATGAGCCACTGCACCTGGCCGTTAATACCAATGTTTTTAATAGATTCATTGTTATTGTTTATTTTTTATCCACTTTCTACTATTTGAGGTGTGTGATTATTTTGAAGGAAGAGAAAGTAGCTGGATTGTTTTTCCAGATTTCTTTTTCTCTTGTTCTTGGTACTTTCAATAAGCTCTAGGTTTTCAACTGACTCTCATTGCATAAGAGTTGTTTTTCTCTATTTACACTGGTTAATGCCAAGTATTTAGCTCAGCGTGATCCTGGCATTGCTATCAAAGCAAATGTAGGCTAAAAGAGCAGTTGTTTAGACAGTTATTTAGATCTCTTTTTGTCAGGATTGTGTGCATTTATCTTGCACACTGAAACCCCCCAAATCTGGCTAAACACACAACATATGTAAAAGTTTCAAAGACCCTAAAAACCTTTCACCCACAGAGACCTTGAGTTGGAAGAACATATTGGACCAAAGTTAGACCTGGAAATGATCTACCATGATCTAAGCAATTTCACTGCTCAACATAGTTGGAAACCAGGCAGCTGGGGAGGCATTGCCTCTGTAGGTGCCATGGGAAGAGGTCAAGGTCGGAACTTATTTTTGCTGGACAAACAGTGTGGGGTCAGGGAAAGCTAACTGATTTTCTGAGTCAGAAGTGCTAGATCGCAAGCTTGGCCATACTGCCTACCAGTGACTACGGAAACGCTGAAGCTTTTATATCTGAAAATGGGATAATGGTAACTGTCTATGTCAATGTATTGTAAGAAGATGAAGACAACATCTTATACATCTTATATATGTGTGATACTCTGACCTCTCAAAACCTCTTTTTTTGTTTTTGAGACAGGGTCTCACTCTGACAACCAGGCTGGCGCACAGTGGTGCCATCTCGGTTCACTGCAACCTCCGCCACCTCCTGGGTCAAGTGATTCTCCCACCTCAGCTTCCGGAGTAGCTGGGACTACAGTCAAAAACCTTTTTTTTTTTTTTTTTTTTTTTTTGAGACAGAGTCTCACTCTGTTGCCCAGGCTGGAGTGCAGTGGTGCAATCTTGGCTCACTGCAACCTCCACCCCCCATGTTCAAGCAATTCTCACGTCTCAGCCTCCCAAGTAGCTGGGACTACAGGTGTGCACCACCAGGCCTGGCTAATTTTTGTGATTTTAGTAGAGATGGGGTTTCACCATGTTGGTCAGGCTGATCTCGAACTCCTGACCTCAGGTAATCCACCTGCCTCGGCCTCCCAAAGTGCTGGGATTACAGGCGTGAGCCACTGCATTCGGCCAATTTTTTGTATTTTTAGTATAGATGGGGTTTCACCATGTTGGCCAGGCTGGTCTCAAATTCCTGAACTCAGGTGATCCGCCCACCTTGGCTTCCCAAAGTGACAGGATTACAGGGGTGAGCCACCACATCTGGCCTCAGAAACCTTTTAGTACCTTATTTTATTTTGCTTGTAAGAGACAGGGTCTGGCTCTGTTGCCCAGGCTGGAGTGCGGTGATACAATCATAGCTCACTGCAGCCTCCAACTCCTGGGCTCAAGCCATTCTCTCCCAAGCCTCCTGAGTAGCTAGGACTAAAGGTGCATGCCACAACACCAGGCTAATTTTTAAAATTTTTTGTAGAGATGGGGTCTTGGTATGTTGTCCAGGCTGATCTTGAACTCCTGGCCTCAAGCTATTCTCCCTCCTCAGCCTCCCAAAATACTGGGATTACAGGCATGAGACACTGCACCCAGCCAAAAACCTTTTAATACTTCATCTCACTTTTTCCCTATAGCAAACTTTTTATGTTGGTATTACTATTAGCTCCAGTTTACAGATAAG
The DNA here is from genome assembly GCF_000001405.40 of Homo sapiens. NCBI lineage: Eukaryota > Metazoa > Chordata > Mammalia > Primates > Hominidae > Homo > Homo sapiens. The sequence continues at coordinate 41,560,907 of NC_000008.11, read as the reverse complement.
GAAGTAATTTCTCCACAGCTGCTGAGTTAATAAAAATGTAGATTCTGGACCTGAGCTTCATTTTCTGACTCCAAGTCACAGGATCATTTCATTGTATCCTGCTCCTTGTGAAAATATTTTGAAAAACAAAAAGTGCCTCTCAATGTGAGGAATTAGTATTAATATTCTGGAAGAGATGTGTGGAACCATGCATAAATCTACAGAAGACTGCTGCATGCAGGCAGATTGGAAACTGGAAGGAAACTCTAGAGACTTTCTGATACCGCCCTTTGCAAATGTTGGGTGAGCAGATGCTTAAACCTTTCAGGACAGAAGAATATCTATTAATTTTTCTGTCGTGTCTAAGACTATAGCTCTTACAACCTTGTTTGGTAGACCATTCCAGCGCTGGGTTTGCCTTTTCTTCCTGACGCAGCATAGGCCTTTCTATTCTTCATAAATAGCTCTAGGTTTGGCTTTGTCACTTTATTGACTCATTTGTCCTTGTATATGTTCTGGGTATTCTGACTTAGATTAGAAAAGTAGCTTGCTTTTTATAAGAATCCCAGTTTATTTTCCATTGCTTTCTTCCTATTAGTCACCCAGGCTGGAGTGCAGTGGCACAATCACAGCTCACTGCAGCCTTGACCTCTTGGGCTCAAGCAATCCTCCCACCTCAGACTCCTGAGTATCTGGGACCACAGGCTAATTTTGTGTAGACATAGGGTCTCACTGTGTTGCCCTGGCTGATCTCAAACTCCTGAGCTCAAGTGATCCTCTGGCCTCGGCCTCCCAAAGTGCAGGGATTACAGGGGTGAGCCACTGGGCCTGGCCAACTTTTTTTTTTTTTTTGAGACAGAGTCTCACTCCATCACCCAGGCTGGAGTGCAGTGGCAACATCTCCGCTCACTGCAACCTCTGCCTTCTGGGATCAAGTGATTCTCCTGCCTCAGCCTCCCAAGTAGCTGGGACTACAGGCATGCACCACCACTCCCAGCTTTTTTGTATTTTTAGTAGAGATGGGGTTTTGTCATGTTGACCAGGCTGGTCTTGACCTCCTGACCTCAAGTGATCAGCCTGCCTCGGCCTCCCAAAGTGCTGGGATTACAGGCGTGAGCCACCACGCCCAGCCTGAATTTTGGTTTTTCAACATTCATTCTAAAAACCCAACTTGATTAATTCCTTCCCTCTTCCTTTCTTACCCTTTCCTCCTGAATTTTTTTATCCCACAAAATTAATTTGTTTCTAAAAGCCAGAATGAAATTGGATCATGAGATCTTGTTTATGACCACAGGCAAACTGCTGGTCTCCTCCCAGGTCATCATGACCCACTCCTGGCTGTTCTGGTTAATCCACTAAAATTAAGCAGTTTAATTTTAAAGGTCACTGGAGTGTAGCCTAAGATGTCTTGGCTGGCTGTGAATGACAAGCAGTAAGGAAGGCCCAGGTTCCTACCCGATAGAGGATGGAGCAACTTCTTTCTTACAGTCTCTCGTCGGTGGGGGGATGGATGTCTAAATCTTTTGACTGGGCTGTCCACTGTTTTATCTTCTTCAGAGTCTCTTGCTTCGGCCACGTGCAGTGGCTCATGCCTGTAGCCCTAGCACTTTGTGAGGCTGGGGTAGGAGGATTGCCTGGGCCCAGGAGTTCAAGACCAGGCTAGGAACATGGCGAAACCCCAACTCTACAAAAAATACAAAAATATTAGCTGGGCGTGGTGGTGCGTGCTTATAGTCCCAGCTACTTGAAAGGCTGAGGTGGGAGGATTGACTGAGCCTGGGAGGTTGAGGCTTCAGTGAGCCATGATTGTGCCACTGCACTCCAACCTAGGCAACAGAGTGAGACCGTCTCAAAAAAGGAAGGAAGGAAGGAAGGAAGAAAGGAAGGGAGGAAGTCAGGAAAGAAGGAAAGAAGGAAGGAAGGAAGGGGCTTGCTTCATGTTCAGGGAACCACTTCTTTTGACGTAAGTGGTTTTATTCTTCTTTGGGCCTTTTAAAAACGAACAACTGTTTAGCATTCCTCTAAAAATTCTTCAAATTTAAAGAACAGGCCGGGCACAGTGGCTCACGCCAGTAGTCCCAGCACTTTGGGAGGCTGCCAAGGCAGGTGGATCACCTGAGGTCAGGAGTTCCAGACCAGCCGGGCCAACATGGTTGTATTATGGTTCCTTAGAAGGATAGAACTAACAGGATATATATATATATATCTTATATTAGATATATATATATCTTATATTAGATATATATATATCTTATATTAGATATATATATCTCCTATATATATCTTATATTAGATATATATATATCTCATATGAGATATATATATCTCATATATATATCTCATATGAGATCTATAGATCTCATATATATATCTCATATGAGATCTATAGATCTCATATATATATCTCATATGAGATCTATAGATCTCATATATATATCTCATATGAGATCTATAGATCTCATATATATCTTATATGAGATCTATAGATCTCATATATATCTTATATGAGATCTATAGATCTCATATATATCTTATATGAGATCTATAGATCTCATATATATCTTATATGAGATCTATAGATCTCATATATATCTTATATGAGATCTATAGATCTCATATATATCTTATATGAGATCTATAGATCTCATATATATATCTTATATGAGATATATAGATCTCATATATATATCTTAGATATATAGATCTCATATATATGAGTTTATTAAGTATTATTAACTCATATATATATATGAGTTTATTAAGTATTAATGTATATAATCACAAGGTCCCACAATAGGCCATCTGCAAGCTGAGGAGCAAGGAGAGCCAGTCTGAGTCCCAAAACTGAAGAACCTGGAGTCCAATGTTCCAGGGTAGGAAGCATCCAGCATGGAAGAAAGATGTAGGGTGGGAGGCTAGGCCAGTCTCTCCTTTTCACGTTTTTCTGCCTGCTTATATTCACTGGCAGCTGATTAGATTGTGCCAACCAGATTAAGGGTGGGTCTGCCATCCCCAGCCCACTGACTCAAATGTTCATCTCTTTTGGCAATACCCTCACAAATACACCCAGGATCAATACTTTGTATCCTTCGATCCAATCAAGTTGACACCCATTAACAATCACAATGGTGGGCCGGGCGCGGTGGCTCACGCCTGTAATCCCAGCACTTTGGGAGGCTGAGGCGGGTGGATCATGAGGTCAGGAGATCGAGACCATCCTGGCTAACAAGGTGAAACCCCGTCTCTACTAAAAATACAAAAAAATTAGCCAGGCGCGGTGGCGGGCGCCTGTAGTCCCAGCTACTCGGGAGGCTGAGGCAGGAGAATGGCGTGAACCCGGGAAGCGGAGCTTGCAGTGAGCCGAGATTGCGCCACTGCAGTCCGCAGTCCGACCTGGGCGACAGAGCGAGACTCTGTCTCAAAAAAAAAAAAAAAAAAAAAAAAACACCAATCACAATGGTGAAACCCCGTCTCTACTAAAATACAAAAAAATTAGCCTGGCATGGTGGCACCTGCCTGTAATCCCAGCCACTCAGGAGGCTGAGGCAGGAGAATCGCTTGAACCCAGGGGGTGGAGGCTGCAGTGAGCCGAGATCGGTGCCACTGCACTCCAGCCTGGGTGACAATGAGACTACATTTCCAAAAAAAAAAAAAAAAAAAAAATTAAAAAAAAATTTAAAGAACATATTTACATTTTTTTTTCTGTTCTCCCCTACTTAAGCTAAAGAAGCCTTTTCTGCACTAGGCCCATTTTCTAGACATGTTATTGTTTTGCTCAGTCATTTAACACCACCAACAAGAAGGAAGCACAAACACTAACATTTTATTGGTGGTTATTTTAGGATGGTGAAATGTTACGTGATTTTTGTTTTCTTCTCTCAGTTTTTCTAAACTATTGACAATGGCATATATATTTTAGTAATTTAAATAGTTATTTAAAGTTAAAACTAAAAGCTATAGGGCCAGGCATGGTGGCTTACACCTGTAATCCCAGCACTTTGGGAGGCCGAGGTAGGCAGATCACAAGGTCAGATCACAAGTTTGAGGCCAGCCTAGTCAATATGGTGAAACCCTTTAAAAATACAAAATTAGCCGGGCATGGTGGCGGGCACCTGTAGTCCCAGCTACTCGGGAGGCTGAGGCAGGAGAACTGCTTGAACCTGGGAGGTGGAGGTTGCGGTGAGCTGAGATCGTGCCACTGCCCTCCAGCCAGGGTGACAGAGTGAGACTCCATCTCAAAAACAAAACAAAACAAAACAAAACTAAACTAAAATCTACAGCAAATACTGTGGTTTTAGATCTAGAACAAATTAATAGACTAATGGAAATGAACAGCCAAACACACACACACACACATGATAGCATTAAAAGTCAGGAAGAAAGAATGGACTGTTCAATAAAACATACCTGAATGGGTCAGGCATGGTGGATCACACCCATAATCCCAGCACTTTGGGAGGATAAGGCAGGAGGATGGGTTGAGACCAGGAGTTTGAGACCCAGACTGGGCAACATAGTGAGAGTCTGTCTCTACAAAAAATTTAAAAATTAGCTGGACGTGGTGGTGCATGCCTGTAGTCCTAGCTATTCAGGAGGTGGAGGTGAGAGAATTGCTTGAGCCAGGAGGACAGGGCTGCACTTCTGCCTGGGCAACAGAGTGAGACCCCTGCCTTTATACACAAATGTGTATATATACACACACACATATATGTGTGTATGTGTGTGTGTGTATATATATATATACACACATATAAAATGGGAATAAAATGGGATGATTAGCTATCATATGGAGAAAAGTTCAATTCTTACATCACACCACATCCCCAAATTAATTTTAGGTGGATTAAATACCTAAATGTAAAAAAGCAAAACTAAAGTTTTGGAAGAAAATATTGGAAACTCGATTTATGTCCTTGGGATAAGACTCCTTAAGTAATATATAATAACCGAAGACCATGAAGAAAATTGACTCCATTCAGTTGACTACTTCTGTGGGATAAAAGGCACAATAAGAAGAGCTAGGCCGGACGTGGTGGCTCACACCTGTAATCCCAGCAATTTGGGAGGCCAAGGCAGGCAGATCACTTGAGCCCAGAAGTTCGAGACCAGCCTGGGCAACATGGCAAAACTCTGTCTCTACAAAAAATACAAAAAATTAGCTGGGTGTCGTGGTGTGCGTGTGTAGGTGGTGCGCATCTGTAGCCACTCAGGAGGCTGAGGTGGGAGAATCACATGCCCCTGCACTCCACCCTGGGCGACTGAGACCCTGTCTCCAAAAAAACTGAATGACACACCACAGAAAATATCTGCAGTGCATGTGACCAACAACACAGGATTAGTATGCACAATATATAAAGTATATTACAATAATTCCACTTTATCCCTAGGCATGAATGAAATGACACATATACAAGAGTATTCAATGCAGCCGTGGTTGTAGTAGCAAAAGTTTGGAAACAATCTAATCATTTCCAGGGAATTGTTTAAGTAAATTATAGTATATCCAGACAACGAGACTGCATCTAGCTTGGCTGGGCATCATGCCTGTATCCCAGCACTTTGGAAGGCTGAGGTGGGTGGATCACCTGAGGTCAGGAGTTCCAGACAAGCCTGGCCAACATAGTGAAACCCTGTCTCTATTAAAAATACAAAAAAAAAAAAAAAAAATAGCTGGGTGTGGTGGTGCATGCGTGTAATCCCAGCCACTTGGGAGGCTGACGCAGGAGAATTGCTTGAACCCGGGAGGCGAAGACTGCAGTGAGCTGAGATCATGCCACTGCACTCCAGCCTGGGTGACAGAGCAAGACTCTGTCTCAAAAAAAAAAAAAAAAAAAAAAAAAAAAAAGATTGCATGTAGCTGAAAGAGAAAGCTAGGACATCACTTTACTCCTCTTCCAACTAATAGCGTCTTCTTTTTTTATATGCCACTGCACTGATTAATGTAATTATTGTTTTCACTCAGATATCATTCTAGACTCTTCTGTCTTTAATTTCCCACCCACCTCCAATCTAAATGGTTGTCCTCTCCTCTCAGACATGCCTATTGCTAACATTTTTTTCAAATCTGCAATGTTACTTTATATTGATACTAGTTCCCTGCTGAAATTCTTGAGTTCATCTTTTATCTCCACAAGCATGGTTGTTTTCCAGACTGTCTAGTAATTCTACTGTCTGGAGTACCTGTTTGTATTATCTGTTGCTTCTATTGGTTCTCATTCATACTATCTTTTCTCCATATGTGCCTAGTTATCTTTATGCTAGACATTGTATTTGAAAAATTACTAATAGAAGTCATTTGAGGCCAGGCATCGTGGCTCATGCCTGTAATCTCAGCACTTTGGGAGGCCAAGGCGGGTGGATCACATGAGGTCAGGAGTTTGAGAGCAGCCTGGCCAACACAGGTGAAACCTCGTCTCTACTAAAAATACAAAAATTAGTGGAGTTGCTGTGAGCCAAGATCACGCCACTGCACTCCAGCCTGGGCGACAAAGTGAGATGTTATCTGTCCTCAGAGATGATTTTAGTTTACTTCTTGAAGCCACCAGCAATCTGGATAGCTTTAATTCAATTTATAATTTGGAGATTTTCAGGGCCATCTACATGATTCAAAGCTGGACTAACATCTGTGTGTGTATGAGGGGCAGTTGACTTCTAATTCACTTTTACTCCTAGTTTGTATTATACAATGTAATACTATGTATTATTTATACATTTATATAATGTAATACTATGTATTTATACACTTATACAATGTAATACTATGTATTACAATACATAGTAATTCTGCAAGGTGGTTTACCAGAACTCCCAGCATTCATAGGCACTAAACTCTAGCATTGCCCCTTTAGTCCCACTGGGTTGGTGGTGCTTCATGATTTTTGTTCCACAGACCCCGTGGGTATTCTGATGAAGCTATGACTCCTTCTCAGAACTATGTACCTATACATATACATTTTATATATGTACATTATATACATTTTATATGTACATATGTAGGTGTGTGTCAGTGTGTGTGTGTTTATTTGGAGACAGGGTCTCATTCTGTCACCCAGGCATGATCACGGCTCACTGCAGCCTCAACTTCCTGGCCTCAAGTGATCCTCCCAATTTAGTCTCCTGAATAGCTGGGATTACAGGTGCATGCCATCATGCCAAGCTAACTTTTGTAGTTTTTGTAGAGATGGGGTCTACGTTGCCTAGGCTACTCTCAAACTCCTGGGCTCAAGTGATCCTCCCACCTTGACCTCCCAAAGTGAGAACAATATTTTTTTAATGCATAAATAAAATATGTAATGTCAAAGGAAATCTATTATGTTGAAACACAGTGATCAAAACATTAAAAAACAAATTTGCAATAACAGTAGCACATGTGCTTCTTTATTAATGCATTACATAACATGTTCTGGCAGCAGGTCTAATGATGACTGAAATTTTAAAATAGGAATGTAAATGACGTTTTGAGATATCTGCAACAACTGTAAATGTGGTAGGAAGGTATCTGATTTCTGTTGGTGACAAAGTCACAAGTACTGATAATATTACTGTGGCTTATCAGTACTTGTGACTTTGTTACCAATTGATAATATTACTGTGGCTTGGCTAGGCACAGTGGCTCACACCTGTAATTTCAGCACTTTGGGAGGCCAAGACAGGCAGATCACTGAGGTCAGGAGTTCAAGACCAGCCTGGCCAATGGTTGCAGTGAGCTGAGATCGCGCCACTGCACTCCAGCCTGGGTGACACAGCGAGACTCCATCTCAAAAAATGTATATACACACACACACACACACATATATTACTGTGGCTTGTTGCCTAGATTCATAATAGAAGGGAAATCTAAGCTTCATTTAGAGGTTAGTGCAAAAAAAAATGTATTTTTTTTTCATTTTTTTCTTAGCCAAGTTCATGAATCTTCTGAATTGCATGGTCCATGAAACCCAGATTTAAAATCGCTGCTTGAGGCTGTTGGAAGCACTGCTGTCTCTCAGCTACCACTTGGCCTGGGCAAATGCTGTATTGACCCCCGCTTTTTTTTTTTTTTTTTTTTTTTTTTGAGATGGAGTCTCGCTCTGTTGCCCAGGCTGGAGTGCAGTAGTGTGATCTCAGCTCACTGCAAGCTCCACCCCTCGGGTTCATGCCATTCTCCTGCCTCAGCCTCCTGAGTAGCTGGAACTACAGGAGCCCGCCACCACGCCTGGCTAATTTTTTGTAGTTTTAGTAGAGACGGGGTTTCACAGTGTTTGCCAGAATGGTCTCAGTCTCCTGACCTCGTGATCCGCCTGCCTCGGCCTCCCAAAGTGCTGGGATTACACACGTGAGCCACCACGCCCGGCCTGTATTGACCTCTTTTGACTGTGGTCTTCTAGATCTTGGTGCAACAATTCCTCACTAGCTTGTTAGCTCCTTGATGGCTTTAGAAAAATGCTTTTTATGTTTCACCCAGTGTTTGTCTTCACTAAAAATGATCCATATGGCCTAGTCCACCACTACAGCAGCAGAAGGCCCAGTACACTGCCAGGTTACCTCTTCCTGCATGTACTACAAGACCCTCATTCCTTCTGGCTTGGATTTGCCCACACAGCCCTGGCTCCTAACCCTCCAGTGTGACCTCCATTCTCCACAGTCACCAGAGGGATTTCTCTGTGAACTGGATTTCTAAAAACGTAAAACTGGGCTGGGTGTGCTGGCTCATGACTGTAATCCCAGCACTTTGGGAGGCCAAGGCAGGCGGATCACTTGAGGTCAGGAATTCAAGACCAGCCTGGCCAACATAGACAAACCCCGTCTCTGCTAAAATACAAAAATTAGCTGGGTGTGGTGGCATGTGCCTATAGTTCCAGCTACTCCAGAGGCTGAGGCATGAGAATTGCTTGAACCTGGGAGGTGGAGGTTGCAGTGAGTCAAGATTGTGCCACTGCACTCCAGCCTGGGTGACAGAGCAAGACTGCCTCAAAAAAAAAAAAAAGGTAATAATAATAATAAATAATAAATACATAAAATAAAAATGTAAAACGGATTCTATCAGGCGGGTGCAATGGCTTATGCCATTTGGGAGGCTGAGGCAGGCGAATCACCTGAGGTCAGGAGTTTGAGACCAGCCTGACCAAAATGGTGAAACCCCATCTCTACTAAAACTACAAAACTTAGCCGGGCGTGGTGGCGCATGCCTGTAATCTCAGCTACTCGGGAGGCTGAGGCAGGAGAATCACTTGAATCTGGGAGGCGGAGGTTGCAGTGAGCCAAGATTGCGCCACTGTACTTCAGCCTGGGGAACAAGAGCAAAACTCTGTCCACCCACCACCCCCCCCTGCAAAAAACAAACAAACAAACAAAAAAACTGATTATATCAAATATTAAAATCTTTCAGAGCCTTCTAAATGTTTTCATGCAAAATTCATACATTTACATTTTAGCATGACAAATCAGACTCCTGAAGACTTTTGTCTGAAAACCTGTCTCCCATGAGACTCCTATAAGACTCCTCCAAGATGGGAAACTGCCTCTCCTCCTATCCCCGAATCTTGTCTGATGCACCTGCCATGCCCAACTCCTGGGAGTTTCCAGAGTACTGGATCCACCCTGTGGCTTCTGTGCCTTTGCATGTGACCTTTCTGCCTCCAGTAGCCATCCTCTCTTCCTTCCTCAGCCTGGCTAGCTCTCCAGTGTTTCAAGTCTTGGCTTGGGTACCACCTCTTCTGGGAAGACTTCAGGACTCTTCCAGTCTTTCGAGTTCTTCCTGTGTTTTTTCATAATACCCCCTGTTCATTCATTTTTTCTTTTCTCTTTTTCTTTTTTTTTTTTTTTTGAGGCATGGTCTAGCTCTGTTGCCCAGGCTGGAGTGCAATAGTGCCATCTTGGCTCACTGCAATGTCCTCCTGTTGGGCTCAAACAAACCATCCTCCCACCCCAGCCTCCTGAGTAGCTGGGACTACAAGCACATTCCACCACACCTGGCTTTAGTATTTTTGGTAGAGGTGAGGTTTTGCTGTATTGCCTAGGCTGATCTAGAACTCCTGGGCTCAAACAATCTTTCCATCTTGGCCCCCCAAAGTGCTGGGATTACAGAAGTGTGCCACTGTGCCCTGCCCATTCCTACCTTTATACAAGCATAGTATGCTGTGATTTGGTTTTTGTTGGTCTCCCTCGCTAGACTGTAAGCTGCTTTAAGACAGGGGCTTTCTTCTCTGAATGTGCAGCACATACCACAATGTCTAACCCCACCTTTTTTTTTTTTTTTTTGAGATGCAGTCTCACTCTGTCATCCAGGCTGGAGTGCAGTGGCATCATCTCGGCTCACCTGCAACCTTCACCTCCTGGGTTCAAGCAATTCTCCTGCCTCAGCCTCCCGAGTAGCTGGAATTACAGGCACCCGCCACCATGCCCGGCTAATTTTTTTTTTGTATTTTTAGTAGAGATGGGGGTTTCACCATGTTGGTCAGGCTGGTCTTGAACTCCTGATCTCAAGTGATCTGCCTGCCTCGGCCTCTCAAAGTGCTGGGATTACAGGCGTGAGGCACCGCACCCAGCCAGCCTACCTGTTTGTTGACTAAAGTGAATGGAGTTATACCTGGCACCTGCTGTTGTTACTAGGTCACTTACCTCACCTGGCCACTCTTTTTAAACAAGTGCTGGAGTGAGAGGACACTACACCTCCTGCCTTCATTACCACTTTTGCTTATGAATTTTCCTACTTAGGAATTCATATGCTGTCAAATGGCTTATAAATCACTCATTCCCATACATGTTTTAAAAAGTGGGAACTAATATATATCCAAGTTACTAATATGTACTTATATATCTTTTATGTAATTCTTCCCCAAATTTGGGGTAGCTTTTAAAATTAAGGCAAAATAGAAGATTGAAACTGTAGGTATCATAAGGAGATCGGAAACTATTTAAGGAAAGACACAAGGAAGCTCAGAGGGAGGCAGGGGCACACAAAGTGGCTCTGAGTTCCTGGTAGGAAGGCCGGGAAGGGGAACAGATAGGACTCATTTGTCTGATAAAATGAACCATAAAGTTTGAAAATATAAACTTTTACTTGCACTGAATTCTGAGAAAAATTTATTACAGGGATTCTTATATAGAAACAATGGATATGTAATAGATAATGCCTTCAGTTCTAATTTTCAGAAAACATGGAAATGTTTTTCACATGGCTGTCTCTTTGCTAAAAGCAAAGAACTAAAACATTCATCCAGAAATACTGACTAATGGGATCCAGTTTGATACAGAAGTAAAAGTTGGATGGCTGGGAGTGGTGGCTCATGCCTATAATCCTAGCACTTTGGGAGGCTGAGGTGGGTGGATTGCCAGAGCTCAGAAGTTCGAGATCAGTGTGGGCATCATGGTGAGACACCATCCATATCTACAAAAAATACAAAAATTAGCTGGGCGCCGTGGTATGCGCCTGTAGTCCCAGCTACTCTGGAGGCTGAGTCAGGAGAATCGCTTGGACTCCAGGAGGCAAATGTTGCCGTGAGCCAAGATCACGCCACTGCACCCTAGCCTGGGCGACAAAGTGAGACTCCGTCTCAAAAAAAAAGTTGGAGAACCAAGAGAAATGGACTGAAGAAACAGCCCTTCGGCTCTCTCGTGTTAGTTGTTAAACTGTTGACAAGAGTGTGGGCAGCAGCCTACCCATGAGCTCACTAAAGAGGACCCAAAGGGTACACGTTATGTTGTTGACTGGAGATCAGAAAGCTTCAGATGCCAGAAGATGGCAAAGTTGATGATCTTCTACACAAACAAAGGAGGCCTGCTACAGTCTCACCTGGATTGAGGACCAAATCACTTGTCCGGAGGTTGAGGGCAGCCACGTCTGCAAACAGAAGTGGGAGTGGACAGCACACGCTTTAACACGTGAAGCTGGGTGTGGGAGAGGCCATTTCTCACTGTTATTTTCATGACCTATTCTGGAAGTGAGATTGCAGGCCGACCAGAAAGCTATGTGTGCCCAAATCACTCCAGTGTTTCTCATATGAAAACTTGTACACCTTACTTAATTCCCCAAAGAATTTGGTGGGATTTTAATAAAATAGTAAAACTGTAGATATTAAAAAAGAGGTCATAAACTATTTAGGGAAAGAGGACAATTTGACCAGGAAGCTGGGGTACCGTGGTGAGCTGGCGCTTATCTCATAGGGTCCTTATGAGGATTAAATAAGATAATTCATGGAAAGCAATTTGCCTATTGTCCAAGACACAGATAAATATTAATCTCCTTTACTGTTTCCTTTTCTGTAGGCAATGAGTAACCAATGAAGCTTTTTTTTTCAGATGGAGTTTCACTCTTTTTGCCCAGGCTGGAGTGCAATGGCGAGATCTCGGCTCACTGAAACCTCCGCCTCCCGGGTTCAAGTGATTCTCCTGCCTCAGCCTCCCAAGTAGCTGGGATTACAGTCACCTGACACCATGCCTAGCTAATTTTCATATTTTTAGTAGAGATGGGGTTTTACCATATTGGCTTGGCTGGTCTTGAACTCCTGACCTCAGGTAATCCTCCGCCTCTGCCTCCCAAAGTGCTGAGATTACAGCTGTGAGCCACTGTGCCTGGCCCACTGAAGCTTTTTAAGAGGCAATGAAATGGTCAGAATTCTGTTTAAGGAAAATTAATAGGTTCAGTGATAACAGAAGCAGCAATTTGAAGTTTAAAAACATTTACATTTGAGCTGGCAACAACTTTGGGTCCCAGGTTGTTTTAAGTCACTTTAAGAGGCTTAAAACATTCATATGCAAATCTCTGAACCCAAGAAAATAACTTCCTCTTAACCCTAGGCCTGGCCGTTAGGAAAATTTTTTTTTTGAGCCAAAAAATCCCATACTTTTAGGTTTACACTTAAGACATCTTCTCAGGATTAATTGTAAATTCCTTAGAAGCAAAAATAGTCATTTACTTTTATTCTTATTTCCATAGAAACTAATAGAACTGAACAAGAAGCAAGACTTAGGTTAATTGTGTGCTGACTTTACTTCGAGTGGTTTTGTCTTAACAAGCTAGGCAGAATTTGTCAGCATTGTGTTACATAGAATATGACCTGGTTAAAACAGAAAGCTATGTTGAGAAAAATGCCACCTCCTCTAAAGCAATGTGAATGGCAGTGGTTATTCCCTCAAATGAGTCTTTTTCGAATATGAGAACTTATTCCAGTGAAGCTATTGTTGCTGAAAACATTTTTGGATCTTCTTTTCTTTTGTGGAAAGAAAGATTACAGTAAGATGAAAAGGATGGACTCAGGTGCCCTGGCCTCACTGGGGTTTGATCACATCTCTACTTAGAAGTGATGTGGCCTTCAGCAAAGGAGTCTGGTATCAAAGCTCACCAGATGCCATGGCTCATGCCTGTAATCCCAGCACTTTGGGAGCCAAGGCAGATGGATCACTTCAGGCCAGGAATTCGAGACCAGCCTGGCTAACATGGCGAACCCCCGTCTCCACTAAAAATACAAAAATTAGCCAGGTGTGGTGGCACATGCCTGTAGTCCCAGCTATTGGGGAGGCTGAGACAGGAGAATCACTAGAACCCGGGAGGCAAAGGTTGCAGTGAGCCGAGATTGCCACTGCACTCCAGCCTGGGCAACAGGGCGAGACTATGTCCCACCAAATTATAACAAAACAAAAACATCCAATCAAATGGGGGCTTGACTTATTCTCAACAGGACAAAATTCACTTATATTGCCATGGGCAGGCATCATCTGCATAGCAAGACAAGAAATATTCACATCATTATAAGTTTTCTATAAATCAACTTGTACCTCTACAGAGTTGTAAAATTTAAAGACATGGGCACACAGCACACAGGGATCAAGCATTACATTGAAAGGATAGCCAGTAATGTTTTGCCCATTCCAAAATCTCAAATTTTTCCTTGCATAGGTATGTTGTGGAGATTTACAAGTTAATCTACTTTAAAAACAGCTTGATGTGGCCAGGCATGGTAGCTCACGCCTGTAATCCCAGCACTTTGGGAGGCTGAGGCGGGCGGATCACCTGAGGTCAGGAGTTCGAGACCAGCCTGGCCAGCATGGTGAAACCCTGTCTCTACTAAAAAAAAAAAAAAAAAAAAAAAAAAAAAAAAATTAGCCAGATGTGGTGGCAGGTGCCTGTAATCCCAGCTACTCGGGAAGCTGAGGCAGGAGAATTGCTTGAACCCGGAAGGTGGAGGTTGCAATGAGCCAAGATTGTGACATTGCGCTCCAGGCTGGGCAACAGAGCAAGACTCTGTCTCAAAAACAAAAACAAAAAGAGCTTCATGCATAGTAAACTTGGTAAATTAAATATTCTCATTGCCTGCAGAATCTCCTATATATACGGCCAGGCGTGGTGGTTCACACCTGTAATCCCAGCACTTGGGAGGCCAAGGTGGGCAGATCATGAGGTCAGGAGATCAAGACCATCTTGGCTAACATGGTGAAACCCCATCTCTACTAAAAATACAAAAAATTAGCCGGGCGTGGTGGCACACACCTGTAGTCCCAGCTATTTGGGAGGCTGAGGCAGGAGAATCACTTGAACCCGGGAGACAGAGGTTGCAGTGAGCTGAGATCGTGCCACTGCACTCCAGCCTGGGTGACAGAGTGAGACTCCATCTCAAAAAAAAAAAAAAAAAAAAAAAAAAAGAATCTCATATATATATATGTATACACACATATATTTGAGACAGAGTCTTGCTCTGTCACTCAGACTGGATTGCAGTGGTGCAATCATAGCTCACTGCAGCCTCAACCTCTTGGGCTCAAGCAATCCTCCTATCTCAGCCTCTCAAACAGCTGGGACTACAGATGCACATCAGCACGCCAGGCTAATTGTTTTATTCTCTGTAGAGACAGAGTCTCACTATGTTGCCCAGGCTGGTCTGGAACTCCTGGGCTCAAGCGATCCTCCCACCTTGGCCTCCCAAAGTTGCTGGGATTACAGGTGTAAGCCACCAAGCCTGGGCCGGTACATCTCTTTGAATATACCCAGTAGTTGTTTCTTAGCCATGGAATGAATATCCGATTTTTCGGAAATAGCCAAGCTATTTGAAACCAAATCTGTTAAATAAGTACAGAATACTGATTTTGTTTTTTTAAAAAACAAAGGTTTTTTGGACAATATAATGAGAGGGCTTTCATAGCTAGTTGATTAGATACATTTGAAAAATCAGTTCTTACAGAATTCTAAATGGGATATTTGGCTTCCCAAGATAAATTAAAGAACACTATATGAAGAATTGACATATGATGTGTTTGCTTAAAAATGCACTCTGCAGCTGGGCATGGTGGCTCACACCTGTAATCCCAGCACTTTGGGAGGCCGAGGCAGGCAGATCATTTGAGGTCAGGAGTTCAAAACCAGGCTGGCCAACATGGTGAAACCCTATCTCTACTAAAAATACAAAAATTAGCTGGGTGTCATGGTGTGCACCTGTAATCCCAGCTACTTGGGAGGCTGAGGCAGGAGAATCGCTTGAACCCAGGAGGCGGAGGTTGCAGTGAGCTGAGATTGTACCACTGTACTCCAGCCAGGGCGACATGTCAAAAAAACAAAACAAAACCAAAGCACTCTGCAAGCTTCCTGGCTAACTCTTGTACATTGCAGCAGGGGAAGTTTGATGCCTCTGAGGGCGATGCCAAAGCCAGGCGGGCTGCTGGGGTGTGAGCATGGAGTAAATGCAGCAAGGTCACAGATGACGGATGATGACTGCGGTGGGAAAACCCACATAGCGGCCTGCAAGCACGTCTCAGGAAGAGCTGTCTTGCTAGGGGCAAACTTACGGTAAAGGATGACGCCATCATTTGATAAAATGTTCTGTCATGCTTTTAGTGGCGAGTTTTTAACAATAAAGCAAAACACTCACCATGAACCAAATGTTAAAATCAATGTCAACCAAGTCACATCATTTCCTGTTCCACTTGGTTTTGAAATTCAACTTCTCCTTTATTTAAAAATGACATCAAAACCAGTCTTCTCTTGAAGAGGTAATTTAGGAAATGGAGCAATTTACTGTGGTTTTAGAGGATGTAAAGTGCTCCGTGCAGTTGGACATGTACAGGGCAGCAGCTGGAGGCATGAGGACGTAGAGCCGTCATTCAATGTGGTCCCCGGGCCAGCAGCAACTGCACAACATGGGAGCTCCTTAGAAAGGCAGGATCCTGGACCTCACCCTGTTTCAGAACCTACATCTTTTTTTTTTTTAATTTGCAAAAATTTATTCATATACAAATGTGCAATATCAATAAAATGACCAAACAGGTTTGTTCTTGAAACATTTTCAATTGAATGGGAATTAAATGCTTTTGAAAAGTGACAAAATGATCATACAGTGAAGTTGTCTCTTTCTTTATATAACAAGCATAAATCAAGTACTAACTCTTGATTTTACTCTGAATTAACCATGACATACTAAATGAACTTGGGCTTCAGGCAGAACCTACATCTTAAGGCGAGCTCCAGGCGATGGGTATGCACATTAAGGCTTAGGAAGCACACTGTTCTAGGTTAACAGCTCAGGTCTCTGGGCTTAGCACTACAGGGAGAACGTGACTAGGAAGTGCAGACTTGGGTTCTGATCTCAGGCTTACCACTAAATATCTGCTGTTTCCCACAGCCCTGCCCGCTTCTCAGGACTGTGGGGGACCAAATGGGATCCTTATTAACAAGGTCCTGTAAGATCTGGGTCCAGCCTGCCTCAGACCTTATCATGTAATACTTTCTATTTTGAGTTGGGCTTTCTAACCAGGCTGACCTCAAGTAGAGTTTGTTTCTGCCTCAGGGCCTTTGCACAGGCTGTTTTCTCTGCCTGGAACACCCTCCCTTTTGACCTCTGCACTGCAGCTGCCTCCTGTTAATCAGATCTCAGCCTAAATGTTGTCTCTCCAGTGAGACCCTCCAGGGACTGCACGAGTATCAAATACCTTTGTCAAGAAATAAAACCTCCCCAGGCCGTGCGCAGTGGCTCACGCCTATAATTCCAGCACTTTGGGAGGCCGAGGTGGGTGGATCACCTGGGGTCAGGAGCTCGAGACCAGCTTGGCCAACATCATGAAACCCCATCTCTACTAAAAATACAAAAAATTAGTTGGGTGTGGTGGTGTGCACCTATAATACCAGCTACTCGGGAGGCTGGGGCAGGAGAATCTCTTGAACCCAGGAGGTGGAGGCTGCAGTGAGCCGTGTTCACACCACTGCCACTCCAGCCTGGGTAACAAGAGGGAAACTCCGTCTCAAAAAAGAAAAAAAAAAAAGACCTCCCTTGCTTTCCCCTACTGATTTCTCTTGGAAATGACAGCAATGTTACCCTGATTACTCTCGCAGCCCATACCCTGCAAATGGAAATCTGCCAACTTCAACCAGGAAGAAAAGACTGGAATGCAGGTTGCTTTTTATAGCATTTCAAGGAAAGATCATTCATTCACTGCCTATACATCCTTCCTTCCGGCATCACTGTGAGACTCTGCATGCACATTAATTTCATCCATTCCTCTTGAAAAAGTGAAGGACTTAAACCAGAAAAGCGGCCACAGGTCACAATACAAGATGGTTAACGTCACTCCGTTAACAGTGCCTTGGCCAAGGACAGCCAGATGGCCCGGAGGCTGACTTGGCAAAGCTGCTGGAGAGTTGGGGAGGGCTGCGGGTTAACAGCAGGGAGCACATACTTCATTAAACTACAAGCCGGGAGCCGTCCAGAGGTGCCTTCTGCTGCAGAATGGAAATTTAATAATGGTTTATTGGTTTAGTTGTGATTTTCAATTAAGCACGACAGAAATTGGTTTTAAGTCCAATATTAGAGGTTCTAAAATGTTAGTTTACACAGTCTAATGATGTATGACGGGAGAAGGCCACAGCTGTTTTCTTTAATCTATTTACAATCTTCGCAGCAGAAAGGCTAAATGAACTCTCCTACCATTATCAGGTCAGGGCTAAATGCAGCCCCGATCACAGGCAGTGATGCCTTCTTATGAACTACTTCTGCCTGACTTTCCTTAGCTCAGAAAATACTACAAAGGGAAAAGGCGTGCTGAGAGCCTCTGCTGCTCCGCCAAGTGTGCAGAACAAACAGTACAATGGCCCCATCTACTGACACGGGCTAAAACAGCAGACAGGACATGCAGCAACACAAGCAATCCTGCCTCGAGCTCCGCTTCACGCCCGTGACCCACAGCACTGCTGAGGAATGTCTGATGCCTAGTAAACTACTTTATTATTGTCCTCAGGCACAACGTGATACGAGGGGTTTCTAGTATTTTCTCTACGGTTCCAGGTCTTCATTCTTGTTTACGCCTAGTGTGTTTTTTTTGGAAATGGAGTCTCGCTCTGTCGCCCAGGCTAGAGTGCAATGGCACGATCTTGGCTCACTGCAAGCTCCACCTCCCGGGTTCACACCATTCTCCTGCCTCAGCCTCCTGAGTAGATGGGCCCGCCACCATGCCTGGCTAATTTTTTGTATTTTTAGTAGAGATGGGTTTAGTAGAGATGGGGTTTAGTAGCCAGGATGGTCTTGATCTCCTGACCTCATGAGTTTATGCCTAGTTTGTTTTTTTTTTGTTTTTTGTTTTTTTTTTTGAGACAAAGTCTCACTGTCACCCAGGCTGGAGTGCAATGGCACGACCTCGGCTCACTGCAACCTCCTGCTCCCAGGTTCAAGCGATTCTCCTGCCCCGGCCTCCTGAGTAGCTGGGATTACAGGTGCACACCACCAACACCCGGCTAATTATTTTGTATTTTTAGTAAAGATGGGGTTTCACCATGTTGGTCGGTTGGTCTCGAACTCCTGACCTCATGATCCGCCCGCCTCGGCCTCCCAAAGTGCTGGGATTACAGGCTTGAGTCACCATGCCTGGCTGTTTATGCCTAGTTTTAAATTAGCTGGACAGCTCCAGATGCAACCAGAGGTGCAATGGTTTTGTATCGGATCAAGTGCTGTGAGCCCTTCTCCAGGTCAATCACGTAGTCCCTGAAAAAGAGGGAAACACATTTGCCTGCAGAGCTCGGCTGGCCCTCCATCGGGAGGAATGTGCCCACTGTGAAAGATGCACGCCACTCACCTCTGCTCATCTGTGTCTGGTTCTACCAGTATGTTTTCTTGTCGTTCTCTCACTCTCAGAAACACGTAAGAATCTAGATCTGGTTTGGGAACTGCCAGGAAAACAACAATGTGATTAGGAAATCCTCGGCCAACAAAGTCAACAAAGTAAAAGTTGCTGGGAAGAATGGTATGGCACACTCAGGGTTTAGATAGGAGCCCAGCCCATTCCTACTCTTCAAAGATGCAGACAGAGTGGCTGACCAGGGAGGAAACCGGACACGCATTGGGCCTTTTGTTTTCCTCAGGCAGCCTCAGCAAAATGACCAATTCAGGGTTCCACAAGTCTGGTATGGGTCTGACTTGCTCCTGGTGTTATGGGCTACACTGTGTCCCTGCACAATTCATACGCTGAAGCCCTAACCCCCAGTATTTCAGCGTGGGATTGTATTCGGAAACAGGGCTTTTAAAGAGGCAATTAAGTGAAAGCGAGGCCAAGTAGTGTGGGCCCTAATCCAATCTGACTGGTGTCTTATAAGAAGAGAATAGGCCAGGCACAGTGGCTTATGCCTGTGATCTCAGCATTTTGAGAGGCTGAGGCTGGAGGATCAATTGAGGCCAGGAGTTTGACACCAGCCTACGCAACATGGCAAGATTCTGTCTCCACAAAAAAATTTTAAAAATAATAGCCAAGCATGGTGGCACATGCCTGTAGTTCCAGCTACTTGGGAAGCTGAGGTGGGAGGATCGCTTGAGCCCAGGAGTTCAAGGCTGCAGTGAGCTATGACAGCGTCAATCTACTCCAGCTGGGGCAACTGAGCAAGACCTTGTCTCAAAAAATAAAAAGCAAACAAAAAACAAAAATCAAAAGGTGGGGGGGAGGGAGGGGACTAGGACACACAGAGACTAGGATTAGTGATCTTATAAAAGTAGCCTGAGAGTCTGCTTGCCCCTTCCCTTCTCTGTGAGGACATATGGAAGGCGCCATCTATGAGGAACAGGCTCTTGGCAGACACTGAGTCTGTGGGGGCCTGGATCCTGGACTTCCCAGTCTCCATAACTGTGAGCAGCCCAAAGGGACTAAGACCCTGTTCCACCACCGCAGGGGTGGCTGTGTGGTCCCCAGCCCCAGCACAGGCTGGGCAGAGATGAATTTCCAGGGCTCGGGTGTACTGGAGCTCGTTTGATTTGGTATGGCAATTTTGCCTGAGGAGGTCTTGCTTGGATCTGGCGCACTGTGAAACACTGAGGAACATGGGCTTTATCCTGTAAGCCAGGGCCCCCGGTGGGTTGATCCGACGGTAAGGGCTCTGCCTATACCTCCCTTTCCTTGCTCGGCAGCCCTCAGGGGCTGGTGCGAAGAAGCCCGAGGAGGGGCTCCGGCCAAGCTCCCCTTCCCCGGCTCCCCTCCCTCCTCTCTCCACACCCTCCAACCTGCTCCCTCTTCTGAGGCCACAGGGACTCACTGGAGGTCTCCCTAGCCTCCTGTTTCAGCCCTCCCCTCCAGCTAGGCGAGCCCTGTGCATTCTGGGACCTGTGACGAAGAGATGGCCAGCCCCTCTAAGCAGGGGCAATGTTGGTGTAGGCTCTGCAGTGCTGGTACTCGGGGCTGCCAGCACCTCACAGAGGCTCAGCAGATGGCTACTGAAGGCGAACGCGGCTCCATGCCCGAGTCTACAAGCACCAGTGCAGTCATGGGGCTCAGCCCACCCCAGGGAACAAGGAAGCAATGCTCAAATGCCTACCATTGGATCTGCTTTCCGTGATTTTTTTGGTTTTTAGCTAGAATCCTTGCTCTTCTTTCTGTTTATCTACATACTTACTTTTTTGTATTTGGGTAAAAACAGTGAAGAGAGGATCCTACCCTGGGACACCTGAGGATGGGTGGGCCACCTGCAGGGAGAACGTCCTGTTTACCTGCCCGAAAGAGGTCCACCTTCTGTAAGTTAGGGGGCATGTGCTTCAAGGCGACATTTTTCAGATAGGACTCTGTGTTCGCCATGAACCTGAAAGACATGGATTCAAATCGCTGTGGTGTACACAGCTGATGGACGTCCAAGGTTAGCAGGCAGCAGCGCACAGGCCTCTAGGACAGGCCTCATGCTGAACCAGCCAGGTGCCCCACGCCAACGGCTCACTCACTCACTCTCTGGCAAAGGCCAACTCTTCCGGCGAGAGGCTGGAAGGCTCCCCCTCAGGACGTGTTTTTTCCTTCTCAAGGACATGAGGGAAAAACTTCTCTATCTGTGAGGATAAAGCAAAATCTTCATGAAAACATTGGCAAAAGTCAAAGAGAAGGATGTGGTTAACATAAAGAGGGTTTACACAACCCTCCCGAGGAAGGACATGTGGCCTGGAGGTGGGATAGGGTGGGTGGAGAGACACACCATAAGACACAGGACAACGTCTCTGAGACACCCTTGCAGGCAAGCTATGGACCTGGGGCTAGGGGACGGCTTGGATTGGGAGACTCCTAAGTGGCTGAAAAAAGAATGCTGACTCAATGGGTAGATGTCAAACTGTAGGGAAGTCTTTTGTGAAAGACCCTTGCCACAGTCCAATTAATAATCACATAAGGTTTTTTTTTTTTTTTTTTTTTTTTGAGATGGAGTCTCATTGTGTTGTCCAGGCTGGAATGCAGTGGTGTGATCTCAGCTCACTGCAACCTCCAACTCTCGGGTTCAAGTGATTCTCCGGCCTCAGCCTCCCAAGTAGCTGGGATTACAGGCACCCACCACCACACCCAGATGATTTTTGTATTTTTAGTAGAGATAGGATTTCACCATGTTGTCCAGGCTGGTCTCAAACTCCTGACCTCAGGTGATCCACCTGCCTTGGCCTCCCAAAGTGCTGGGATTATAGGCGTGAGCCTGTAACTGGTCATCACCAGCTTTGGTAAGCATGCCATCAAAAACCTTATGTGGGCCAGGCACAGTAGCTCATGCCTGTAATCCCCGCACTTTGGGAGGCCAAGGTGGGTGTGGATCACCTGAGGTCAGGAGTTCGAGATCAGCCTGGCCAACATGGTGAAACCCTGTCTCTTCTAAAAATCAGCTGGGCCTGGTGGCAGGGGCATGTAATCCCAGCTACTTGGAAGGCTGAGGCAACAGAATCACGTCAACCTGGGGGGCGAAGGTTGCAGTGAGCTGAGATCGCGCCACTGCACTCCAGCCTGAGCAACAGAGTGAGACTCTGTCAAAAAAAACAAAAAAACACAACCAAACAAATAAAAAAAGGGGGTTGATGACATAAAGTATTAAGAGACAGCTAATACATTAGGTGACAAGATCAGCATCCAGAGACAAGGGAAATGGCCCAATTTAATAAGATAAAGCTTAAGAGAGATAAGTATCAAGCCCTACACTTAAGGAGCCAAAACCTAAGCCATACAAGTAGAGGACAGTGACTGGATGGGGTAATTATCATCTTAAAAGGGGTTAGTGTCCACGTGAGTGAAGAATGAGCTCAGGCAGCGTACCTGTCAATATGCTAATGTGATAAATATGCTAATGTGATGTGGTTGGCATTACTACCAGCTTAATAACCAGAATAAGAGAAATGATCATTCTGTTTTTCACAAACTTGGTCAAACTACAACTGGGATACTGTGTTTAGTTTAAGATAGTGTAACTTAAGAAGGATAGAGACAAACAAGAACCCTTTTAGAGAAGAGACCAGGAGAGTAAATGGTTTGAATGGCTAAAATGTATGCCTGAGAGAAGACTTCGAGGAGACTGTGGGCAGTCTTCAGATAGCTGAAGCATTCTCATGTAGAAGAGATAATTTATCTTATTTGTAATAACTAAAGAGACACATAGAACCAAATGAAATGTCAAGGAAGTAAGAATTTCTCAGAGTTATAAACTAGGAATGTTTTGCAATTTCTTTTTTTTTTTTTTTTGAGGCGGAGTCTCGCTCTGTTGCCCAGGCTGGAGTGCAGTGGTACAATCTTGGCTCACTGAAACCTCCACCTCCTGGGTTCAAGCAATTCTCCTGTCTCAGCCTCCTGAGTAGCTGGGACTACAGGCGCCTGCCGCCACGCCTGGCTAATTTTTTTATTTTTAGTAGAAATGGGGTTTCACCTTGTTGGTCAGGCTGGTCTCAAACTCCTGACCTCAGGTGATCCACCCGCCTAGCCTCCCAAAGTGCTGGGATTACAGGTGTGAGCCACCACGCCTGGCCTGCAACTTCATTTTTGTAAGTTAGATAGCCACAAAGCTGTAGGTGAATGTAAGTCATCCTGGTTCATTTGACACTGACGTTGGCCATCTGACAGACAAAATAATTTTGGAAACAAGTTCTCCTCTAGTCAGCATTCACTATTGACCAATGCCAACAACTCTCCCTTTAGCACTGCCATGCTGTAACGCAAGGGGGAACCACTCACTCGGCAGGTGAACAGACTAAAAATGTGTGCGGTGTCCCCGCAGTGGGCCACACACGTTCCTCTGTGCTTCTGTGGAGCAATCTCTCGCTCTCCTTACAGTTTAGCTACATGGATATTGGGCTCTTAGCAGCATCTTCAGGTCCTGGACCCTCCTGGGCCCCAGCCCAAGTTTTCCCCAGGACATTCAGTCTGCATTACAGACTGTGCTGTCTCAATCCCTCCAGGTATCTCCACGTCAAACCTTCATGAGGCGACACCGCAAGTAGCTGCTGAGGACGTAGCGGATCCTCTCCATCTCCATTTGGTGGATGCTGACCTTCAGGTCCTCCCTTTTGGCTCTCCTGAGATTTTCTTCCTATTAAATGAGAAATTAAGGTTTATAAAAAACATGATGTTCAACCATCATCACCGGCAACGTTGAGGACCCAGACTATGTTTCAGTCCAAGGAAAACAAAAATATCATGTGAGTTTTCATTTTATCATTGTATAAAGTACAAACAATAGTCATTTACTTTTAGAAAATGACCATTTGAATAGAATCTGTTCAGCCAGAGGCTTCCAAAAGAACTCCAATCTGATTGTAAGGGAGATAGTACAGCACACAGACGAAACTTCCATTGGGTCTAAAAAGCAGTATTAAAACACCAGCTGAGAAACTGAAATATCCACATTTTACAGCTTCTCTGAAGTTGACAATGATTTATGCTCAGATCATCTAGGCCAGGGACCACAAACTCAAATGTTTGCAGGGGCCAGGTGGGGAGGCTACAAGAGAAGGGTGGGTAGTCAGGGGCTGTGGGGAGCAGGGAGTACATGGATGGACAGCTCTCATGGGACTGCTCTGGTCAACTGTTCTCATGCAGAAATGCAGGATTTTAGACTTTTCATGGGAAGCCAATATCCAGATATTTACAGGCACTCTCAAGATTGATAAACATAGATAACTAATTCAATGTTGTTTTAAAGAACTGGACTGTGAGTGGAGCCAAACAAAACAGATTTGCTACCAGACCACAAGCTCTCAGTGTGCTGACCAAATGCTTTTACCTTTCTCCTCCTTTGTCAACCCAAGACAAGCGACTCTTACCATGTGCTCCAGCTGTTCCATGACACATTCTACAATCTCAGGCTTGCTCTCCAGCAGCTCAGGGGCAAACTTTTCATTCATCCAGGCCTAAAAGACAAATGCCAGAAAAAGCAAGCATCACCCACCACAGAGCTAAACAACCCAGTGAGTCAGCCCAAGTCCAACGAAAACCAGGGATGGCGCAGGCAAGAAAACTGTCTGCCCACCAACTGGAAACATTGAAGGTGTTTTGAAGACAAACTACGTTTAGCGATTGCTTTCTCGTGTCTTGTTTTAGTTGGGAGGCTGTGTTCACAACCTTCTATTCAACTGACACTCATACAAACCCTTGCTTACTTCAGTTAGTGTGACGCTTGGTGCTGAGAGTGACACCACCTGGTGTTCAAATAGTGCCTTTGCCAGGCAGCCCGGGCACACTGTTCCCCCAGGCAGCGCCACCCCATGTCTATTTAGAGAGAAAGCAATAACCCACCAATCCACACAGCTCTTCATTCCTGAAGCTCAGAGCACTTCACAAATATTTTTCATTCATCATCATCATATCTCAGAGAAAATGGATATAGTTATCCTCATCTGATTGAAAAAATACAGATTGAGTAATTTACTAATGGCCCCAAAGTATACAGGATCATAATAGAAACAGGCGCTCATCTATTATGGAGTTTTGGAGCCAGAGGTTAAAGCTCTAATTTATGACTCAGGCCCAGCTGTTTGGTTCATTTTAGAGACTTCCAAGGCTTAGAGAACTGAAATATCCCTAAGTGACTGAGGAAAGCTACACTTATCTTTCAATTACAGGAAATGTAGTTTTAGCATAGCTCAGAATTATATGCTGACCAGGCTCAACTTATTTTTTTCTGACGTCCTTGAGTGTCTGCTTCTCCCCATGATCACCGTCAAGACACATTACCAAATGCTGGGTATGGCTACAGTCATAGGCATTTGTGCAGAGCCTGAGCATCTGTAACAGTCCTGCAGACTGAAACAAACAAACAAAAAAAACCTGCATAATGCATGGGAAAACATCATATTTTCTGGAGGGCTTATTAGGAGCAGCATTTCTTTTTGATTGATTTTTATTAAATATTGAATAATTTTTATTTATTTTTGAGGCACAGTCTCACTCTGTTGCCCAGGCTGGAAAGCAGAGGCATGATCCCAGCTCACTGCAGCCTCTGCCTCTCGGGTTCAAGTGATTCTCCTGCCTCAGCCTTCCGAGTAGCTGGAATTACAGGCATGTGCCACTATGCCCAGCTAATTTTTGTATTTTTATTAGAGACAGGGTTTCACCGTATTCGTCAGGCTGGTCTTGAACTCCTGACCTCAAGTGATCCACCTGCCTTGGCCTCTCAAAGTGCTGGGGTTAGAGGCGTGAGCCACCGAGCCCAGCCAAATACTGAATAATTTTTAAAACTACAAGAACAAGCCGGGTGCAGTGGCTCACGCCTGTAATCCCAGCACTTTGGGAGGCCGAGGCAGGCGGATCACGAGGTCAGGAGATCAAACCATCCTGGCTAACATGGTGAAACTCCGTCTCCACTAAAAATACAAAAAATTAGCCGGGCGTGGCACGCCTGTAGTCCCAGCTACTTGGGAGGCTGAGGCAGAACTGCTTGAACCTGGGAGGCAGAGGTTGCAGTGAGCCAAGATTGCACCACTGCCCTCCAGCCAGGGCAACAGAGCAAGACTCCATCTCAAAAAAAAAAAAGACCCTGTGTGTCCCTCCCTCCTCAGAGGTAATCATTAGCTTGAATTTCATGTTGAATTTTCTTTATGGTCTCACTACATTTGTTCATATCTCTGTAGAACACCTCTCAACCTGTTCATGACAGGATATTCAAAGAAAATGATAGTGCTTGTCTGGTACACTGGGGTAGTATTGGGGACCACTTCATTTACATTATGAAATTATGACAATAAAGTATAAAACATTAGGTGGAAGTTTATATTAGTATAAAACTTTCATATAAATCTTTCCAAAATTTTTACTGAGAAACTTGTATCTAAATCCAATCTTTTTTTTTTTTTTAACTCAGGTTTTATGCTTGAAATGGCTACATCTGGTTTCTGGTCACACAGTGGCATGATAATGGCTCACTGCATTCTTGACCTCCAAGGCTTAAGTGATCCTCCTGCCTCAGCCTCCAGAGTAGCTGGGACTAAAGGTACATACCACAAAGCCTGGCTAATTTTTAAATTTTTTTTAATAAAGATGGGGTTTTACCATGTTGCCTACAGTGGTCTTCGAAATCCTGGCCTCATGACATCCCCCTGCATTAGCCTCCAGAAGTGTTGGGATTACAGGCTTGAACCACTGTGCCTGGCCCCTGATCAAAATTCTAAATGCCAATCTGTTCATTATTGCTACGGGCTGAAGTGTGTCCGCCCCTCAAAAATCTACCTAACTTCCAGGACCTCAGACCGTGACTGTATTTGGAGATGGAGGTCTTTAAAGAAGTGATTAAGTTAAAATGAGGTCATTAGGATGGCCCCTAATCCAGTAAGACTGGTGCCCTGATAAGGGGTAATTTTAACACAGACACACACGAGAGGGAAGACCATGCAAGGACACAGGGAGAATATGGTCACCTACAAACCCAAGACAGAGGACTCGGAAGAAGACAACTATGCTGGCACTTTGACCTCAGCCTCTAGAATTAAGAAAATAAATTTCTATTTAAGCCACCCAGTCTTTGGGACTTCGCTCTGTGGCCCTAGCAAACTAAAACAATCACTAAAATGAGCAAATCTGCACTACAGGTAACAACTTTTAAATCACTTTTTACAGGCATTAAAGGGTATCCTATATATGCTCCTGGAGCTGTTCTCATCAGCAGCCCTGTCAGGCTGTCCCTTTGGCTGTGCCACACAGCATAAGAGACAGGATCTGGCTGTGGCAGCCGTGCAGGTGGCGGGTCACTTCCTTGGCTGCACTCAGGGCACTGCACTAGAGCATCAGGCATGAGATGTTACTGCAGCTTACCCACCAGCAAGCTGCAGCTGTGCTGTCAGAACCCCCGCCGCCCCATCCTCTAGCTGCCTTTCAAGGACCCCGATGATGCTCACTTGAAAAAGTAACCAGCCTGGGGCTCCAGCTGTCCTGGAAGGTGCAGGGGTCCACACAGAGGCATCTGTGGCATAGCAGTGTGCCACATCACCCAAGGGTGGCGGCTCTGCCTTGAACAATAATTTTGCAAGTTTGAACTTTACATAAAGTGTTTCTTTGGCAGCTCATATTTTATGGTTGTTATTGTTCTACATTAAGTTCCTGTTATTCATGCTGTTTCAGGAGTTATTTTACTCATTTTCACTGCTGTTTTATTCCCACTGTGTATGGTATATTTTCTCAATGCTATTTGTTTACGGTTGTCTAGGTTATTTTAATTTTTAACTATTGCAAGCAATGTGTGAACATACTGTGGATGTCTCCTAGAGTACATGCGGAAGTTTTCACTAGGTATGTACCTGGGGGTGGAACTACTGGGCCGCAGGTATGTGCACCTTCATCTTTACTAGACAATAACAAATTATTTTCCAAAGCGATTATACCTATTTATATCCCACGGCAGTATATAAGTGTGCAAATTGCTCTTCATTTTTTTTTTTTTTTTTTTGAGATGGAGTCTTGCTCTGTTGCCCAGGCTGGAGTGCAGTGGCATGATCTCGGCTCTCTGCAATCTCCACCTCCTGGGTTCAAGAGATTCTCCTGCCTCAACCTCCTGAGTAGCTGGGATTACAGGCATGCCAACAAGCCTGGCTAATTTTTGTATTTTTGGTAGAGACGGGGTTTCGCCATGTTGGCCAGGATGGTCTTGAACTCCTGACTTCAGGTGATCCGCCCCTCTCGGTCTCCCAAAGTGCTGGGATTACAGGTGTGAGCCACCGCACCCGGCCTGCCCTATATTCTTAATTTTCTCTTTTTGGGATAAGATCTCGCTATGATCCTCAGGATGGTCTCAAACTCCTGGGTTCAAATGAACCTCCCACTTGGGCTTCCTGAGTTGCTAGAACTACAGGCATGAGCCACTGCGCTCAGCTGCTCTACATTCTTGCCATACTTTATATTGCTCACGTTTTTCAGTTCTTCCAATCTGATAGATATGAGATGATATCTCATGATTTTCATTTTCCTGATTACTAAAAAGGTTGAACATCTTTTTCATATGCTTATTGGTCATCCTGTTTTCTTCTTCTCTGAGGTATCAGTCTGTACTGGGCAGTATGAAAGAGCTGTTTATGTACTGTGGATAATCATCTTGTGTCAGCTACATATTAGTATTTTGCAAATATCTTCTCCCAGCCTGGTGGCCTGTCTTTTCACTCTAATCCAGAAGTACAAACAGGCTGGGCACAGAGGCTCATGCCTGTAATCCCAGCACTTTGGGAGGCTAAGGCAGGCAGATCACAAGGTCAGGAGTTCAAGACCAGCCTGGCCAACACAGCGAAACCCAATATGGTGAAACCCCATCTCTACTAAAAATACAAAAAGTAGCCAGGCGTGGTGGTGCACACCTGTAGGCCCAGCTACTCAGGAGGCTGATGCAGGAGAATCGCTTGAACCTGGGAGGTGGAGGCTGCAAGTGAACCAAGATCACACCACTGCACTCCAGGAATGTATCCCTTTTTTCCTTTATGCTATGTGCCTTTTGATTTTTGTTTAATGAACCCTTTCCTAACGAACCAGGAATTCTTAATGCTGTTCCACAAACTAGGTCTGTGGGTGGATTTCAGGGGATCTCTGATCCCCTGGAAGTCATATGCAAAATTCTGCATGGGTGCATGTGTGCGTTATTGTGGGATGAAAGACCACAGTTTCTACCAGTTTCTCAAAAAGGTCTGTGATATAAAAACAGATTAAGAATCACTGCTAAATAGTAAGGATTATCATGTAAGGTATAATTTAAAAATCATTTTAGTTCCGTTTTGTCATTCGTGATATCATGTATGGCAGGGAAGAATGAAGAATACTAAAGTAGCAAACATGAGAGAGCTCTGGAAAGGGGCAGTTAGAGCAAGAGGATAAGGATACTTACTATGAACAGCTCACATCTAGTGAGTGCTTATCATGTGTCAGATAGCATGCTGAGTGCTTTACACAATTACCACATTTAATCAAAAACTCCAGGACATAGACACTATTATCATCTCAATTTTATTTTATTATTTTTTTGAGACGGAGTTTCACTCTTGTTGCCCAGGCTGGAGTGCAATGGTGGGTAGGATCTTGGCTCACCACAACCTCTGCCTCCCAGGTTCAGGTGATCCTCCGGCCTTAGCCTCCCGAGTAGCTGGGATTACAGGCATGCGCCACCACATCCGGCTAATTTTTGTTTTTTAGTAGAGACGGGATTTTACCATGTTGGTAAGGCTGGTCTCGAACTCCTGGACCTCAGGTGATCCGCCCACCTCAGCCTCCCAAAGTGCTGGCATTACAGGCTTGAGCCACCGTGCCCGGCCCTATTGTCTCAATTTTATAGGCAAGCAACGGCTTGAGACAAACTCCCTAACTTGCTCAAGATCACATAACAGAGGAGTGTCACAGACAGATTTAAATCCAGATAGTCTGAACTCCTGTTACCAGAGCATCATGAGATATAAGTGTAAAGAACACAGTTACTGGCACATGGGAAATATGCAGTAAGTCATAGCTATTACAACTTAAAGGAGAAATATTTCAGAAAGGATTTTAGATAAGCAGTGGACATATGGAGAGCAGACGACTCAAGAAAAAACATGTGAGAAAAAGGAAAAATATGACCAGTTTTCCCTTACAGGCATTTCAGCATTTTCTTGCTAAACAGGCATTCTCCAGGGAAACAGCAGATGTTCAAGGGACTAAGGTAAAGAAGTTCAGGGACCTCTACAGTCCCTGAAAATATCACGTGGATCCTTGCTCTGTGAACTGTTCACTGAATGTGCCCAAAGCTGTCCCTTACTGACCCCACTTGGGGATGCTGTGTTTGATATGATGAGGTCTCTAACAGAGGATGTCCTTCTTGCTTCCCGTTTCCATGTAGATGGTAAGATCCAGTCCCTGTTCTAAAGTAAGCCCCAAATTCCGTTTCCTCATCTTGTGATCCCTGATATTCACAGTTGAACTAAATAAAAAGGCTGACTGGAGCAAAGGGATTCGATCTGGGATGCTTACCTGCTCCAATCTTTCAATGAGCTCTGCAGGAGTTAGGACCACTTCCTCACTACCCCCATCAGAGTCCTGTCCCAGGAAATCCACTTCTTCGGTCATCTTCTCTGAAACCAGGAACCTAATGAGAGGGAAAGAACCAATACTCTGCAATGCGTTTTCTAATTATCTGCAAGAACAGACATCTATCTGGAGAAAGGAAAGGTTTATTGAGGTTTCCTGGGGTTGTAGAGGCCCTTTAGCAAGTGGTGAGAGAACGCAGGGACTCTAGTTTTCCAGTGTCTGCCTCTTCCTCCAAGGCTTAGGTCAGGTATCCGTTTCTCAAACAAGCCTCCCCCTTACTTCTGTCCACCAAGAGCTGAGCACCCATCACACCATACAATCACTATTCATTTCTTTGACTTCCCAGTAGAGGTCTTGTTCCTCAGGGACGGGGTTCGTTTTAGTTCAAATACGAATCGCGCCTCTGCTCAGTGCCTGGCACTAAGCACTGGGGACGCAATGACGTGGGAAGCCCCTGCGCTCAGCACAGCGCTTGACTCCTAGCAAGCACTTAACATTATTAGGAGCTGGCCGGGCTCACGCCTGTAATCCCAGCACTTTGGGAAGCCGAGGCAGGAAGATACCTTGAGCCCAGGAGTTCGAGACCAGCCTGGGCAACATAGGGAGATCCTGTCTCTATAAAAACAAAAATTGTTAGGAAGATTAATCAATGCTAATTTCCCAGAGCCACAAGGGCCGGCGACATTAGACCAGTCGGCGATCCCAAAGGCCTAAGGAGGTGGATGGCGGGGACAAAGAAAGTCCCTGGGGTCGCAAGGAAACTGCGAACATCCCCCTCCCCTCCTCCCTCTCAGTGCCACCCACACAGGCCTGCCCTAGCCACAGAGGTCCCATTCGACGCTCACTCGGGGACCTGGGAGACAGCGAGGCACTCCACAGCAGCCGGCGGTAAGGACGGGGCGTTCGTGGGGACGCAGTCGGGGCACCAGGAAGCGGGAAGACAGAGGAACAAACTGCTCAAGGACTTGCCGGGACCAACTCAACCCTGCAACTTCTCAGCTCCCGCGCTACTCTCGCAAAGTTTCCGCCCAGGCACGACGTCATCGCGCAAGGGCGACGCTGACCAATCAAGGCCCGGGGGGAAGAGCGGGGCGGTCTCCTTGGGCCCGCCCACCCGGCGGGCGGGGACTGTCTTCGCGGCGGCCTGCAGTCCCAGCAACCCAAGGACTTGAGGCGGCGGGAGGCTGGTCCGGGTTGGCCCCGCCCACCTGGGGGCCGGCCGCTCCGCTGTGCGGTCCGGGTTGCACTACCCAAGAGCGTCGGGAGGGGGCGCCCGCCACCGCGGCCAAGGGGAGCGGCGGTGTCCGCCCCGGGGGGTCCCACCCAGAAGTATGCTGTTGAAAGCAGGCCGCTGCAGCCTCCTGGGCCGTCTCCACCCACAGCTCTCGTGGCTCTTTGGGTTCCTCCGTCTTTGCGGGGTTTCACCTGTGGTCAGTGTGGTCATTGCCTTCAGAATCTCCAGTATATTCCTTTTCATCTTTCTTGAGACAGGGTCTCGTTCTGGTGCCCAGGCTGGAGTGCAGTGGCACCACCACAGCTCACTGCAACCTCCGCCTCCCGGGCTCCAGCGATCCTCCCACCTCAGCCTCCGGAGTAGCTGGGACCACAGGCCAGCGCCACCACGCCCAGTTATTTTTTAATTAAAAAAAAAAAAAAAAAGAACTGTGGCGGGGTTGGGGGTGGGGAGGTTCTCCCTATGATGGCCAGGCTGGTCTCGAACTCAAGGATCCAAGCAATCCTCCCACCTCGGCCTCACAAAGTGGGTACTGGTTCTTGAAGCCTGGGATCGGACGACCAGCAGAAGCATCGCCTGGGAATCCGTGAAAATGCAGGTTCTCAGGCCCCACCCTGGCCCACCGAATCAGAAACTGGGGGTATTTCACCAGACCCAGGCCCTCCCGGTGACCCTGACACAGCTGAGGTTTGAGAATCACTGCTTTGGGGCCGGGCGCGGTGGCTCACGCCTGTAATCCCAGCACTTTGGGAGGCCGAGGTGGGCGGATCACGAGGTCAGGAGATCGAGACCATCCTGGCTAACATGGTGAAACCCCGTCTCTACTAAAAATACAAAAAAATTAGCCGGGCGTGGTGGCGGGCGCCTGTAGTCCCAGCTACTCGGGAGGCTGAGGCGGGAGAATGGCGTGAACCCGGGAGGCGGAGCCTGCAGTGAGCCAAGATGGCGTCACTGCACTCCAGCCTGGGAGACAGAGCCAGACTCCATCTCAAAAAAAAGAAAAAAAAAGAAAAAAGAAAAGAGAATCACTGCTTTGGGGCAATGCTTTCAACTCACCTTCTGGAGGGGAAAAGCACAAAAACCCATGTCTGTATATGTATATATTTTTTCCATCTTTGTGTGATCCAGTTTTTCTTCTCTGAGTTGCTGATTCTTTTCTCTTTGCTGTCCTTTGTTTTCTGTGCAAAGCGTTGCTTCTGGCTTCCCTAAAAGTATCTCTTCTCCATCAATCTGAGGGCTCTTTGCAAAGCTGCCCTATGATGTCATATTGATTGACTAGTAAAATGATTGGCTAATATAGTATGATCGTACCTGCCTGATTACAATCCTGTTATGAAAATGACAATAGAATAAGCCGAGTGAGAGAGTAGGCATCTTTACAAAGCGCTGTGTAAGCTGGGGCATATCAGCACGGGATTCCCAAAAGGAAGGGACATTTGAGCTGTGTCTTATGAAATGAATTTTGTGAGTGGCAAATAGGTGGTTATTTCAAGGTCTGTTTCAACGGTTTGGTAATCCAGTGGTTTTTGGTTGTGGCAGAGTGTGTTTCCCAAACATAGCTGCTCTAATATGGATCTCACCCCACATACCCTTCTTACCATGTGACATTGACACTCCTCCATCAAGAGGTGGGGTCTATGTTCTCACCTTCTATTTATTTATTTAGAGACAGGGCCTCACTCTGTCGCGCAGCCTGGAGTGCAGTGGGGCGGTCACGGCTCATTGCACCCTTGACCTTCCTGGGCTCAGGTGATCCTCCCACTTCAGCCCCCATGAGTAGCTGGGACTACAGGTGTGTACCATGCCTGGCTAATTTTTTGTATTTTTGGTAGAGGTGGGGTTTCATCATGTTGCTCAGGCTGGTCTTGAACTCGGGCTCAAGTGATCTGCTCACCTCAGCCTCCCAAAGTGCTGGGATTACAGGTGTGAGCCACAGCGCCTGGCCCTGTTCTTGCCTTTTACATCAGGAAAGAGTTTTTTAACTGCTTTGACCAAGAGAATTTGGCAGAAGTGATGCTGCTTGGCTTCTGGGACTAAGTCATAAAAGGCAATGTGGCTTCCACTTGGCTCTTTTTTCTGGAGCCCCATCTCTTGAGAGCTGTGGGCTGACGTGGAAGAAGTCTGGCTAGCCTGCAGTCGATGTGCAAGAGAGTCGATATGAAGATGCCAGGCAGAGATGGGGAGCCTTACTGGAGGAACCCCAGAACCCCAGTTGTTCCATTCTCCAGATGTCTGGGTTGAATGAGCCTTCAGGTGATTCTAGTGCTGAGGCTTCAAACCGTCCCAGCTAAGATGAAGGGAGCAGAGATGAGCTTCTCTGCTGAGCCCTGCCCAAATCGCAGATTTGTGAGCAAAATAAGTATTGTTGTTGTTTTAGGCCCTAAGTTTTGGAGTGGTTTGTTATGTAGCATTAGCTGACTGGAACAGTGGTCTTTGAGCACAATCGCATTCTTCCATAATTCTCATTACCAAATAGCTTTTCAATGATGTTTATTAATATTCCTTAATTGTTACATATTTGAGTCCAAGCATAGATAACGTCTCTACACAAGTGCCGATTATGTAGTTTATTGATTTAAAAACTTCCCTTCTCTGGGTCCAACCACCTTCTCCAATCTCCCCCGCTCCTCCACTGGAGAGCTAGAGCCCAGCTTCTGCTTCCTTACTTAATAGAGGTGTGACCTTAAACGAGTCACTTTGGATTTCAGTTGCACCACCTTTTTTGCTGTTGTTGTTAGATGACGTTTCGCTGTTGTCCCTCAGGCTGAAGTCCAATGGTGCGATCTTGGTGCACTGCAACCTCTGCCTCCTGGGTTCAAGTGCTTCTCCTGCCTCAGCCTCCTGAGTAGCTGGGATTATAGGCATGTGCCACCGCGCTTGGCTAATTTTTGTATTTTTAGTAGAGACGGGGTTTCACCATGTTGGCCAGGCTGATCTTGAACTCTTGACCTCAAGTGATCTGCCCGCCTCGGCCTCCCAAAGTGCTAGGATTACAGGAGGGGGCCACCACACCTGGCCATCAGTCACACCACCTTTTTTTTTTTTTTTTTTTTTTTTTTTTTTTGTGAGATGGAGTCTCACTCTATCACCCAGGCTGAAGTGCAATGGTGTGATCGCAGCTCACTGCAACCTCTGCCTTCCAGGTTCAAACGATTCTCCCACCTCAGCCTCCCGAGTAGCTGGGACTACAGGTGCACGCCATCGCGCCTGGCTAATTTTTGTATTTTAGTAGAGATGGGGTTTTGCTATGGTTGCCAGGCTAGTCTCGAACTCCTGACCTCAAGTGATCCACCTGTCTCAGCCTCCCAAATTGCTGGGATTACAGGAGTGATCCAACCGCGCCTGGCTAATCACACCACCTTTTACACAAAATTAATATGTGTCTGCCTGAAGACAGAGGGACAGACCAAAAAATTGAGGGACCCGTTTCACTTCTAAGATCTTTGATTACAACTAATATTCATTAGACAAAAACACTTTTAGAGGAAATGAGTTGGCAGAAAAATATTTCTGCTGTGTAAAGAAGGGTTATTAAAAGAAATGCCAAAGCAACACACAAACTTTTGGTGTTGATCGTTTGGCACTGTAAAGTTCAGGAAGGTGGGAGAAAAGAGGTCTTCAATTACATTATATAGAATGAAGAGAAAAATCAGGAACACCTGGTTGATGTGCACCCACTGTCAAGAAGTGTTTTAGAAATAATAAGATAGCCATATAAATGGAATGCAATTCATTAAAATGATCACAGATAAAAGGTGATTACATAGATTATTATATTAGGAGGATGAAGTTTGTGGATAGAATTTGCAGGCAAGCTTAGATGATTTAAATTGCAAGATGAACATACTAACATGAATTCAGACAAGTAAAACATGAAGTTACCTCGAAAGAGAAGGAAAAAGCTACTGCCCAAAGTGGAAGAGGAAGATACAGAAAATAGGATCCTATACAACTGAAGAAAGTGACAAGCCACAGCAATATTCAGATATTCTCAGTGAAGATGTTAATGGAAATTATAGACACAGCAAATAGAAACAGCCAAAATATTTGTGGACAGCCATACGTTATTATTATTATTACTATTTTTTGAGACAGAGTCTCACTCTGTCGCCCAGGCTAGAGTACAGTGGCGTGATCTCGGTTCACTGCCAGCTCCGCCTCCTGGGTTTACGTCATTCTCCTGCCTCAGCCTCCCGAGTAGCTGGGACTACAGGCGCCTGCCACCACGCCCGATAATTTTTTGTATTTTTAGTAGAGACGGGGTTTCACCATGTTAGCCAGGATGGTCTGGATCTCCTGACCTTGTGATCCGCTCGCCTCGGCCTCCCAAAGTGCTGGGATTACAGGCGTGAGCCACTGCACCTGGCCCAGTGGTACATTATTTTTATTTTTTGAGACAGAGTCTCGCTCTGTTGCCCAGGCTGGAGTGCAGTGGCATGATCTTGGTTCACTGCAACCTCTGCCTCCCAGGTTCAAGCGATTCTCTTGCCTTGGCCTCCAGAGTAGCTGAGATTACAGGCATGTGCCTCCATGCCCGGCTAATTTTTGTGTTTTTAGTAGAGATGGGGTTTCCCCATGTTGGACAGGCTGGTCTTGAACTCCTGACCTCAGGTGATCCGCCCACCTCAGTCTTCCAAAGTGCTAGGATTATAGGCATTGCACCTGGCCAAAAAGATACATTATTAATGAGAACAAATTTAATGTTTTAATCACCAAGGAAAAACAACAGTAAATACTGTATATCTATACAGAATTGTGAGCTTTCTGGAGAAAGATGCTTTCAGAATACAAGTAATGGCATTATTATTGTTCTCATATCAGTGCCCTTGCTTGTTTGGTCAGCAGCTGTTTCTCAGGGGTCCCTTTTTCTGAATTCCATCACAATCTTGGTCTCACTGCCCTGGAAACCAAAGAATTAAGATTTGGGAGTGTTTTAGTTAAGTTGAGTTTAACTCCCGGTTTTTCTGAATGCATGAAGATTGGCACTACAGACAGCCATGTAAGAGGACAGCTTGCATTTTTTTTTTTTTTTGAGACGGAGTCTTGCTCTGTTGCCAGGCTGGAGTGCAGTGGCATGATCTCGGCTCACTGCAATCTCCGCCTCCTGGGTTCAAGCGATTCTCGTGCCTCAGCCTCCCGAGTAGCTGGGGCTACAGGGGTGTGCCACCATGCCTGGCTAAT
Source organism: Homo sapiens (assembly GCF_000001405.40). NCBI lineage: Eukaryota > Metazoa > Chordata > Mammalia > Primates > Hominidae > Homo > Homo sapiens. The sequence continues at coordinate 41,523,826 of NC_000008.11, read as the reverse complement.
TTTTGTATTTTTAGTAGAGACAGGGTTTCACCATGTTGGCCAGGATGGTCTCGATCTCCTGACATGATGATCCACCCGCCTTGGGCTCCCAAAGAGCTTTAAGGAAGGCAGAAAAGTGTGCTTACGCTGTTTTCTCTTAGGCTCATAAGGAAAGCTATTGGCTGGTGAACTTATACGTATTTTTCTGGCCAATGATAACACCCAATGCCAGCTGCATGGCCAGGATGCTGGAGAACTCAGGAAGCCGGGCAAGGCTTGGGTCTCCCTTACAAATGGAAAATCTGGGCAATTTATGATATTCCTAATTCCTTTGCTCTCCTCAGACCCTAGGTCCTCTGAAACTCTGTAAGGAGATATAAGAACTATCTGCCCCTTTGCTTGTTGTAGAATATACAATAATCATAAAAAATTTTTAAAAATTAAATATATCTTATGAAACACTGTGGCCAACATAGCATGTAGCTGGTTGAGTAAGATTATTTTCCTAATGCTTTTCTGAATATGTCAAGCAAAGAGAAAGGTGACCTTTCCATAAAGAAATTCATGTGCCTTTATATCATGGGCATCTTTGATGAGAAGCTTATGTGCCCAAGTGTTGGGCAAGTCTTATTTATTTATTTATTTATTTGTGATGGAGCCTCACTCTGTTGCCCATGTTGGACTGCAGTGGCATGATCTCGGCTCACTGCAACCTCTGTCGCCCGGGTTCAAGTGATTCTCCTGCCTCAGCCTCCTGAGTAGCTGGGATTACAGGTGCCTGCCACTGCGCCCCGCTAACTTGTATATTTTTAGTAGAGACGGGGTTTCTTGGTCAGGCTGGACTTGAACTCCTGACCTTGTGATCCACCTGCCTCAGCCTCCTAAAGTGCTGGGATTACAGGCATGAGCCACTGTGCCCAGCCTAAGGCTTCATATTTATTAAAGTCTATATAGTTTAGCTGAGAGATCTTGAGGGACTTGTCCTAAGGTCTAAATAAAAGCCAGGCCAAATTCAATCTCTCTTTCTCTCTGGCTGGAGTGCAGTGGGACAGTCATGGCTCACTGCAGCCTCAAACTCCTGGGCTCAAGCAATCCTCCCACCTTGGCCTCCCAAGTAGCTGGGACCACAGGTGTGTACCACCGTGCCTGGCTAATTTTTTTTTTTTTTTTTGTGGAGACGGGGGTCTCACTATGTTGCCCAGGCTGGTCTTGAAGTCCTGGCCTCAAGCGATCCTCCTGCCTCAGCCTCCTAAAGTGTTTGGGGTTACAGACATGAACCTCTGCACCCGGCCCAAACTCAGTATTTCTAAATGCTTGCACCTTAGGGCAATGCGTGCTCTCTCTCTCTCTCTTTTCCTATAGTGATGGGAAAAGGTCTGATTATAGTCAAAGTAAAGGGTAAAAGGTAGCCTTGTTCAAGAATGTGCCCCGTATCAAAATTTCATTTATTGTCTTGAATTTTAATGTCTTTCTTTTCTTTGTGTTAATGAATCATAGACATGGGCACCATTTTGATAACTTTTTAAATTAATTTATTTTATTTTTCGAGATAAGGTCTTGCTCTGTCACTCAGGCTGGAGGGCAGTGGTGTGATCTTGGCTCACTGCAGCCTCCACCTCTTGGGTTCAAGCGATTCTTGTGTCTCAGCCTCCCCTATAGCTGGGATTACAGGTGTGTGCCACCATGCCTGGGTAATTTTTGTATTTTTAGTAGAGACAGAGTTTTGCCATGTTGGCCAGGTTGGTCTTGAACTCCTGACACCAAGTGATCTGCTCCCCTCAGCCTCCAAAAGTGCTGGGATTACAGGCATGAACCACTGTACCCGGCCCGTTTTGTGAAATTTAGGCTAACAGTTATTGAAATAATTGTTTTCTGTGGGAGAACTCTTAGAATAAAATTCATTCATCTATATATGTTGACCCTTGAACAACTTGGATTTGAACCGCTGGGATTCACTTATGTTGGGTTTTTTTTCAAGTAAGTTACACCAGTGTGCTTGCCTCCTTTTCCACCTCCTCCACCTCATCTGCCTCTGCCACCCATGAGACAGCAAGACCAACCCCTCCTTCCTTCTTTTTACAATTTTTATTTATTTTTTATTAGTTTTTGTACAGATGAGGTCTCCCTAGGTTGCCCACGTTGGTCTCAGACTCCTGGTCTCAAGCAATCCTCCCGCCCAGGCCCTGCAAATTGCTGGGATTACAAGCGTGAGCCACCGCGCTCGGCCCCCTCATTCCTTCTTATGAAGACCTTTATGATGCTCCACTTCCACTTCATGAATAGTAAATATATTTTCTCTACCTTAGATTCTTAGTAACATACTCATTTCTCTAGCTTACTTTATTGTAAGAATACAGTATGTAACACATATAACGTTAAAATGTGTTAATTGACTGTTTATGCTATGGGTAAGGGTTCCAGTCAACAGTAGGCTATTAGTAGTTAAGTTTTTGGGGAGTCAAAATTTGTACGTGGCTGGGTGCAGTGGCCCACACCTGTAATTCCAGCACTTTGGGAGGCTGAGGCAGGCGGATCACTTGAGGTCAGGAGTTTCAGACCAGCCTGGCCAACATGGTGAAACCCTGTCACTACTAAAAATACAAAAATTAGCTGGGTGTGGTGGCACGTACTTGTAATCCCAGCTACTCAGGAGGCTGAGGTGGGAGGATCGCTTGAACCCGGGAGGCAGAGGTCGCAATGAGTCGTGCCACTGCACTTTAACCTGGGATACAGGGGGAGACTCCACCTCAAGAAAAAGAAAAAAACAAAAGTTGTACGAAGCTGGGCATGGTGGCTCACACCTGTAATCCTGGTGCTTTGGGAGGCCAACGTAGGAGGATTGCTTGAAACCAGGAGTTCGAGACTAGCCTGTGCAACATAGTAAGACCCTGTCTCTACAAAAACGAAAAGATTGCTTGAGCCCAGAAGTTCAAGGCTACAGTGAGCTATGATTGTGCCACTGCACTCCAGCTTGGGCAACAGAGCGAGACCCTGTCTCTTAAAAAAAAATGCAGATTTTTGACTGTGCAGGAGTTCAGTGCCTCTAACATCTGAGTTGTTCAAGACTCAACTATATATAAGTCATGGTTTTCTTGAGCTGATAAAATACAGTAAGATTCATTTAAAATTATTCCTAAATTCTGGCCAGGCATGGTAGTTGATGCCTGTAATCCCAGTACTTTGGGAAGCCTAGGCGAGCAGATCAATCGAGGCCAGGAGTTTGAGACCAGCCTGGCCAACATGGTGAAACCCTATCTCTACTAAAAATACAAAAATTAGCTGAACGTGGTGGTGCACGCCTGTAGTCCCAGCTACTCGGGAGGCTGAGGCATGAAAATTGCTTGAACTTGGGAGGTGGAGGTTGCAGCGAGCTGAGATCGCACCATTGCACTCCAGCCTGGGTGACAGAGTGAGAATCTTGTCTCAAAAAAAAAAAAAAAATTAAATAAATAAAATTATTCCTAAGTTCCAAGCTTTTTAATTAGAATTACAAAGATGGAATTATAATTACCATTGTTGTCATTATTTTCCCTCTACATGTAGTGTCTATGAATTATACATCTCTTAAGATGTCAGTACTTGAAATCATAAGGAGTAAGAGGCCTAGGCTGGGTGCAGTGGCTCACGCCTGTAATCCCAGCACTTTGGGAGGCTGAGGCAGGCAGATCACCTGAAGTCAGGAGTTTGAGACCAGCCTGGCCAACATGGTGAAACCCTATCTCTACTGAAAATACAAAAATTAGCTGGTTGCGGTAGCGGGCACCTGAAGTCCCAGCTACTCGGGAGGCTGAGTCAGGAGAATTGCTTGAACCTGGGAGGTGGAGATTGCAGTGAGCCGAGATGGCACCATTGCACTCCAGTATGGGCAACAAAGCAAGACTGTCTCAAACAAAAAAAAAAAGAGGCCTAACAGGAGAAAATTGTGAAATTTTAAATTTGTGACATCTTAAAACCTTCTGGGTTACGACAGGTTTCTTTACTGAAACACTTCCAGGTTTCTCACTGGTAAAAGTTAATATCTTAGCTGAGTTCGACATTCACCCTCTATTTATCAGAAGGCTAGAGAACAGGATGATTATGTTCCATGCCACATACCATTATCTGAGTATTTTACTACTGACTTAGCTCAGAACAGATAGTGAAATAATTCCACCTTTAGAGTACCCCAAAGTGATAGAAATTATTAGATTTTTCAGTTTATTTCAGTTCAGTTATGAAAATACTTTCAACTGAAAATACTGAAGTCTGGTCATGCAATTGTGTTAATTGTTGATATTTTTTGAAATAAGAACCAGAAGCCTTGGGTCATTTGGTCTATTATTGCTGGTCTTGCTGTGAACAGCTGTGATGCTATGAGTTGCTAACTCATTGGAATCAATAAGATTTGGATGTGACCCATGGAGTTGTAAGGGCTGCTGTTACCTTTGACTTTTCTCTGTGAAGCAAGATCATGCTTTCCTAGTCATCCTCTCTGCTTTGTATTAGACATGTTTACTTCCAGTGAAAATTCAGCTTGACCCTGAACTTTACCCTTGGCTATAACCTGCTTCTAGGCTGGAAGTTTAATTCATGTATTTTAGAGTTCTACTCGTATACTTGTAAGCATGAAAAAGCCACTTTTTTCATATTTTCCACCTTTTTGGGGGGGTTATAATTAGAACTGGCAGAGCTCAGAGGCTAGTCTCTGTTGATGACCAATGGAACCAATCAGCTGAACAGGCCCGGAGGCTTTGAGGAAATTGAAGGGATCCCATGGGGTGGTGGTTATTGCATCCAAATTATCAAAACCATTCATAATACTGAAGATGTTAACTGGTGTGCCTGATATTTAGGATATGGTAATCCATATTGACAAGTACAAGTTGTTGGTTCTTTTTAGGCATTTGAAAACGTATGAATGATAAGAAGCCATATAACACGACAAACTCAATCTAAGTCTGTTGTGCTCCTGTTTCTGACCTCATTCCTGTTCCTTACTCTCTAGATGTAACCAGTATCTTCAACTTGGTGCTTATTGTTCCTATGAATAGTTTTTTGTTTTGTTTTGTTTTGTTTTTAATAGAGACAGGGTCTCGTTCTGTCACCAGGCCAGAGTGCAACCACAGCCCACTGTAGCCTCGACCTCCTGGGCTTAAGTGATCCTCCCGCTTCACTGTCCTGAGTAGCTGGGACTACAGGCTAATTTGTTTTTTTGTATTTTGGGGGGTTTTTAGAGACAGAGGCTTGCCCTGTCGCCCAGGCTGGAGTGCAATGGTGGGATCTCAGCTCACTGCAAGCTCCACCTCCCGGGTTCAAACAATTCTCCTGCCTCAGCCTCCCAAGTAGCTGGGACTACAGGCGCCCGCCACCACGCCCAGCTAATTTTTGTATTTTTAGTGGAGACGGGGTTTCGCCATGTTGGCCAGGCTGGTCTCGAACTCCTGACCTCAAGTGATCTGCCTGCCTTGGCCTCCCAAAGTGCTGGGATTACAGGCATGAGCCACTGCGCCCGGCTGCTAATTTGTTTTTTGTCTCACTATGTTGCCCAGGTTGGTCTCAAACTCCTGGCCTCACCGATCCTCCTACCTCGGCCTCCCAAGGTGCTGGGATTCCAGATGTGAGCCACTGTGCCTGGCCTGTTCCCAGAAATGTTTTTAAATTTGACCAACTGTGTACCCCAAAATAATATGGTAATATGAGCTGTGTGTGTGTGTAGTCATGGCATCAATTAGCATAACTCAGGAAATGTGCTTATAAAACAAGTTTATTTTTTCTCTACATTTATTTGTTGGGGATAGTTCTTCCCCTGTCACTGGACAAAAACTGATTACTCTTGTCACTCTGCTTAAAAAAAAAAAGAGTTCCATGATCTCCTTAAGTACCATTCAGTAATTAAAATATATAATCAAAACTCCCTCCCTCCCTCCTGGGAAACGGTGCCACACTGTGGGCTTAGCATGAGTCTCCATCGGCCAGTTGGGCTGCCAGCAGTAGCAGTGGCCAGGTCAGCCATGACGGAAGGAGGCCCATGTTGTGGAGCCCCTTGCATGCTTCATCCTTGCTGTGTCCACCTTTTCACATGGTCCCACTGAGCCAGCACCAGGAAGGCTGGGAAAGAGGCTGACTGATATCAGAGGACTTTCCACTTCCTTTCCTGCAATGAGAACCTCCCTGCAGGGATGCTATGTGGTGGGCATACACAACATATGAATTTCTTCACCTTCTATGCCCACTCCTAGGGTGCATCCACATAGGGTTTCTCTCCTCTTCCTCATCAGCCTCCAGTTGTATCTTCCAGATCCCTAAGCAGCTGTCTAAATAGTTAGCCACTTCTGTGATGCAGTGTTCCACGCTCAGGTCCCCTGCTGATCCCTCCCTTGCCTGAACCCTACCAGAAACGACAGGGCAAGGGAGCCAGGTTGTTGCAGCCTGCTCAGATTCGTCTTCTTAGAACATAAGGAGCACAGCGAAGGAAAAAAGGTATGAGAGACAAAAGGGGACGATCCAGGACACCATGCATTCTGAGGTCTGTGTGCAGGTCTCTCTTCTGTTCCATCATCCGTGAGCTATTCTTGTACCAATGAGACACATTTCAGCTACTACAACTTCATGTCTTGCTAGATACAGGGCATGTCTCTTCACTTTTCTAAAACCAGCATGTCAAGTTCCATTGAAAACCTTGTTGGGACCTTGGTTGCCAGGAAAATATATTTTTTTTAGAGATGGAGTCTCACTCTGTCGCCCAGGCTGGAGTGCAGTGGCATGATCTCGGCTCACTGCAACCTCCGCCTTCCCGGGTTCAAGCAATTCTCCTGCCTCCGCCTCTTGAGTAGCTGGGATTACAGGCGCCCGCCACCACGCCCAGCTAATTTTTTGTTTGTATTTTTAGTAGAGACGGGGTTTCACCATGTTGGCCAGTCTGGTCTCAAACTCCTGACCTTGTGATCCACCCGCCTCGGCCTCCCAAAGTGCTGGGATTACAGGCATGAGCCACCGTGCCCGGCCAAGCTTATCTGTTAAACGAAATGATCAGATTGAATTTTACCCTCTGAGCCTAAATGCTGGCTTTGGTCTCAGAGGCATTTTTACTTGCTGTCTTAACTGCTGCATGGAGTTAATATACAGCTGTGTATTACTCTGGCAGCACACATTTCCTTTATGGAAAACTTGTGGTCACTTCAAAATCTACACAGTACTTGGGAATAGAAAACAACTATTCCCTTTCTATTCCTAGGGAATAGAAAACAACTTGTCACAAGCAAATTTCCTCAGGGAGCCCCTATCAGGGATCTGATAATTTTACATTTATAGCTCTTGCTGGCAGGGGCTGGTGAAGTTTCTGTATTCAAGATGGCTGCTGTGGGGTTTCTGGTTACTTAAAAGGTGATTTTTCCTATCCTGAAATAGTCCCTCCATGTCATTAAATATTAAGGGAAGATCTTTTCTGCAATATTAAAAATCCCCCAAAACATGCTGTTTGGCCTTTCCTAATTGTGTGTGTGTGTGTTGTTGTTGTTGTTGTTTTTGAGACAGGATCTCATTCTGTCACCCAGGCTGGAGTGCAGTGGCATGATCTCAGCTCACTGCAGCCTCGACCTCTCAGGCTTAAGTGATCCTCCCACCTCAGCCCTGCAAGTAGCTGGGACCACAGGCGTGGGCCACCATGCCCAACTAATTTTTGTGTTTTTTTGTAGAGACAAGGTTTTGCTGTTGCCCAGGCTGGTCTCAACTTCTGGGCTCAAGTAATCTGCCCACCTTGGCCCCTCAAAGTGCTGGGATGATAGGTGTGAGCCCAGCCCCTACTTTTTTTTTGTTTTTGTTTTTGTTTTGAGATGGAGTCTTGCTCTGTTGCCTAGGCTGGAGTGCAGTGGCGTGATCTTGGCTCACTGCAGCCTCCGCCTCCCGGGTTCAAGTGATTCTCCTGCCTCAGCCTCCCGGGTAGCTGGGATTACAGGTGCTTGCCAACACACCCAGCTAATTTTTGTATTTTCAGTAGAGATGGGGTTTCACTATGTTGGCCAGGCTGGCCTCGAACTACTGACCTCAAATGATCCACCCACTTCGGCCTCGCAAAGTGTTGGGATTACAGGTGTGAGCCACCGTACCTGGCCTGGCCCCTAATTGTTAACTGAAGCACTCTTCATTTTAAAATTAGAAACGAGAATCACAGATGTTGATTTTCAAGCGCATAATTCTTCAAATATCTAAGAAAGTAGAAACTGGACTAAGTAAAACATTTGTAGATTTTATGAGATAAACAAAGATGTGCAAGTTGTGCACATGAATCCTTTTGTTGGGAGGAAAAGATCACATCTATGTTTCTCAGCCCTTGCACATCCCAGAATCTGAGCTAGCTATGTTGTTTGACACTCGGCTGCTCCGTGAAGAGTAATTAACAAAACATTTTGAATACAAGTTATTATCATTTCCTGGCAATAAACAGGTCTGTTAAAACATGAGGTAAGAGGATATATACATGAACAGAAACAGAAAGATCAAGAACAACAGATATGGCAGCTAATAGGTGGATTTTTAGGTCTCCTGCTTTTTTTTTTTAAAGAACTCTTTGTAGGTGAAACGAAATATTTCTTCAAAGATAGTTTATAAATCTGAAGATTAAAGATTTCACTAGCAAAGTAAAATGTGACAGCACAAAGTTAGATAAGTTACTAAGTCAATAAATCCTTTTATTGCTCAGATACTATTTTTTTAAAAACCCACAACATCCTGCTAGCATAAACTTGTTTTCACTTGACAATAACCCTTAACCAAAGATCTTTGGTAGTGCCTAACTCATAAAAACTTTTTTTTTTTTTTTTTTTTTTTTTGCAAAATGGAGGCTTAAAAATGTAAAGAGTAGGCGTTAAGTTCCCATAGGGCTTCCTGGTTGTAGGCAGAATTTCACAGAACTTCGTATCTGCAGCATTTGAGGTACATATATGGGAAGAACTTAGGATATAATTCAGAAGAGCCAAGATCTTTATTTTGGTTCTGTAATTCTGTGCCTACTCATTTTGGAGCAAAATACATGTATTGCTGTACCCCTAACAATCCTAGCACGTAGGTGGTCCACAATCCCCATTTTGACATTCCCAACAATCCACAGCAAATGGGATGTTAATCAGATGTTTGCCGTTCTCTACACATTTCCAAGTTTTGAGTACAGTACTGGAGAGTACCATCATAAAGCCATTTATTCCAGCTCTTGGGGGTGGGGTAGAATAAAATCATTCACACTGACACCCTTGCACATTAAAGCTGGTCACTGTGTAATGGTTACAGTCATCGATGTTTATCCTTCCAGCAAGCACACATGAGGACAGGGATGACTCTGGCCTGTTTCAGTTAGTGTTTGCACTACAGAGTAGTCTCTGGTGATGTTAGACTACAAGCGTGCTTGATTCATTTTATCTAATGAGTGACAAGCACCTTTTTTCATATTGTTCTTGTAACTTTGATTTTACATAGAGAAATTCAGTAGCAAGAACTCAAATGAGTACAAAGTATTGTTTGTGCTTTATTAGGTCCTTAGAGAATTTTGAAAAGTGGAAATTATCTGAAAATAAGCTTTTATCAGAAGACTAAGTTAAAAGAATTAAGGAGAAATAGACTTCTAAGTTTTGCAGTTTCAATCATAGCTGGATTTAATGTTACATAGAGAATAATACAGGACAAAGTATGAGCAGGAGGCTTATTTATTATTTACTTTACCCAACTCAGAGGTTTCGATGCAATTCCTTTCCTTTCCCTGGGAATTCCTAATCTAGAATTAAAGGGCATTGGGATCCTCAAGGGTACTTATCTCCAGGCAAAAGTCCACTCTATTGGAGCTTAAGCCACAGATATCTCCTCCCAGTTTTAGAAGACTTTACCAAGGGAGCACACAAATCACTGCCTATCAAAAGCCAGACAAACGCCGCACCAATCCAGGTGTAGCACCGTAATTCTATTCTGATGTTAATGACCTGATGGGTCAACTTACCTCTCATTCATTTATGCACTTTACAAACATGTGAGAGCTAAGTATCTGTAGCACTGTGTATGAGGATGCATGGAGTGTGAGGTGGATGCAAGGGTAAGTAGGAAACCACCTCTGCCCTCATGGAATGTACAATCTCCTTTGTTTGGAGGGGGAAAGAAGCTGGTGAAGGGGAGAGGAGGTAAGTACATAAATCAGATATGGCACCAGTACTCTGATTTCCTTTGACATTAAAACAAATAACAAAAAACAAAGCATGTTACTCCTGGGAAACTGTAGCTTTAACTTATGCTAGGAGCCAGGGCTAAGTGGAATACAGAAGAAATTTAATTGAGGTGTTATGACCTCTTTTTTGTCTCCTGGCTATATAAGTATTATTTACTATGAGTTTCACTGGATAAGGAGAGACATTGAACATTTTATATAGGAAAATAAGCTTACAAAAGAAAGTTGGACTATGGACTGTAACTTCTAAGTTGTTAATTTTCTACAAATCTACCTTATTTAAAAGAAATGGAGTCTGGGTCGGGTGCGGTGGCTCACGCCTGTAATCCCAGCACTTTGTGAGGCTGAGGCTGTTGGATCACCTGAGTTCAGGAGTTCTAGACCAGCCTGGCCAATATGGCGAAACCCTGTCTCTACTAAAAATTGCACCACTGCACTCCAGCCTGGGTGACAAGAGCGAAACTCCATCTCAAAAACAAAAACAAAAAATGGAATCTGTATTTGGATTGTTTGTAACACAGTGCTTGAGGGGGATGAGTAGCCCATTTGACATACTGTAATTATTACGCATTGCATGCCTGTATCAAAACATCTCATGTACACCGTGAATATAGACACCTATGTACCCAGAAAAAAAAATAATAAAACTACACTGAGTCATCAGGTGATCCAAGATAGTAACAATAACTGTGATGCCTTTTTCCTAATGAAACATGCCAATGTCTTATTTCTTTAAATATGTTTTTTAGGCTGGGTGTGGTGGCTCACACCTGTAATCCCAGCACTTTGGGAGGCTGAGGCAGGCAGATCACCTGAGGTCAGGAGTTTGAGACCAGCCTGGCCCACATGGTGAAACCCTGTCTCTACTAAAAATAAAAAAATTAGCTGGGCATGGTGGCGGGCGCCTGTAATCTCAGCTACTCGGGAGGCTGAGGAAGGAGAATCACTTGAATCCGGGAGGCGGAGTTTGCAGTGAGCCGAGATGGTGCCATTGCACTCCAGCCTGGGCAAAAAGCAAAACTCCATCTCAAAAAAAATATACATTTTTTAATTACCATGGACTATTCCTTGATGTTTTTTTGACCTCTGAACTTTTTATTGGCCTCTTACTCCCCACAGGGTACCCTGCTTCTGCTGGCTTAATGTCTCAGAACTTTGGTGTCACTGATCTCAGACACCACTTTGCTATCCACTATCTGGCGGGTGGTGGTCTTTTGGATGGTTTGCATGGAGTTGCTGCTGTCCAGGGCATCACCAAGATTGAGGCCCTCGCTGTCTTCCAGCAGGCGGCGGTAGGTGGCGATCTCAGCCTCCAGCTTGACCCTGATGTTCAGCAAGTCCTTGTACTCCTGGACCTTGCGCTGGCCCTCTGCCCAGTTCTGTGCCAGCTTTGACTCCAAGTACAGCAGGATTCTGTTGAGCTGCTCCATCTGCAGGGCGTAGCGGGCCTCCACCTCCCTCAGGCTGTTCTACAAGCTGGTCTTCAGATTTCTCATTGAGTCCAGGTCAATCTCCAAGCACTGGACTGTACGTCTCAGCTCCGTGTCATCTCAGCAGCTCTGACCTTGGCAGAGTGTGTGGTGACCACTGTGGTGCTCTCCTCAGTCTGCTGAGACCAGTACTTGCCTAGCTTCTCTGAGTTCTTCTGAGACAGCTCATCCTATTGGGCCCTGATGTCTGCCATGACCTTGGCGAGGACTTGAGATTTGGGGGCATCTACCTCCACGGCCAACCCAGAGTTGGCAATCTGGACTTGCAAGCCTTTTACTTCCTCTTCATGGTTCTTCTTCATGAGGAGCAGCTCCTCCTTGAGAGCGCCCATCTCTGTCTCCAGCTGCAGCAGAGTGACATTGGTGTCATCAATGACCTTGCAGAGCCCATGGATGTTGCTCTCCACAGACTGGCGCATGGCCAGCTCTTGTCTCATACTTGACTCTGAAGTCATCAGCAGCAAGACGGGCATTGTCGATCTGCAGAATGATGTGGACATTGTCCACAGTATTTGCGAAGATCTGAGCCCTCAGTTCCTTGATGGTCTTGAAGTAATGGCCCCAGTCTCTGACATGGGGTCTCTTCTCCAGATACTCCTGGATTTTGCTCTCCAGCCTCCAGTTCTCGGTCTCCAGGTTCCTCACTCTGTCCAGGTAGTCCAGGTGGTCGTTCAGGCTTTGCATGGTCTCCTTCTCATTCTGGATGCCCCCCATTTCTGCCAGACCCCCAGCCATCTCTGTGGCCAGGCCCCCAGACCCCAAGCCGCCCCAGAAACTGGTAGAACAGGACATGGAGATCTGGGATCCCAAGCCCCCCAGTGCCTGCATAGATGCTGGCTGCGCTGCTGACCGGCCAGGTGCCATAGCTGGGCGGCTGGACAGAGCCCAGGGACTGGTAGTTGGTGGAGAAGGTGGAGGGAGTGGTGAAGCTCATGCTGTCCGGGGAAGAGAGCAGGCTTTGTCAACGACTACTCCTTAATTTTTACTTATAATATACCTGCTGTTGTAAGATAAAGCAGGTAAGAAATTGAGAGGTGTGACATAGAAATGTAAGATGTTTATTTTAAAACACTAAGCTACATTGTACGGTACACTACTACAATTCTAGTATTATCTGACAAATTTAGTGTCCTATCATTTACCACTTTACCATCATTTACTACCAAATCCCACCAAATATGACACAGAGACAACTTGTTTAAGAAAAGTTTTATTAATGTGTTAATATTTCAGCAAAGTTATTGCAACAGGTTGAAAATGCAGACACACTATTACAGGCTGTAAAGTAACAAATGAGTTTTACACAATTAAAATATTAACACATACTTATGGGATTTGTTGAATGACTAACAGACCCATAAAAGAAATTAAATCTGAGACGAAATCCAGTATTAGCACCTACAATATATCTGACAGTGAAACTTTTAATGGTTTCTCTCTCCTAATGTATTTTTAAACTCTCTCCCAAATACAGCGCTCTCAAACCCCAAGGATAAACGAAAGGCATAAGCAGCCCCGATCCTAGGAACGTACAGCCAAAAGCAGAGCTACAAATATGGACTCAGACTTGAGAGTTTTACTGAGAAGTAACTTACTGTACTTGAGCCAATCATAAGATTTCTGTGCACTGAATACTGTATATGAGAAAATTCTGTGGGTCATAAGGTTTGCCTTAGGGATAGTTAAAAATTAGTAATATACAGTATTATTCCTATCAAATTTTTTTCTCATAAGTTATATTTATAACAAAACTATAATTAAAATATTTTTTATACCTGCTTATTCCATATCCAGGGACACAGCGGGAACATTTATGTGTCTGATGGTTTGGCATCCACTTTATTGTGCTTACTGATTTTTGTGATGAACAAGCAGCACGTATCATATCTTTCCAACATTCAAGGTAATGGAACAATGACATAAAATTCTCCAAAGAAATAACTGGAAATTGCATTAAATACTGCTTTAATTAGGCATAATTGCTATAATAAAACAAATAACATTATACATTTTTTTTTCAATAAGCTTCAGTTTGAGGAACTGAATAGTAGAAACAGATCTTAAGATTTGAGTCATGGTAAAACCAGTAATTCTTTGAAATCTGGGAGGTGCAAAACGACAGCCACAGCCAACCCTCACCAAAATCCTGGAGAAAAACATTTTATTAATTTAGGGGAACAAGATAGAACACTGGTGAAGATACGGCTTGTTGAGGTCTAAAGCCACCTGAGAAGCTGGCCCAAGGAATGAAGAGAACCAATGGTATGTACTGGTGGCAGATAACAAGCTTTGCACTGGGCTGACCAACTGTGTTTTATTAAATGGCTTTGAATAAAAAAAAGTGAAGTGCTTCATTGTGTTTTCTCAGAAACTAATCAAAAGATTACAGAGTCCTACACAATTTGGAGACACAAAGTGGATGCTGAGCGACTAGAGGTCACTCCAGGTGTGGAATTTTAGAAAGTGAGTCCTTGGAGTAAATGGCACCGTGGCTCTGGCAGCAGATAGAAAGGAATGATGCTCTGGAGAGGAGGTAGGGACACTCTGCGGTCGGCCAGTGGATACATGAGGGGCCCGGCTGGAAGTGGGATCTGTAATTAGAGGGAGAAGTAAAGGTTTGATAGAGATCCTGAAAATAACTTGTAAAACCATTTTTCTTCCATCAACTGATATCAGCTTATAACATGTGGTCTATGTTCTACTAACCTAGAATTTTATCTACTAAAATATCTTGGTACCATTTGTCTAAATGAGTCTACAGCTCAATAGTCTACAAATCTAAGTCCTATATATTCAGATCTCTGACCAAGCACATCACCATGGAGCCACGCTGCCTTGACTGCTGTCTACTAGCTGTTTGTCCTTGGGCCAGCAACTTAAGTTCTCTCTGCCTCGGCTTCCTCATCTGAAAAACAGGGATAACAATATCTACCTCATAGGGTTGTTGTGATGATTAAAATTAAGCATTTAGAATAGTGCTGGCACAGATGTGCCAACAAACATTAGCTGTTTTTATTATCACTAGTTGTGATGGAATAATCATGTATTCCATTTTATATAAAGATGGCAATCTTAATCCAGAGAGAAAACACCAGTGCATGTAACAATAACAATGTGATAATAAAGATATATGCAAGATATTATAAAAATTAAGCTTAAAGAAAGGCATTTTTGTTTAAAGCTCCTTTTAAAAATAAAGGCCATCCTCATGTTTGTGTAGTCTTTTGTTAAGTCACTAATTCCCACATATTGCTTCAAATTGCAGACACCTTGCAGACTGAAGAAAAATGGAAGAATTGAATAAATTATGCTTAGAGTTTCCTCCCCTTCTCTAAGATCTCAGCTCACATTGCATCCTGGACCTTGGGAACACCCAAATCCCAAAACGAAATTGTGTTGAACAAAAATATCTGCATTCATGAAAGAGGGTATCCAGAAGTTATTAATGTAAATCTTTCCCATTTCAAAATTCTAGTTATTTGAATATTGATAGATTAGCCTCTGGTGTGTAATTGCTCAAACCTCACACATCAGAAAAACACATGATTACACAATAGCTGCAAAATGAGTCATGACAAATGGGCTGTGCCAAGTCATCGCAGCTGCAACTGATATACAAACCATGGCATGGAACAAAAGCCACACAGAAGGTTGCTGGTTGTTTGAGAAGTATCAGTTTGAAAATTGTACATGAGAAAGCGTATGGACAAGTAACACTAAGTATTCCAAAACAAAGCCTTTTTAAGGAAATACAACATATGGCAGAGGATAGATATCATGATTTAGATCTTTGGCTTTCAGGAATTCAGGTGACACATTCACTAGTGCTAAAGAAGGCAGCTCTGGAATGTTGCATGGCTTACAGGATTGAATAAATCATACAGGAGCAGACAAAATGTATTCTTTTTTAAAGTATTGAAAAAGAAGAGAAGGGGATAAACCTCTAGAATTATCTGATGAACTCTTCCCTTTCTCCATGTTCCTGCTGCTGCAAGTACTGAGAGGAAGTACGGTGTAAAAGACAGGGGTTTTATGATCAATCAGACTTGGGTTCATATCCCAATACTCGTTAACTGTGTGACTGTGAGAACATCATTTAATCTATTTGTATCCAAGTTTGCTCATCTATAAAATGGGGAAATACTTTGTAGGGTTCTTGTGAGATTCAGAAGTACCATTTGTACAATACCAGGCACATAGTACGTGCCCTCAAAATGGTAGCTGTTATTGATGTTGCCCTAGGAAGACATGTGTCTGCTTTGGTACATTCTGTGTCTGTGCTGTCTATTAATTAGTGACAGATACCTATAAGCACAGTCAACTAGAAAAGCGCAGCAGCAGAACACTTTCTGTAGGAAGACCACGTAACTAAAATTGGCAGAAATAGTGAAGTGCTACTTCCTGTCACTTAGAAGGCTATGCTAAAGTACTTAGGGCTTCAACGTGACTCTGCCTAGAGATTCTTAGTAGTATTAATTTGTTTCTTACTCATTAAAGGGCAGCATCTGGATATTTAAGGACATTAATACTTTAAACAAAGGAATGAAATTTATGTTTCTACTCAGTAGGTAAGGTTTCTTCCACAGGGGTCTGAAGCCACTTAAACATAATAAATGAAATATTCAGAATCTCCCCACTCCCCTCTGAAATGTTCCTTTGCTTATTAAAGCCATTTGTCATATAGGTAGACATCTCTGAACTCATTCTTATATGCAAAACCCAAGTATTTATATGTCTAGGATAGTTTTGAAATATTAAAACAAGCCAAGTAACTGCCATCCCCCATTCCCCCACCAAAGTAACAACAAAACCAGTCTGAACACAATACAGCAGGAAAAAAAATCAGAATTAAATTCTCTATCACCAAATAGAACTTGGGCCGAATACACATTTTAAATATCAAGCTAATACAGTGACTAGCTTAAGCTAACACAGCAAATATACTGTTATTTAACTGCGTGATTTAATGATTTATTTACCATGCGGGGAAGAATATTCATGCATCCTCTAAACTTGCAAAAGCTGCATACAAGCCATATCATTTCATATTTACCTTTAATTCTTCGGTTTATCTTCCACTGCTCATGCCTCTGTCTTCATAAATGGTAATTTCAATCTAAACAGCATGGCTGTTAAGAAAACACACTACAGGACACAACACACAAAGGGGGACTTGGCAAGGTGGAGGGTGTGATCTGCAGACTTTGCTTTCAGTTTGCTTTATTTTTCAATTATTAAACATTTTTCCTACTTAAGTTTGCTTTCTCCAATTTGCTGAAAATTTTAAGAAATGTAATTATAGTAGTCCACATGTAGTTCCTTCCCAAACACTGATAACTTATGTTTTGAAAACAAAACAAATAAATTCTGAAAACGATGCTTTATTTGTTGAACTAGGGAGTTCTTAACTGAGAATCCATGGAGGTAATGAATTCAGGGATTTAAAAATACCCTGAAATTATATGAAAACTTTTTTCTTGGGAAAGGGTTCATGACCCCTGAAAGTTTAAGAACTATTGTTGCAGAGTATAACAAAACTGCTGAAATTATTATCAGCTGGAAGGCCTGGGATTATGTGACCTAGGTTTTTAAAAAAATTTATTTACCCATTACTCCAGTTATCAAGCTAAATTAGTTTTTTGCAATTTTATTTACCAAATTCACTTAGTGATTTTCAAAGCTTACTGCCTCTAAAAATATGCACAGTATGTCAAAGGTAATGAAATTACACATCTGGCAGCTGTAACTGATTTCAACTAGTCAGATAAACCCATGAAACTGCAATTCATTTGGATGACAAGTCTCACCACACATTATGAGTTTATCCATTTCAAAGGGGCTTCAGGTTCAGGGTTTCTGCAGCTGAAATGCATTACTCAAACCACCCCCATTATTACTACAAGATGCCCTCAGAACCACCAGGAAAGATGGTGACAAGAATAGTAAACAAACCACAGAGACCTGCACCATGCAATGGAAGGAGGGACATGCTTTAAAAAAAAATGTTGGAGACACGGGGTTTACAGTAGGTATGCAATTCACACAGAAACTACCTAGGGCAAATACAGGATGAGAGTTAAATTCTCTCTAGCCAATGCCAAACAATATCAACATTTTCTTGTTATAAATATTTAGACTTTCTGATCCGAACTAAAAAGATACAACTCGCAGTCCTCGCTCAATAGGGTCTGTCAGGAGGAGGCCTTGTGGAGCATAGATCTTCTCATTCTGCTCTTGAATGTATTTGGAGACTTTCTTCAGAACCTGACAGAAAGAAACACCACAGCTTCTTACAAACTTCATCAGATTTCCCTTTAAGTGTTAGTGAGATCTCAAAATAGGCAGTGGGAATTCGTTTTCAAGGCAAGTCACATGGATATTCATATGGTGGAATACAGCTGTGATTACTTGGCTCACATGAGTTGCATATGACATACAGCCAAGTGTGAGGGACTCTTCCAGTCAAAAATATCTTCGACACAATGTAAATAAATGCAAAAGCATACAATGGCACGATGAGAACCAACCCACTCCTCCCTACTTCTCAGTCACCTCAATCCTGCATATGGAGAAACACACAGATGGTTATATACACAATGGCTGCTCAAGCTTCTCTTTTCCTATTCATAAAGTGCTGTTAATGTGACATCTTCTAAAATCAAGGACAGTTCTTGGCCTTGCCTTTTACAAAACTTAAAGGACTGCTTCTCTCCTTTGTACATGTTCATCAATTTAAAGTAATGATATAAGGTGGGCTTATAACAAAAGGTAGCCCCATTATTTCAAAACTAAGAAGTTTATTTCCTTTGTAGAGCATGTGGGCATTAGCTGCCAGGGAGTTTCTGATAAATACAAGTGTCTTATGTCATTTCCATGACTGCATGTAGTGCTATTCTGCAGTTTGCTCATTTCCTAGACAGGAACCTCAATTTATAAGTTTAGTATTAAGCTTGTAAAAGTCAAAGCAAATGTAGACAAAAACCAGATAGGATACAAAGGAACTTCTGGAAATTGCCAAATCTCCAGCTTTAATAAAGGCAATTCTGAGACAGATAAGCTAGAAGAAAATAAATCTTAATAGCTACATCCCAAATCAAAGAGTTACATGTTTTATTTCAGGCTCGAAGTCATCATAACTTTTTTCTGGCTCTAATGTTCAAAAGAGGCTTTGATCCAGTTCTTTAAATTACTATATATTTCCTTAAATTCACACTATTAGCAAATGATAAAGTCACAAATGTGATCACAACTTAAAGGGAAAAAAGAAGTGTATGGAAATAAAGTTGGAAATTAAGCAATGATTTAAGTGTGGCTTATATAACATACAGACCAAACTTAACAAATTAGGATGTCACAATTTAGATGCTTTGGTATAAACTGATTTAGAATTTAAAACTCTACCTGTTTCATATAAAGAATTTTCTAATTGAAGAAAAGTAATTTAAACACTTTATTCAAATATTTTTTGGGGATAAAAAAATCTCATGTTTTATGCTTCTTCAAAAGAGCGTAAGATTATTCAAAGAGCAATCTGCATGGTTCTTACGTAATAAATTAGGAGTATTATTTCTAAATAAAAGATTTGTTTTTTTCATCTAATTACCTGAAGCAATGCATGTATCATTCTCCTATTTTCAGCATTCAAAGAATTTTAGCTGTGCTTGGTCTTTATGAGCAAAAAAACCCCCTTAGGCACTATCTTCACATCAGAGTTTGTCAATCATCCTAAAATAATGAATAGAAGGAAGTAGCCCATAAAGGTGCCCAACTAAGGCCTCTCAATCTTCTAATTTCCTTCTCAGTTCACCTGCAGAATTGGAAACTGGAGACTCAGTCTCCCTTCACTCCAGTCCAGTAATACTAGGGAAGACACTCAGAAAAATGCCTGCATGGCTGGTTTCAAAGAAAGGATTCCTTCAGAACAGCTTTCCGTCTCCTTTCTCCGAGTACAGGTTACGAGCAAAGAAACGGCAACATCATTCTTTTATCTGGTTCAAGCATAACTTTGCTGGGCAAGTTTTTTTTTTGTTTTGTTTTGTTTTTTTTTTTTTTTTATTATACTCTAAGTTTTAGGGTACATGTGCACATTGTGCAGGTTAGTTACATATGTATACATGTGCCATGCTGGTGCGCTGCACCCACTAATGTGTCATCTAGCATTAGGTATATCTCCCAATGCTATCCCTCCCCGCTCCCCCGACCCCACCACAGTCCCCAGAGTGTGATATTCCCCTTCCTGTGTCCATGTGATCTCATTGTTCAATTCCCACCTATGAGTGAGAATATGCCAAGTCAATCCTAAGCCAAAAGAACAAAGCTGGAGGCATCACACTACCTGACTTCAAACTATACTACAAGGCTACAGTAACCAAAACAGCATGGTACTGGTACCAAAACAGAGATATAGATCAATGGAACAGAACAGAGCCCTCAGAAATAATGCCGCATATCTACAACTATCTGATCTTTGACAAACCTGAGAAAAACAAGCAATGGGGAAAGGATTCCCTATTTAATAAATGGTGCTGGGAAAACTGGCTAGCCATATGTAGAAAGCTGAAACTGGATCCCTTCCTTACACCTTATACAAAAATCAATTCAAGATGGATTAAAGATTTAAACGTTAAACCTAAAACCATAAAAACCCTAGAAGAAAACCTAGGCATTACCATTCAGGACATAGGCGTGGGCAAGGACTTCATGTCCAAAACACCAAAAGCAATGGCAACAAAAGCCAAAATTGACAAATGGGATCTAATTAAACTAAAGAGCTTCTGCACAGCAAAAGAAACTACCATCAGAGTGAACAGGCAACCTACAACATGGGAGAAAATTTTCGCAACCTACTCATCTGACAAAGGGCTAATATCCAGAATCTACAATGAACTCAAACAAATTTACAAGAAAAAAACAAACAACCCCATCAAAAAGTGGGCGAAGGACATGAACAGACACTTTTTTTTTTTTTATAAACTTTAGTAACATTGATATGCACTTGGGTATCAGTTCAGAAAGAAAACAATTAGTTTTCCTTTTTGTATAAGCTCTAAATATTCTTATACTATTGTGGTGAAGGCAACACTGTCCTTAACAAGATGCTTTAAAACTTAGTCTCAAAATAAAAATAAAATAAAAATTAAAACAAACGATAAAACTCTTAAAGTCTCTTTAATAGCAGAAGAGCATTAATATGTGTAAACTCATACCACAATCTCAGAAAGGACAAAGCGCCATTCTCACCCCCAAGAAATCATATGTTGACATTTTATTCACACTTTATTATTTTTGGTAAATCAATGTCAAAGCAAACCATAATATTTAACAAAGTTATCTGCTACTTTCAAATCCTCAACAAAACTTCAATTTGTATAATATTTACAAAGTGAAACACAATCAAACCTTGGAAAAACTACTGTCCTCCCTGAGGATATTCAACTGGAGAAAGCCTTCCAGACCTTCAAGAAAAATGGCCTGATTGAGGCTAAGTAACACCACATCTTACTGTTTTCAGAACATACCCAAGTTCTCTCCTGTGTTCCTTCTAGAGATTACAGCACATAGGCAGAAGGGATGTTTTCTAGTTCATGAACAAGGCAGAGAGATACTGAAAGGGGAACCTTCCACGAGCCCATTTGTCCCCTAATTATCATGGGTAGCAACAATAGAGAAATAACACTGAAGTCTTTATCTTCATTTTAAATCAATAAATAGCACATTATAGGGAAAAATGCATGATTGTTCTAGTGAGTTTTAAAAGGCCTATTTACAATTTCAAAAAATTTAACACACATGACAAAGTATAAGCACTGTTATATTTGGCTTACTGTTTGTAGACTAGGAATTTCGGTGTTTAAAACAATAGAGACTAAATGACTCAACCTCATCCTTTTGTAAGTAGAAAATAATAGCACAAAAATTCCTCAGAGACAAACTGGGAAAGGGAGAGGGCAGCTGTGCTTACATTTTAATCATTTTATCAAAACACAAATGCACACTTCTATTAAAAGTATAGGTATATCATATCTTAACTATCATCATTCCAGTTATTAATTCTGCACAATCTAATTATCCATGTTCAGTTTCTACAAAATATCACCTATTTTTAAAATGTGGCCATGCCTTAAATTTGGTTTCTGGATTAATTTTATTTGGTCTTTATTTGCTTTGTAACATTTGCTCTATAAAAAGAAAGGGGCCTTGCTTAGACCTATAAAATAGGACCTTACACAATGTCTACAAATCCAAGCTAAAACATATACTGGGATCAACCAATTTCCATTGTATTTCTGGTATTTAGGACCATCTTCCAAGATTTAATAATTGGAAGGTTTTTAATTGAGAGCTGCTAAGTGTTTTCAGCACCCAAATAAACTAGCGGCTGGCTAAAAGATTACTTATACTTGAAAATAAAAAATCATATGTGAGTTCACAAATATCTGATTAAAACTTACATAGGTAACTTCATTTAAAATCTATCTTGGCTGGGCACAGTGGCTCATGCCTGTAGCCCTAGCACTTTGGGAGGCCGAGACGGGAGGATCGCTTGAGGCCAGGAGTGCAAGACCAGCCTAGCCAACATAGTGAGACCCCATCTCTAGTTTTTTTTAAAAAAGTAAGTAATAAAGGCTGAGTGCTGGGTGCAGTGACTCACACCTGTAATCCTAGAACTTTGGGAGGCCAATGCAGGTGGATTACTTGAGGCCAGGAGTTTGAGACCAGCCTGGTCAATATGGTGAAACTTCATCTCTACTGGCACAAGAATCACTTGAACCCAGGAGGTGGAGGTTGCAGTGAGCCGGGATCGCACCACTGCATTCCAGCCCGGGTGACAGAGCAAGACTCTGTCTCAATTAAAAAAAAAAAAAATCGACCTCAAGAAAACACTGTTTATTAAGCACTAACCACATGTAAGGAAAATTATTAATTCTAATATACATTTTATAGTTGAGAGAATTCAGAGAGATTAATTTGTCCAAGATCTCATAATTAGTATAAACTGACTAGCACCCAATTACCAATTTCTTTTTACAAATGACATCAGTACTTCTATTTCAGCAAATACACTTTGACAAATACAATTAAAATTTTATCAACAAATGTAATAACAACTCAAGCCTTTTAATACTTCACTAAGCATGAATAAAATACTCAAGAGATGTGCTTCTACCTTAAATTAGCAATATTATGGACTTCTGTAAATAGTCATTCCAGATGATAAAGTTTCTACCTATGTGAATTCAGCTTTACCCTCCCCTCCTACATTCATACCAACTATCAACATATCCCTTGGAGCTGGTCACCTCTTTGCACCTCCCCTGCTCCCTTCCTAATCCAGGCTATCTCACTCTTGCCTGGACTTCTGTGGAGCTTCCTGACTAGTTTCCCTACTTCTATTCTTATGCCTTTTTTCCACAAAGCAAAGAGATCTCTTTAAAATGAAAATCTTGCTGGGCGCAGCGGCTCAGGCCTTTAATCCCAATACTCTGAGAGGCTGAGGTGAGAGGATCGCTTGAGCCCAGGAGTTCGAGACCAGCGTGGACAACACAGTGAGACCCTGTCTCTATTACAAAAATAAATAAAATGAAAATCTCATCACATCACTCTCTTGATTAAATCCTTTGAGTAGCTTCCCACTTGCACTAAAAATAAAATCTACACTTCATTCCATGGACTAGGCACTCCATGTTACAGCTCCTGCTTACCTCTCCAAATCCACCTCCCATCATTCTCTGCCCCTCCTCTCCTGTGCATCACCTTCTCTCAGTTCCCAAGGTCCATCAAGCTCTCTGGGCCTTTGTGTATGTTCATCTTTCTGCCTTAATGCCCCAGGCTTTTCATCCTTCATGCAACAGCTTAAATGTCACCACCTCAGAGGCCTCTTCTGACCACACACCCTAGATTAGGTCCCGCTTATTATTTTCAAGCATAGGCCAGTTTGTTTCCTTCAAGGCACTTATCATAATGTGTAATTTTGCTGGCTTTGTTTCCTTGTTATTATCAGCTTTCACCACTTAATTATAAACTCCACAAGGTCAGCAACCATGTTCGCCCTGTTCCGTTATGTCCCAGCACTTTGCTTAGCACATAGTAGGCTTTCAATAGTTACTGAGCAAACAAATCCCCTGAGCCTTCACTCACTGAACGTATTATTAGAGAGGAGATACACTGAAACAGACTGAAAGCTGACATAGAGCCTTGATAACTTCTGATTTTGAAAGTTTAAACAGGAATGAAAGCTTCTCTGTGTATTGATATGGAAGGGAAGAGCACGGTCCCTTTAAATCATACAGAAGCAGGCAGGGAAGTGCTGGGTAGAGAAGGGCATGGTCCCTGGCTAGCGCTCCACCTCCAGGCCTGTGCCCAGTAGTGAAGACAGACATTTTTGTTTTCCTGCCCAAATGCTGCATTTCCACCCTGGCCTGCCACACCCCTATCCTGTGCCTATAAAAGCCCTGAGACCCCAGCAGGCAGACAAACAGGTGGCTGGATGTCAAGAGGTGCACATTAGTGGAGGAACACACAGGGTGGCTGGATGTCAAGAGGAACACACTGGCGTAGGAGCACACTGGCACACCGGTAGGCCATCAATTGGCAGAATCAGGTGGAGTTTGGCCAGGGTGGTTGGAGAAGAGTTCGGTCATCGAGCGGCCTGACTCCAGGGGAAAACTATCTCCCTTCTGGCTCCCCCATCTGCTGAGAGCTACTTCCACTCAACAAAACCTTGCACTCATTCTCCAAGCCCACATGTGATCCGATTCTTCTGGTACACCAAGGCAAGAACTCTGGGATACAGAAAGCCCTCTGCCCTTGTGATAAGGCAGGGGTCTAATTGAGCTAACACAAGCCGCCTATGGATGGCTAAACTAAAAGAGCACCCTGTAACATATGCCCACTGGGGCTTCAGGAGCTGTAAAACATTCACCCCTAGACACTGCTGTGGGGTTGGAGCCCCACAGCCTGCCCATCTGTATGCTCTCCTAGAGGTTTGAGCAGCAGGGTACTGAAGAAGCAAGCCACACCCCATCACACGCCCTGCGAGGGGGACAAGAGAACTTTTCCTGTTTCAACATGGGGAAGGATATAAATAACTATACTTAAATATACCTGTTTATATGAGATGGAACAGGATGGTAATGAAGAATACAACAGCATTTTCAGCCAACAGCTCCAAAAACTTTAGCTGCAACTATATGCACTCTCCACTACATGGAGTGTAAGACATTTCTATCAGATGGGTCATAATATATTCTTATAGCATTTCGTTTTCTAAGCACTGTCAGAATTTAGTGATATACCAGGGGCTTACCATGATTAATTTACAGTCATTTATTTAACATACATTCAATGAGTGCCTGATATACCCAAAGCATGGTGTTAGGCATGAAGAGGGATACAAAATGGTTAAGGCATTGTCCTCAAGAAAAGTACATACTTGAAAGGCAAATAAGACAAGAAAATAAACTGCTACATTCCAAAGAAGAGTGAGGCAAGTGCCAGAAAACAGATACAAATAAAATGTTGTAGGGACACAAGAGAAGAGAAAGAATTCTGACTAAAACAGAGAACAAGTTAGATGGAAGTGAGACCTAAGGGACTGGTGGGATTTGAACCTGGGAAGATAGCATTCCAGGTGGAGGAGAACCACAGTGGGTATGTTTGCTGACCAGTGAGGGATGGAGTTTGGCTGAGGGAGAAAGTGAAGGAAGGAATGGGAGGTAGCGCTGGAAAGGTAAGCTGAGGTCAACTTGAGCAGGGCCTTGAATTTTACTCAGTGGTAAAACATGGGAATCCAGGGAAGGTCTCCGACTTGGCAGAAGTAGTAGGGGAAGTAAATCTGCGCTTTATAAAAACAACAGCAGATAGTTTAGAAAAGCAAAAGGAGGGAAGAAATGAGACAAGTCAGACTATTTCAATAGTCTAGGAGAGACAGAATAAGGGCATAACCCAGGATAGTGGCAGAGGAAATCACAAAAAGTTAATGACTGGGAAAATGAAAGATACTTCAGTCTTTGAAAACAGATTAATTTTTCCCTCTTCTTCATCCCTCATGCCCAAAGATGGTACTGAAAAGACAGGGGTGCTATTGACAAAATGGGGAGGTGGGAGGTTTGACTTCTGGTCATCTTAAGTTGAGAAATCAGCAATTCGGGAGCTAGTAGGCAGCTGGAAAGAGAAAGTAAGAACTCAGGTGGGAGAAGAGAGTGAAATTTAGGGAAATAAAGTAAAAACATTCCCAGAAAGCTGAGTAGGAAGAGAACATATAGATTTTCTACATTCTTCTTAAGTGTAGGCCAGTCTGAACATTGACACATCATCTGCAAGTGGACATACCAACTGCAACCTGTTTTGAAAGACTCAGGACTATGTGCCTCTGTACACAGGAACAACACAATTTGAATGATAAATGCCCCTAAATATTTTACGGCAACTATCACCATGTAAGCATCAATGTGTAATAAACTTGCCTTCTTCATGATTTTAAGAGATTTTTGTGAAAACAAATGTAGCATTACCTTCTCATAATGAGTTTCCATGCATAGGAAGATGGTATATGCTGTTAAACAAGCCAAACAACCTTCGAGATATGACTGGCCGCCGAGCTTCTCTGCTTCTGCATAAAGGTTATTTAGAGTTCGAACTGTTTCTTCAAACTGCTGCCTATCAATCTGTAGAGAAGAAAATATTTAAAAATTAAGTTTTGGAAAAAAAAAATCAACTAATGCATGCTATCATTAATTTATCTTGTTTTCTCACCATTCTTAGTTGACAATTTTTTTGGTGACTAAATCTGGGCCTAAGTTACCAAAACTGCTTAATTTGTTTAATTTTATCCCTCTTATAAATACTGGATAGCTTCAAGGCTCAATAAGGTACTTCTTTATTCTTTCTACTAAATTTCAAGTAACTTTAGGCTCTATTCCTCTTTCCATTCATTTAGTTTCACACTTACTGAGCGCCTACTATCAGATACTATGAAAAATCTCAAGATAAAGCACTGTCTCAATCCTTAAGAGTTTAATTATGCAAGCAGAACAGGCAATGTAAACATAAAAATGCAGTAAGCTGGCCAGGTGCGGTGGCTCATGCCTGTAATCCCAGCACTTTGGGAGGCTGAGGTGGGCGGATCACGAGGTCAGGAGATGGAGACCATCCTGGCTAACATGGTGAAACCCCGTCTCTACTAAAAATACCAAAAAAAATTAGCCGGGCATGGTGGCGGGTGCCTATAGCCCCAGCTACTGGGGAGGCTGAGGCAGGAGAATGGCGTGAACCCGGGAGGTGGAGCTTGCAGTGAGCCGAGACTGCGCCACTGCACTCCAGCCTGGGTGACAGAGCGAGACTCCGTCTCAAAAAAAAAAAAAAAAAAAAAGCAATAAACTGACAGGGTACTATCATATAGGCAAATATAAAGCCTAGTGGGGACACAAAAGCAAGGAGAAATTCCCTTTATCTGGGAAGGGCAGGTAATCTTAAATTGAGTAACTAAAGACTGGAATTTACTAGGCAAAAAAAAAAAAAATGGCATTTTAGCAGAAGGATCAAAAGGCGTAGGTTCTATATTCTGTTTACTCAGCCTATCTCTTTTGAAGCAATTATCTTGTTACTAAATAAGGTAAAATTTGTTAAGGTAAAATCTCAAGCTAATAAACAATTTTTCACATTAAGTCATTCTTATTACCTCTTTCTATTTGGTGACACCATTATCTTAAATTTACACTAATACTACCACAGGTTGAGCATCCCTGATCTTAAATTCTGAAGTCAGAAAGGCTCCAAAATCTGAAACTTTTGAGCACTGACATGATACCACAAGTGGGAAATTCCAAACCCGACCTCATGTGAGGGGTCACAGTCAAAATGCAGGCGCACAACACATAGTTTATTCAGTGTCCCCAAGAGAAAAAGACCCTTCCAGCCCCCATCAGCTGCCATGTATCTTTTCCATGCACAGCCAGATTCTCCCATGCAAGCGTGCTCACAAAGGGTGATAAGATGGTTCAGTGTACACACACTTTGTCTCATAAAGTCATTTAAAATATTGTATAAAATTACCTTCAGGTTATATGTATAAGGTGGATATAAAACATAATGAATTTCGTGTTTAGACTTGGATCCCATTCCCAAGATATCTCATTAGTATAAACAAATATTTCAAAATCTAAAAAAACCCCAAAAACTGAAATACTTCTGGTTCCACATATTTCACATAAGAAAGAACCTGTACTGTCATCCATTGTTTCACTCAATCATCTGCTTTTACTTTATTCTTCCAATATTACTTTACTGTCTTCTAATAGTACTTTGTATAACAGATTTCAAATTTTGCTACTTCATCCCAGGACTTTCAAGGCCCATTAGGAGAGCAATCATCCAATACTGCCATTCTTATCTGTCTGCACTCTAGGCCTTCTCTCGCATAAGGATTCCCTTATTTCTAAAATTAATAACTACTTACGTATGAATTCTCTCTTTTATGAAGTCCTTATTTAAAAGACTTTTTTGTTTGGCTTTTTTTTTTTCTCCTTTCCTGTCTCTGTGAACCTATTAAATCTTTCTTTATAATAGAAACCGACTCAGAAAAAAAAAAATCAGGCTGGCGTGGTGGCTCATTCCTGTAATCCCAGCACTTGGGAAGTTGAGCTGGGTGGATCACTTGAGCTCAGGAGTTTGAGACCAGCCTGGGCAACATGGTGAAACTCTGTCTCTACTAAAAATGCAAAAATTAGCCAGGCGTGGTGGTGCATGCCTATAGTCCTAGCTACTCAGGAGGCTGAGGTGGGAGGATTGCTGGAGCCTGGGAAGTGGAGGTTGCAGTGAACTGAGATCTCACCACTGCACTCCAGTCTGGGTGACAGAGTGAGACCCTGTCTCAAAAAAAGAAAGAAAGAAAAAAAACCCTCAACATACAGTATGAGCCCTACTATTCACTATTCCCAAGAATGTAATCTTTTTTTTTTTTTTTTTTTTTTTTGAGACAGAGTCTCACTCTGTCACCCTGGCTGGAGTGCAGTGGCGCAATCTTGGCTCACTGTAACCTCTGGTCCCAGGATCAAGTGATTCTCGTGTCTCAGCCTCCCGAGTAGCTGGGATTACAGGCGTGCACCACCATTCCCTACTAATTTTTGTATTTTTAGTAGAGACGAGGTTTTGCCATGTTGCCAGGCTGGTCTCAGGCTCCTAGCCTCATGTGATCCACCCCCCTGGCCTCCCAAAGAGCCACCTGCACCTGGCCTCAAGAACATAATCTTTTAAAGTGTAAAACAATTCATGACCATCCTTAAGCTATGACAACTCTTTAAGTTAGAAGCAGTTGTAGTCATTGTTTTGTCCGTTGTGTGGAAAATGTGAGGAGTCAATGGGCTAGTGGCATGCATGAATTTAATGCAAACTTTAAAGTGGTGTTGGCTCTACCCATTTTTCAAAAGGAGTTACTTTAAATTTCCAGGAATATTAGAGATTTGGACAAAGGCTAGGTGGGTCAAGACGGCCTTTAAACGCAGGGGCAGTGTTTCTTCACTGAGCTACCCCTTGTAGATGTGGTGTCAAGGCTGGTCATCTGGGAAACTGTGAGTTCTCATTCACGAAAACAGACTGAGGAGAGCTCAGCAAACAAAAATGGTAAGCTGTTACGTTCACCTAATTATGCCTACGTTAATGCCTTCAGTTTGTCCACCGATAAGTCTACAAAAGTCTAAATAATTCCAATCACATTTGATGTGCCTATGTTATAAGTCATTGAATTATTTATATTTCTTTACAATACAATTCAAAACCATGGGATTCAACCCAGAAACATCTTATTTCTTTCATATCAGAATTACTGTTTATCCCGGAAACCCTAATTATTATTATTTTTTAAGTTTAGTGACAGAGTATCGCTATGTTGCCCAGACTGGTCTTGAACTCCTGGCCCCAAGGGATACTCCTACCTCAACCCCCAGAGCAGCTGGGATTACTTGGGTGCAAACCACCATGCCCAGCCAGAAACACTTAATTCTTATGCGTTATTCCGAGATTACAATGCCCTATAGGTTAGAGGTAAATCATACGTCAGTTAAACAAACAAACAAAAAAAGGTTAATAAAAAAAGAAAAAGAAAGGATAAATGGTTAAAGAAAAGTAAATGCCAACAAGTTTTTGAAAGGTTATTTTAAAAAAGGGAAATAAAGGGTAAAAATCACAGAAGGCATCAATAAAGGCAAACGACAAACTTCACAAGAAAGGGCTCAAGAGAACAAATGTTGGCATTTGTATCTTACTACCTTTAGGCTATGAATAACAGTGGCCAGTGTTCTCCCTTAGGTTCCTGGACACTGATACAGGAGCTCTATCAAAATTTAGATATATGAGAAGTCACAGCCAAATAAAATTTGGACCCACAAACATCAAAAATCAGAATGGAAAGAGAAATCAGGCTTATTTTCCCAGAATTACTGTGAACTACACAGTAGAAAGCATGGTGAAGCATGCAGTGATCACGTATCAAGGGTGGCAGGTCAAAGGTAATTACTAACCAGATGGGGAGACATATTTTTAAAGGGAAAAAATGCCTCAATTACAGTTCACTCATTCTTCTACCCAGACCAAGGGTAACTAAGATATCTGTATTTTAAGGCTAATGAGAATAAAGTTTCCTTTAAGGAATTGTTCTGGCAACAAATCGCTTAAGCATCAAAGTATTACATTCTAAAAGGCAGCAGAGAAAATGAACTTGTTAACAGACAGAACCTATCCTACTCCCAAATTAAAGGGCACAAATGTGTGTGTATTTTTAAAAAATGCTTTAAAATAATACAAAACACTTGCATATTAGTCACTTTCTCTATTATGTTGCCAAGTGTGATGTTCTCACAAAAGGAAAATCAGCTCCAATAGCAGAGCAATCAGTAAAATTTCTAGGGTAAGTAGTAGAGAAACAGAAACCTTTCAATTTTTCATCAAAGCAAGGAAAGTTTAAACCTGTAATTTAAATTTAATCTCAACACACATACACAGACAATCAAAGCTTTTCTAGTGGTTTAAAGCATAAGCTAGTGTTTTAACCCAAACATTTAAAAAGAAAAAAGAAATTCAAAGGCACAATTGAAGAGTGCCATGTAACATTCCATATAGTACTCAGTACCACAAGCAGTTCTGGGCTATACAGAGTCAAAGAGGTAAAAGGACTCCAGAATTTAGAAACATCAATTTCCTGACAAGAATCAGTGGAGCACAGTAACTACATTGTGCTTTTGCACTTAGATTACAAAATAAAGGCTCTGCCACACACAGAGTGGAAGGCTAATGTCTGATTCTGTGTATACACATTTAGCTCAAATATATGAGGTGTAAGTGTTGCTTTAAAACCTTAAAGCAAAGGAATCTTTAATGTCCAAATAATTGTGGTAAAAAAAGAATACTTTATATTCTGATTTTGAAGTACATAAATTGTATGTCATAGTTTCCGTAAGAGGCTTAAAAATAAAACATTTGATTGATTCCATGTATATCTTTTTATTTGATTTATTTTTTGAGACAAGAGTCTTGCTCTGTCGCCCAGGCTGGAGTACAATGGCATGATCTCGGCTCACTGCAACCTCCGCCTCCCAGGTTCAAGAAATTCTTCTACTTCAGCCTCCTGAGTAGCGGGGATTACAGGTGCCCGCCACCATGCCTGACTAATTTTTGTATTTTTAGTAGAGATGGGGTTTCACCATGTTGGCCAAGCTGGTCTTGAATTCCCGACCTCAAGTGATGCACCCGCCACGGCCTCCCAGAGTGCTGGGATTACAGGCGTGAGCCACCGGGCCCAGCCAGATTCCATGTCAATCTTAACATGTAAAACACATCAATTGTGATGTTAAATTATTTTAAAACAACATTCAGTAGCTCTACCCAACTGGCCACTTGCTGAATTTCTACCTCTTCAAACCACTGTAGATAGTTCCACCTATTGTCACGCTCAGTTAACTCATAACATAGTTGACAACATACTGCAGCATTTAAATGGCATTTCAGAAACAAGTCACCTCACCATCTTTTAAAGGCATATTTGATCCATTTGCAATTCAAGAAACATATTTGGGCCATGAAGCTGCCCATGGTTATGTCAAACTGAAGGAAACTATAATGGATCATTGTTGATTTCCCAACCATGGAAATCGGGCAGTGCAACCCACCTCACTGCAAACTGACTGTAAATAACTGCTACACATTTCTCTACACAGACTCATCCACACCCACTTATCCCATGACCAGCATCTCTCAGTCCCACACCCAAGGAATGCCTAATCACCTCTCAGGCCCTCGTCCTCCCTGTCACAGAGGAGAGAGCCACAAAACCTGCTTCCAGCTAACCAGAAATTGATCCCTGAACGGGAAACACAATCTACATAACATGGGTCAAGACCAAAAGAATCTTTGGTTGAATGTACATATGTGGGCACACAAAAACACAGGCAGGCACGCACACACTCCATTACCTCTACAACAAGATACAATGATTTTTTTTTTTTTTTTAAAGTTTTGCTAGGTCTGAAGGGGAAGCAAATCCCATTCTTCCATTTTTGCCTGCAATGTTGCCCAAAGGACCTATATCCTGATGACCATTTTGATATGCAAGACAAAACAGGTGGCTCCCAGTGAATGTGACAAGTTTAAGGCCTTGTTCTGAGACATTTTCCTGTCCAGGCCTATCTAACGCCCGACGTCTTTAAGGTTCCAAGAAAGCCTGAACGCACCGCCTGGCCATGCACCTAATAAACCCTTTCAGCCAAACAGTGCGGCCAGCACAGAGGCAGCAAACACCAGTCACGAGAATGATGATGATTTATCTTGCGCGGAGAGGTAGGAGGATATAGTTTACAACCTGGTGACTGAGACGACCTGGAGCCTCAGGAATTGGCTCCTCATCGCTGCCGACAATAACCCGGGGTGGGGATTTGGGGGAGTGCAGCAGGGGAACACTGCTGGATCCAGATTCCCGGCACCGGGCAACAAAGTTCCATAAGGTCGTCAACCCCGGCGATCGGCCTATATTATTCTTCCTGCTCCAAACACCTGTCTTGCTTAGTGGCTCTCTTCTTACACGTTTGGCCAAGGCCCCTTCTGTGCCTGGACCTCCCCAGAACTGCGGGACCCTCAAAGGCCCGGTTGTCGCCCACACCCTTCCCGTCCCCGGTGAGTCTCTCTCCCTCGCCAGAGCAGGCGTGGGGAGCCAGGTTGCGTACCCGGTTCTCCAGCTCCGCAGGGAACTTGGTCTGGAACTGGCAGCGTGTGCCACTGCTGTAGTCTCGCTGAATGAACACCTTTCCGGACACCGGCGCCTGCTGCGGCCTCATGGCGAGGACAGGACACCCCGCGCTGCGGGGTCGGGGGAACACCAACCGCGAGTCAGAGCCCCGGCCTGGACCCGGGACTCTGACCCGCCAGCCCCTCGCCCCCACCCGCCGCCGAAAACAGCCCAAGGCCTCCTCTGCCCCGCTCCCCTTCACCCATGCTGTCACCGCGGGCCTTAGCTGCCGCCTGGCCCAGGCCCCGCGCCCCCCACAACCCGGTTCGGCCCGGGAAACACAAACCCGCCTCCTCTGCCCTCCAGCTGCTGTCGCACCGCCTTCGCCGTCACTTACGTCCTGCCGCAAAAAGCCTCTTCCCCGCCCCTCAGCTCGGCCTCCTACCTCAGGTCTGGGACCCACCCTCTCCTCCGGCCGTAAAGCCACCCTGCCGAAGCTGCGCGCTGTGGGGCTGGGCCGAGGAAGGGAAATGATGTGGGCGGGGCCAGGGCCGACCCCGCCTTCCGCCCGCGCGGGGATTGTTTCCGGAAGGAGAGAGGCGGGGCGAGCTGTGGGGCTGCGGCCGGGGCGAGCTGTGGGGCTGCGGCCGGCGCGAGCGCGCGGGGGTGTGAGGGGCGGAGTTTCCCGGCTGTGTCACTTCCCTAGTGATTGTGGCAGGTGGTTCCCGATCACTGATTGTGAGGGGTCATTTTCGTTCTTGATTGGACGTCGCAGCTTACGTGTGGGTTATGCCACCCAACTCATACACAAAACAAAAAACAAAACATAAAGAAAAAACAACACCCCCTCCCCAAACCCTCAAACACAAACTGCTCATTGTGTTCAGAAGTAGAAAGCAGGCTCCAAGGATGGATCCATTTGGTCCCTAGACTCTTGAGAAAGGGTCAGGAAGTGAGGACGAAGAACCTGCCTGGGCCCCAGCGTTGGGCGCCCCTGCCCCGACTCTTCTTTGGGGGCGGCGTTCCTCTCACCCCCCATTTCCACCCAGCTCCCATCCACATCCCTCAGGTGACCAAGGGGACAAGTGGTTCCGCCCTCGTTGCCCACTGGCCCTTACTTGACTCAGCATTTCTTTGCAAGGCAGCCAAAGAAACCCCACCTTACCCTTGTCTCCTGCTAATACAACCTGTTAGTACCACTGTCTTTTATATATTTAATATAGTTTAAATATCCTGCCTTTTAAATATGAAAAATTCTCTTACTGTATTTTAAAAACAGCTTTTTCGAGATATAAATGGCATACAATAAACCACACATTTAAAGCAGTGGATTTGATAACTTTGGACATATGAATACACCCATAAACCACTGTCACAATCAAGATAGTAAAGCTCCATTGCCCTGAAAAGGTTCCTCCAGCTCCTGTGTAATCTCTCCCTCCTGCCTCTCCCAGACCCCATTTCCCAGGCACTGATCCACCTTCTGTCACTCAACATTAGTTTCATTTCCTTGAATTTTATATAAATTGAATCATATAGTGTGTACCCCCTTTTTTTGCCTGGCTTCTTTCACATAGACTATTTTGAAGTCCATCTGTTGTTGTGTTATCAATAATTCATTTATTTTTGATGCTGGATAGCTATTCCATTGTATGGCCATCCCACAGTTTGTTTATCCATTCATCTGTTGATGGACATTTGGATTGCTTCCAGTTTTGGGATGTTACAAATAAAGCTGCTATGGACATTCATTTGCAAGTCTTTGCATAGGTGTGTAGACCTTAATGCTTTCATTTCTCTTGGGTACATACCTAGGAGTAGAATGGCTAGATTGTACGGTAAAAACACGTTTAACTTTTTGGCAGACTGACAAACTGTTTTCCAAAGTGGTGACACCATTTTGCATTCCCACCAGAGTTCCAGTTGCTCCACATCTTTGCCAAGACTTGGGTAGTAATATCTTCTGCAGCTATAATTTTCATTTTTCCATGACTAATTATTTTGAACATATTTTCCTGTACTTATTTGCCATCCATGTATCTTCTCTGGTGAAGTGTCTATTTAAAACTTTTGCCCATTTTTTTGTTTGTATTTTATTTTCCTGTTGTTGAGGGGTTTTTTGTTTTATTTTGTTTTGATTTACATCTTTATTGGCTGGGCTTAAGGTCAGTTTTAAATTTTTAAGGCACTTTAATTCTTGGATTTTTGTATGTTTAAAGATGTTTTCCTGAGGCCTTTATACTTGCGTGAGAACTTGGCCGGGCTGTTTTTGAGTTTTGAGTTCTTTATACATTCTGGAGAAAAATCCTTTATCAGATATGTGATTTGCATGCATTTTTCACAGTCTGTGATTTGTCTTTTTACTCTCTTAACACGTTAGGGGTTTGAGGGGATTAGGGTGTGGACCTCTTGGGGAGGGCATTTCTGCCTCCCATAGGTATAGAGTGAAACTCTTCCCTCCCCCCGTATGATTATGCAGTTGTTATTCAGTTGTTTACGTACCATTTGTTGAAAAGACTCTCATTTCTTCACTGAATTGCCTTTGTATCTCTGTTGAAAATCAGTGGGGGCCGGGCGCGGTGGCTCACGCCTGTAATCCCAGCACTTTGAGAGGCCGAGGCGGGCGGATCACGAGGTCAGGAGATCGAGATCATTCTGGCTAACACGGTGAAACCCCGTGTCTACTAAAAATACAAAAAATGAGCCGGGCGCCGTGGCGGGCGCCTATAAGTCCCAGCTACTCGAGAGGCTGAGGCAGGAGAATGGGGTGAACTCGGGAGGCGGAGCTTGCAGTGAGCGGAGATAGTGCCACTGCACTCCGGCCTGGGCTAAAGAGCGAGACTCTGTCTCAAAAAAAAAAAAAAAAAAAAAAAGAAAAAGAAAATCAGTGGTGTGTGTGTGTGTGTGTGTGTCTGTCTGTCTGTCCCTCTGTCTGCCTGTTTTGGACTTTCTATTCCGTTTCATGATCTGATCCTGTTTTGAATTAAATGTCTACTAGTGTTTGTCTCCGAAGTTGATGCTTCCTTACTAACTCAGTAAGATCTCCTAGGAGCTGGTTTTCTACATATTTGTTACTAGGGGTTGAG
The DNA here is from genome assembly GCF_000001405.40 of Homo sapiens. Lineage (NCBI taxonomy): Eukaryota > Metazoa > Chordata > Mammalia > Primates > Hominidae > Homo > Homo sapiens. The sequence goes on along the minus strand of NC_000008.11, from coordinate 41,487,877 downwards.
AACACCCTTAAACAGGTAAAACAGTCTCTACCCTCAAAATTTCAGTCTAATGGAGTGAACGAAGAAAACAATTTTCATACATTGTATATTTGGAGTATTTTCCTGCAGCCCTTGGCCACTGAGACTAGGTGGTAAAACAGACTATTATTATTATTTTTTGAGATGGATCTCACTCTGTCGCCCAGGCTGGAGTTCAGTGGCACGATCTCGGCTCACCACAACCTCCGCCTCCTGGGTTCAAGCCATTCTCCTGCCTCAGCCTCCCGAGTAGCTGGAATTACAGGTGCGTGCCACCACACCCAGCTAATTTTTGTATTTTTTTGCGTAGAGACGGGGTTTCACCGTGTTGTCTAGGCTGGTCTTGAACTCCTGACCTCGTGATCCACCCGCCTCGGCCTCCCAAAGTGCTGGGATTACAGGCGTGAGCCACTGCACCCAGCAAACAGATTATTTTTGAATGAGGAAATTTGAGGGCAAATATAACCCAAGGAAAACCCTCTTCATGTTTGGGAAGAGGATCGATCCCAGGTGAAAGAGGAATCAAAGGACGATGAGCTGTATTGTTATCGTCTTCCCTCATCCCTAAACACACTCATGTGTCTAGATTCTAGTTTTGCCATTAAAAGTAAAACAGCAATTACTTTTGTACCAACCAAATAGCTTCTGGCAGTTACCAGCAATCCTTGGAATTCCTTGGCTTATGACAGCATAACTGCAATTTCTGCCTCCATCTTCCCATGGCCTTCTTCCCTGTATCTTCTCTGTGTCTTGAAATATTTCTCTCCTTATAAAGAGCACTATTCATTGGCTTTAGGGCCCACCTAATCCTGTCTGACCATCTTAACCTGATTACATCTGTAAAGACCCTATTTGCAAATAAGGATCTGGGGTTCCCGACTGACATGGATTTTGGGGGACACTATTAAATCTAGTACATCTACCTTGTAGAGGGTGTCAATGTGATATTGTATGTAAAACACTTAGAATGTGTTTGGCACATAACAAATACTGTATGGTACTCTGTTTTTTTTTTAAATTATTACATCATTAGTGACATAGTCAAATGATTTGCTAACATTAACATCATGATAGCAGCAGCTACTATTCATTGGGCTATTAGTGTTAAGGAACTAGGTTGAGCGGTTTATATGCATTACCTCATATAATCTCTACTATATCTATTAATCTAGTAACCCTGGCCAAACAATGATAATACTATATAATACAGATATGATCTATAATCTATGAGCTCACTAGCCCTACACTATTATTTTATTCCTTTCTATGTTTTCAACAATCCTCTGATATTTTAAGGAGCTGAAGTCAAGCTATTAGTCTACAGTATTGACAATTCATTCTTCCTTTTTGAATTTTGAGTCCCTTGTCTATGTTTAGCTTCTTTGAAGCCTACATATTATCTATTTTATTCCTCTGTCCATAATAGATTCTCATGAAATGCTTTGAAAATGAATTCATTCAACAAATATTTGTCGACACTCATAAGGGCTGGTGATGAAAGGATAAAAAAAGTGTGGATTATTTATGTCCTGTGGAAATTCACATTCTTATGGGTGGCCAGGAGGGTGGGAGGAGGGAGATTATAACAGGTTAAAAAACTTTGGGGAAGGGGAGGGGTTTTAACAGAAGGAGAGATAATTGGGCATTCCAGCCTCTCTGTCCAGGGAATGATAAGTATTCATACCTGAAATAAGTAGGATCTGAAGTCTGCTTGGGTGAGGGTCAGGTGGGAGTAGGGATGAGAGATCTTTAATAGAGAAGAGAGATGGTGATAAAAATCTTATATCCTTTTACACACCCCTCTATCGTTTCTTCTCCAAGGTGAATGAACCAGCTTCCTTTATCTTCGATGGTAGGATCTCTATTCCAAAGTTTCTGTCTTTTTGTATGACTCTCAGAACCTTCTGGTGTTTCAAACTAGATACTCTGATAAGAGCGTTAACCTGTGCTGAATATTATCAGTGAAATCCTTTTGTCCCTCCATTTTCAACTCTGTTTTTTTTTCTCTATTGGAACAAAGCTAGCTTTTCAATGCGGGGTCCCATTCTGTATCACCAACTCATGTTCAACTTTTGACCCATCCTGGATCATTTTCGGCCCTGCTTACAAACAGCTTCCCACGCTGCAGATGGCGTCTTCTCTTCAGCTACGATCTCTCCTGGGCTTTGTTCTATTTGTGTCCAACCACTTCCTCCCAGGTCCTTCATAAAGATCTCAATTGGATTGAAAGACGTCCTTATACTAAAGAAATTTTAAACTGTCCTCCTTGGCCATGCTCACGTTGCTCACCGAAGCCATCCCCGTTTCGTCTAACATCGTTTTTTTTGTAGTAGTTGTTTTCTTCTAAAGCTTTGAGGCATGACTGGGGTGGGGGCAGATCAAATCCATTTTCCTCGTTTTCAGTTCTAGTGTCTACCATGCACTGGTACAATGGGCAGAACTCCAAGGATCATTGTCTCTTTGTTTTCATGCATTTGCTGGTAATTTCAAGTCAGCTTCCGTTTTATAAGCTTGTATGTCTTTATTGCATTTTGAGAGAACATTATTGGCATACCTGAATTGACAGCATCTGTTCCTTCCATTTAAATTTCACCATCTAAAACAACGTGTGTCCCAGTTTCAGGAAACAGGCTGAACAGATGCCAGACAGTTGTACTGAATGCTCTCTCCATGAAAGAGCTGCTCTTGCTTACATTTTTGTTTATTTCATTGTGAGGGAGAAGAGCAGATTGAATGATGTCATTAATAAGGGTCCTTTGCCTTTATTGTTTAGGATCCTATTGAAGACCTCTCATATCTGAAGTGGCTGGTGGATAAGAGGGTTTGGAGATTTCAGACTCTTTTCACCAGCACAGTGTAGAATTGCAGAGCTGGAAGCAAGGGTGGTGTCACGGGTGTGTGACTTGTATAGTTGCATAGGGATCTGCACTGAGAAGAGCTCTCTTCTTGGCTTAATGTCCTGCTGTCATCATCTTGAAATTCGTAATACTTTCTGAACATGGGAGTCTGCACTTTAATTTTGCACTGGGCCTCAAAAATCATATAGCTAGTTGTGGATGGAAGAAATATGAGGGCATCTAGTGGGAACACACCATCATTATCTGGGATAGATGATTAACTGTCCATATCTTCTGTGGAACCTGATTTGACGGCAGTTTTGACAAAAGTAAAAAGAAAAACAGGCTGGGTGCGGTGGCTCACGCCTGTAATCCCAGCACTTTGGGGGGCCGAGGCAAGCAGATCACGAAGTCAGGAGTCGGAGACCAGCCTGGCCAACATGGTGAAACCTCGTCTCTACTAAAAATACAAAAATTAGCCCGAGGTAGTGGCATGCCCCTGTAATCCCAGCTACTCGGGAGGCTGAGGCAGGAGAATCACTTGAAACCAGAAGGTGGAAGTTGCAGTGAGCTGAGATCGCGCCACTACACTCCAGCCTGGGCAACAAGAGTGGAACTCGGTCTCAAAAAAAAAAAAAAAAAAAAAAGAAAAGAAAAGAAAAAAAAGACCTCCCTCCTTAGAATTGTACCTCCCTTGAGTTGGAGGGGCCTGGTAAACATCTGGCCCAGGTGTCCTTCTTAGAATCTGGCACTATTTCAACTATCTTTATGACCTCTAGGGATGAAAACTTCACAATTCCCCCTGTGGGCTCTTCCATGTGCACTGCATGTTATGTCTAATTTTCCCATAAAGGACAAATACTCACTAACACAAAGGATTAATTTCTACGGTTGCTTTATAGTAATATGCATTCTAGGGCATTGGAAAAATGGGAAATGAGGCTGTCTGTAAAATCCCCTCCACCCACTGTGGGATAGCATTGTTGAAAAAGGGATGCATACTTTAATCTTTCCTTTTGAGAGAGCAAAATTCCTGTCCTTTTGACATTTGTTACTGGAGATACATTTATAGAGGGAATGAGTTGGACAACTTGAGGCTAGAAAAGAATCAAGATGAGGAATGACTGGAGTAAAGGATCCCAAAAAAGACAAAAGAGAAGATGGGAGTGTAGAGGATGTTGTTTTGAGAAAGGCACATTTGTGGCTGGAGACTCAGAACCCTGCTTAGTATGTTTTAGAAGCCTCTCTGCTTTCCACACTATCCATTCACAAATGTTATTGAATCCTGCTTTGCAGAAAGCACTCCGTGTTCAACTCAACCTCTGTACCCATCACACCTTTTATGGCTGAGTGGTGCTGAACCAAGTGGTATCCATATCGTTTGTAATATGTTTTTCATTCTTTGATATGTCAACCTGAAATAATGGAAAGGATCAGAATCCAGTTTTAAAGAGCGTATTCAAGTGAAAAGTTGGGAATAGCCATCCGGGAAAACCAGACTCCAGAGAAATGGAGCGAGTGCTCTGAAGTTAAAAGTTAAGGTCTTGCTTATACCGACAGAAAACAAATAAATTTGGGAGGATCATAACATTTTCTATACAAGGCTGGTTTATAATCAAATTATAACAATTTGATTAGTTTGTTTTCTATATGGCTTGTTTTCATTTCCTCTCCAGTTTAAAAGAATATATTTAACATTCCATCTTAAGACAATATGATAAAGTCTTTGTGTGAGAGAGGTAAGAGGTAATTTATTTATTTACTTATTTTTTGACTTTTTTATTATTATACTTTAAGTTCTAGGGTACATGTGCACAATGTGCAGGTTTGTTACATATGTATACATGTGCCATGTTGGTGTGCTGCACCCATTAACTCGTCGTTTACATTAGGTATATCTCCTAATGCTATCCCTCCCCACTCCCCCCACTCCATAACAGGCCCCAGTGTGTGATGTTCCCCACCCTGTGTCTAAGTGTTCTCATTGTACAATTCCCACCTATGAGTGAGAACATGCGGTGTTTGGTTTTATGTCCTTGTGATAGTTTGCTGAGAATGATGGTTTCCAGCTTCATCTATGTCCCTACAAAGGACCTGAACTCATTCTTTTTTAGGGCTGCATAGTATTCCATGGTGTATATATGCCACATTTGCTTAATCCAATCTATCATTGCTGGACATTTGGGTTGGTTCCAAGTCTTTGCTATTGTGAATAGTGCCACAATAAACATACGTATGCATGTGTCTTTATAGCAGCATGATTTATAATCCTTTGGGTATATACCCAGTAATGGGATGGCTGGGTCAAATGGTATTTCTAGTTCTAGATCCTTGAGGAATCGCCACAATGTCTTCCACGATGATTGAACTAGTTTACAGTCCCACCAACAGTGTAAAAGTGTTCCTGTTTCTCCACATCCTTTCCAGCACCTGTTGTTTCCTGACTTTTTAATGATTGCCATTCTAAATGATGTGAGATGGTATCTCATTGTGGTTTTGATTTGCATTTCTCTGATGGCCAGTGATGATGAGCATTTTTTCATGTGTCTGTTGGCTGCATAAATGTCTTCTTTTGAGAAGTGTCTGTTCGTATCCTTTGCCCACTTTTGGATGGGGCTGTTTGATTTTTTCTTGTAAATTTGTTTAAGTTCTTTGTAGATTCTGGATATTAGCCCTTTGTCAGATGGGTAGATTGCAAAAATTTTCTCCCATTCTGTAGGTTGCCTGTTCACTCTGATGGTAGTTTCTTTTGCTGTGCAGAAGCTCTTTAGTTTACTTAGATACCATTTGTCGATTTTGGCTTTTGTTGCCATTGCTTTTGGTGTGTTAGTCATGAAGTCCTTGCCCATGCCTATGTCCCGAATGGTATTGTCTAGGTTTTCTTCTAGGGTTTTTATGGTTTTAGGTCTAACATTTAAGTCTTTAATCCATCTTGAATTAATTTTTGTATAAGGTGTAAGGAAGGGATCCAGTTTCAGCTTTCTACATATTGCTAGCCAATTTTCCCAGCACCATTTATTAAATAGGGAATCCTTTCCCCATTTCTTGTTTTTGTCAGTTTTGTCAAAGATCAGATGGTTGTAGATGTGTGGTATTATTTCTGAGGGCTCTGTTCTGTTCCATTGGTCTATATCTCTGTTTTGGTACCAGTACCATGCTGTTTTGGTTACCTTGTAACCAAACTATACTACAAGGCTGTTTTGTAGCCTTGTAGTATAGTTTGAAGTCAGGTAGTGTGATGCCTCCAGCTTTGTTATTTTTGCTTAGGATTGTCTTGGCAATGTGGGCTCTTTTTTTTGATTCCATATGAACTTTAAAGTAGTTTTTTCCAATTCTGTGAAGAAAGTCATTGGTAGCTTGATGGGGATGGCATTGAATCCATAAATTACCTTCAGCAGTATGGTCATTTTCACAATATTGATTCTTCCTATCCATGAGCATGGCCTGTTCTTCCATTTGTGTCCTCTTTTATTTTGTTGAGCAGTGGTTTGTAGTTCTCCTTGAAGAGGTCCTTCACATCTCTTGTAAGTTGGATTCCTAGGTACTTAATTCTCTTTGAAGCAATTGTGAATGGGAGTTCACTCATGATTTGGCTCTCTGTTTGTCTGTTATTGGTGTATAGGAATGCTTGTGATTTTTGCACATTGATTTTGTATCCTGAGACTTTGCTGAAGTTGCTTATCAGCTTAAGGAGATTTTGGGCTGAGACAATGGGGTTTTCTAGATATACAATCATGTCATCTGCAAACAGGGACAATTTGACTTCCTCTTTTCCTAATTGAATATCCTTTATTTCTTTCTCCTGCCTGATTTCCCTGGTCAGAACTTCCAACACTACGTTGAATAGGAGTGGTGAGAGAGCGCATCCCTGTCTTGTGCCAGTTTTCAAAGGGAATGCTTCCAGTTTTTGCCCATTCAGTATGATATTGGCTGTGGGCTTGTCATAAATAGCTCTTAGTATTTTGAGATACGTCCCATCAGTACCTAGTTTATTGAGAGTTTTTAGCATGAAGGGCTGTTGAATTTTGTTGAAGGCCTTTTCTGCATCTGTTGAGATAATCATGTGGTTTTTGTCTTTGGTTCTGTTTGTATGCTGGATTACGTTTATTGATTTGCGTATGTTGAACCAGCCTTGCATCCCAGGGCTGAAGCCAACTTGATCGTGGTGGATAAGCTTTTTGATGTGCTGCTGGATTTGGTTTGCCAGTATTTTATTAAGGATTTTTGCATCGATGTTCATCAGGGATATTGGTCTAAAATTCTCTTTTTTTGTTGTGTCTCTGCCAGGCTTTGGTATCAGGATGATGCTGGCCTCATAAAATGAGTTAGGGAGGATTCCCTCTTTTTCTATTTATTGGAATAGTTTCAGAAGGAATGGTACCATCTCCTCTTTGTACCTCTGGTAGAATTTGGCTGTGAATCCATCTGGTCCTGGACTTTTTTTGGTTGGTAGGCTATTAATTATTGCCTCAATTTCAGAGCCTGTTATTGGTCTATTCAGGGATTCAGCTTCTTCCTGGTTTAGTCTTGGGAGGGTGTATGTGTCCAGGAAGTTATCCATTTCTTCTAGATTTTCTAGTTTATTTGAGTAGAGGTGTTTATAATATTCTCTGATGGTAGTTTGTATTTCTGTGGGATTGGTGGTGATATCCCCTTTATGATTTTTTATTGCATCTATTTGATTCTTCTGTCTTTTCTTCTTTATTAGTCTTGCTAGCAGTCTATCAATTTTGCTGATCCTTTCAAAAAACCAGCTCCTGGATTCATTGATTTTTTGAAGGGTTTTTTGTGTTGGTAAGTGGTAATTTATAATGAACATCAGTGTGAAGAAATAAAGGATCTTCCCTGGTGCCCTTTAGTCATTTATAACATTTTACAAAACAACGTAGGTGAGGAAGAAGGCCAATCTATACTCAGAGAATCAAAGGTTACAGCTGCCTAGGTTACAGCTGCCTATCTTGTTACTCAGGCCTCATAGTTACATCCTTTGAAGGCTCAAAATAATTCAGTTCCAATAGCTTAGATTTTGAATTACTTATTTTCACAAATGTAAGACTTATATAATATTCTCATTAAAGTCCATATTACCCTTGAAAATCAGTCTAATTTGTTCCTTGCCTAATTTAACCAGCCGAGTTTTTACTCCATCATTTATGTCATTGATATGAAAGTAAGTAACAGGCAGGGTCACTGAGTAATAATAGAGGTTAAAAAAATCACTATGTAACTGAAGGAATGGCCCAAGATTCTCCTACTCCTAAAATACATCTGCACTATTACATTTGCTTCTTTGATCTCAAACATCTTAACCAGGAAGCCACACTTGATAAAATGTACACTTCTTACCCGAGGCATGTTTATATTCAGGAATGTGTTATCCTTGACTGACTTTTTTCCCAGAAGTCTGGAGGGCTGGTCCTCACAGGCTGTCTAAAGGCACAGGGTGCCTGGGAAAGGGTCTGAGTAGGCGGGAGTGGGTACTTATCTAGGACGTCATCACACACTCACAAACTTGGCTAATGATAATCCAGGGCAAGAAGTTAGCCCCATGTTGTGTCTAATCTGCAGAGAAGGTACATCTCTCCACTGACCCTCAGTAGCCAGTCACCAGGCAGGGCTATGGAGAACGAAAGGCCACCTGAGCCTGGACCAGGCAGAGGAAGAAGGGGCTCATCTGAAGCCCGGTGGGCTTTTGTATGATGATCTCTAATTGGTAGGTGAGGGAGAACTTGGGAAGCAAGACAGGAAGTGGGAGGACTGACCACAAACTTGTCCCATTCAGCACTTTTCCTGGCATGTTTCTGCTACAACAGAAAAGGGTCCTCTCAGAAGTGAGCAGACAGTCAAAACCAATGGCTTCAGGATTTAATGGGAATGTGGACGGGTGGCTGGGTTTGCAGTTGTGAGAACCCAGGTGTTCTGTGGTAGGTCATATATCCTGCCAGGTGAGAAGTGTCCATGTGGAAAACAGTCCTTCATTCCACGCTTCTGGGAATGAGATAAGTCCTTCCTGGTAGTCGGTCTCTAAGCTGTACTTATCCCTTGAGATGTTTCTTTCTTTTAATCTTTTCAATCCATCTAGCATGTTTTAATGGACAAAATTGCTATACGTTTAATTTCCTTGTATGAAATCAGAGGTCTCACAGTCGAGATAAGATAAGATGAGATAACCCAGGTAAAGTTCTTAACTCAGCTTCTGGTGGTGTAACTCTCAGATGTTAGTTTGCTTCTCCTTCTAGTATTTCTTTTCATTTATTCATTATTTTACCAGTATTTACTGAGTGCATACTACATATCATCACTATTATGAATTTCTTCAAATAATTATTGCCTTGAAAACAATCTAAAGTACTGGGTTGCCTATGGATTAGTTAACATTATATATCACTCATATGATCAGTTAATAATACAATTATTAATCATATAATTAATAGTACAATTGATAGTCAAAAAACTAATTAATAGCATGATTGATAATTATACTCTGGTTCTCTTTTTTTTTTTTTGAGATGGAGTTTTGCTTTTGTCGCCCAGGCTGGAGTGCAGTGGTACAATCTTGGCTCACTGCAACCTCTGCCTCCTGGGTTCAAGCAATTCTCCTACCTCAGCCTCCTGAGTAGCTGGGATTACAGGCATGCGCCACCATCCTTGGCTAATTTTTTGTATTTTTAGTGGAGATGGGGTTTTGCCATGTTGGCCAGGCTGGTCTCGAACTCCTGACCTCAGGTGATCTGCCCACCTTGGCCTCCCATAGTGCTGGGATTATAGGTGTGAGCCACTGTTCCAGCCATATACTCTGGTTCTGTAAAAGGGTAACATTTGAGGAAGAAAAGTGAAAGATATATAAGACTTTTTAAAACAACTTTTGATGTAATTATTTCAAAATGAAAAGTTGAAAATTAAAAAATTTACTAGGGCTGGACTTGGTAGCTCACATCTACCTTGGTAGCCCACTTTGAGAGGCCAAGGTGGGAGGATCCTTGAGACCAGGAATTGGAGACCAGCCTAGGCAACATAGCAAGACCCTCTTCTCTACAAAAAATTAAAATATTAGCCAGGTGTGGTGGTGCGAGCGTGTAGCCCAGCTACTTGGGAGGCTGAGTTAAGAAATAACTTGAGCCCAGGAGTTACAGACTGCAGTGAGCTAGGATTGAACCACTACGGCACTCCAGCCTGGGCAACAGAGTGAGACTCTGTCTCTTAAAAAAAATTACTAGGATCTCTTTGCTATGTAGCAATCCACATGTATTTATCTCTTTGTCAATAGATGATGCTGAATGAGGGCACTGTAAATTATCTTGGATTTCATATAGGGTAGAGATTCAGGGAGACAGATACTGGGGTGAAAGACCTCAAAGTCTGCAGTCCCAAACTTCAGCTAATTCTCTTTTTCCTTTGTCTGCCCTCCTTTCTGTATTTCCTAAATTAGTACCTGGCACCCAGTCTAATTAGTCATCATCAGTTAGTCATTGGAGCCTTGTCTATATATCTCTGTACTATCTCTGAAACTCTGCTCTCTCTCCATTCCCGCTGCCATGTTCACATTTGAGGCTTGCCACCTCCCACCCTGACCCACTTTGGCTTCCTTCCTCAGGCCTGCATGGCGTGCTTCTGTTCTACCTTTCACATTTCTGCTAGACTGTTCTCTCCAAAAGGCAAATTTGATTGTGTCACATTCTTGTTTAAAGGGCCTATCTGGCTAGGCATGGCTCACGCCTATAATCCCAGCAGTTTGGGAGGCCAAGGTGGGCTGATTACTTGGGGTCAGGAGTTTGAGACCAGCCTGGCCATCATGAATGTATGAATGTATTGTCTCATGGTTCTGGAGGCTACCAGTTCAAGATCAAGGCATCAGCAGGGCCACACTCCCTCTGAAGGGAGCATCTCTACTAAAAATACAAAAATTAGCCAGGTGTGGTGGCGGGCGCCTGTCATCCCAGCTACTTGGGAGGCTGAGGCAGGAGAATCACTTGAACCCAAGAGGCAGAGGTTGCAGTGACCTGAGAACACGCCACGGCACTCAAGCCTGGGCGACAGAGTGAGACTCTGTCTCAGAAAAAAAAAAAAGGGGCCTATTTGCCTACAGGATAAGTTTCAAAGTTCCTAGATGAGTGTTATGTGTTAAATTGGGACTCCCCAAAATGGTATGTGAGAGTCCTATCTTCCAGGACCTCAGAACATGACTTTTTTTGGAGATAGGGTGTTTACAGAGGTAATCAAGGTAAAATGAGGTCATTAGGGTGGGCCCTAAACCAGTGGGACTGATGTGCTTATAAAAACGAGAAATTTGGACACAGAGGTGCATACATAGAAGAAAGGCATGTGAAACCTGGAGTTCTGCTGCTACGAGCCGAGGCGCTACCAGTGGCCAGGAGAGAGGCCTGGAACAGACCCTTCCCTCCCACCTTCAGAGGGAGCGCGGCCCTGCTGATGCCTTGATCTCGGACTGGTAGCCTCCAGAACCATGAGACAATACATTTCTATAGTTTCAGCCTCCTAATTTGTGGTGCGTTGTTTCAGCAGTCATAGCAAACTAATACAATGAGTCTCTGCCACATCTTTCAGTACTTTCTTCATTTATTCATGTAGCAAGTATTTGTTGAGAGCTGATAATATTTCAGATACTGTGTTAGACTTTGAGATATAGCTGGAGACAAGACAGGTGGCTCTAGGGAGGGCTGCAACAAGTACCCAGGCCAGGCCATCAGAATGTAGCAAGAAGTCTTTCATTAGTATGGTCCAGAGTACACAAAAACAGGGCACAAAATCAGTACTTGAAGGCTGGGAAGCCTTCCTGGAAGAAGTGACATTTCAGCTTAGAAATAATAAGAACTCTCTCTCTTGTACAAGATGTTTCAGATGAACTATTAAAAGAATGGGAAGAAGGAGAGGCAAGCTATGGCAAATGATGCTGATCATCCCAGTCATCCCCGAGACTTTTACATACTTTCTCAAATGAGTGTTCCAGTGTTGTGTGAGAAATCTGTTTTAGTACTTTACCAGATCTTGGGTATGTATACTAGGACGTGTAGCAAGATAGAACTGTGCTAAGCACCACCCTCCTTTTCTCTCCCAACTGGCCACCCTTCCATTATGTTCCCTTCAGGGGGCACGCTTTGTGATTTATTTTTTCTTTCAAGGTTGACCTTATTCATTTTAACCAGATGTTGACTATTTTTGAAACATGGCCAAGAGAATGAGAAGGCAAGCCACAAACTGGGGGAAAATATTTGCAAAAGACACACCTAAAAAAGAAGGTTATCCAAAATATACAAAGAACTCTTAAAACTCAACAATAAGAAAATGAGCAACCCAATTAAAAATGGGAAAAGACTTGAATAGACACCTCGCTAAAGCAGATACACAAATGGCAAATAAGCATATGAAAAGATGTGTAACATCGTGTCAGTTGGGAGCTGCAAATTAAAGCAGCAGTGAAATATCACTGCACCTATTAGAATGATCAAAATCTAGCATACTGACAACACCAAATGCTGGCAGTGATGTTGAATAACAAGGACTCTCATTCATTGCTGGTGAAATGCAAAATGGCGCAGCCACTTGGGAAGACAATTTGGCCATTTCTTACTAACCTAAACATACTCTTGGCATACAATTTGGCAATCACACTTCTTGGTATTTACTCAAATGAACTGAAAATGTATGCCCTCCAAAAAAAAAAAAAAAAACAAAAAAACCTGCACACAGATGTTTACAGCAGCTTTATTAATAATTGCCAAAAGTAGTGGTAATCAAGAGGTCCTTCAGTAGGTGAATCAATAAATAAACTGTAGTACATCCAGACAATAAAATATTATTCAGTGCTGAAAAGAAATGAGTTATCAAGGCATGAAAAGACACACAGAGGAAACTTAAATGCTTATTACTAAGTGAAAGAAGCTAATCTGAAAAGGCTGTTTTATGACTCCAACTATATGACAATCTGGAAAAGGCAAAACTATGGAGACAGAAAAAAGATCAATGGTTTCCAGTGATGAGGGAGAGGGAAGGATAAACATGTGGTGCCCAGATAATTTTTAGGGTAGTGAAACTATTCAGCATGATACTGGGATGGTGGATGCATATCATTATACCTTTGTCCAAACCCATGAAGTGTACATCACCAAGAGTGAGCCCAAATGCAAAGCATGGGCTTTGAGTGATAATGCGGCAACACAGGCTCATCAGTATCAACAAATGTACCATTCTGGTGTGGGATGTCCCCATTGGAGGAGGTTGCATGTGTGTGGGGACACGGGATATACAGCATCTCTGTACCTCCTGCTTGATTTTGCTGTGAACTTAAAACTGCTCTAAAAAATAAATTCAATGATTAAAAACAAAAACATGATTGTATGTAGGGTTGTGGGTGAGACTGGTCATCTGCTTCAGGTTCTGTGCCTCTTCCTTCCAATCCACAACCCCACGGGTGACGTTCTCAGCCATTTCTCCTGTTCCACCTCTGGCTTCTGTTTTCGTATTTTCCCTACTTTGTCAGAGTCCTCGGAATGCCAGTTTCCTATTACAATGATGTTCCCACTAGCATCCAATTTCCATTGAAAAGATTCTCTTCCTTTTCTGGTGCCCAATAAGCTTTAACTCCCTTCTCAGGTCTTTCAGACCATAGGCTCCCTGGTCCTTACCAGTCACTCGTTTAATTCTATGCAATTGAGTCTGTCCTTTATACACTGCCATATGGCTTCAATATGTATGTTTTCAGTATCTCCTAATATGTGATCTCGAGACCCAGAGCATTTACAAAGATGCTGCAAATGGAATTTAATTAAAAACAGATGGATCCTCTTTGAAATGCTCCCTTATCAATTAACAATACCCAGCTGTCTTACTAATGCAATCCCAGAGAAGACAGAGACCATTTAATCTCACTCCTTCCTTTTGCAGATGAGGAAACTGAGTCAGAGATGTTAGTGTGACTTCCCAAAGGTCATGCAGCGAGATAGTGACAACTCTGTGCTTGGAGTCAGAAGACCTGAGTTGTAGTCCCAGCTCTGTTTCTACTAGCCTAGGCTCCTCTCCAACTGTGATGTGAGTCTGAGGGAGCCCCTGTGAGGTGCTCCCTTGTAGGGTGCTCTAGGTACCTCTGTGGCAGCAATGCTTGCATAGAGCAAAGTTTATTACTTGCTGCTATCCTCCTCGTTCTCCTTTTCCTTCTCTCAGCCAGAGAAGGCGTATATATATATATATATATATATATATATATATATATATATATATATTTTTTTTTTTTTAAGATCTCATATTTTGTCCTTTTAAAGAATAAGAATAAAAAGGTCATTGCAAAGACTTAAGGGGTCACTGATCTTACCTTGCAGGCTTATGGGGAAAGAGGCTCAGAGGGTTATATTCATTTGCCCCAAATCATACAGAGGGTGGTAAATCTGAAATTAGAACCTAACTTTGCAGACCTCTAATGGGATAATCCCTCCACCCCGCCCTTGCTCCTCCCAGTATCGTGGCATAGCCTGATCTTGTGCAACCATTTCATTTAGCAAATGGGGTGGAAGTAGGGTTGGAGCAACCGAGAGGAGAGCACTTAGAAAAGATTTGAAAATACACTGCTCATTAATTTTGTGTGAAGGGGTTCCAATGCTTCTAAAAACATGTCCCTGGGTCAGAGATAACACTGTTGCCCTGGGCTGCTCAGAGGATGAAAAGCAGACGTTTATATTGGCACAGTCTTCTTCAGCTCACAAAAAAGGAAAAAAAGTCCTTTTTTTGTGCAAAGGTGGCATGGATTGTCAAATTCATTGTGTTTTTGTAGGAATTTGAGACAGTGAGAACATATTGGCCTTTATGTGCATATTATTTCTCAGTTTATTTTGCTGATAAACGTATTATCATTTAGAGACCAACTAACCTTTGACCTCCAGCATCCTGCCTTCACAAGCACAAGCAAGGTCAAAGGTTACTTTGTTTAATGAAAGATCAGGATGGTTGTTACTCCAGCTCAGCCGCTTTCTTCCCTTTTTATATGTAGTGCTTTCTTCCCTTTTTATATCTATTTTTAGAGGGTTCCTTTTTAAAATAAAATTTATCGGTGTTTTATAAAAAGAGGCAATGTTAATTATTTGTGAATTAGAGCACTCTGTGCTAATAAATTTGAAATAGGGATTTTAAGCCATTAGGCTCAAAAACAGCATTTCTTAAAAACTTCCCTGTATTAGTAACTCAGAGACATTTTGGACCTTTTAAATGCTTCACTAATATTTGAGTTGAAAGCTCTATTTCTATTTCCTAATCGCCTCGATTTTCATCTAAATCAAATAGCAATTTCAGCACCTTCAAGTAGGGATAGTGTTAAGAGCTGACTTGTGTCCCCTCTAAAATTTAGTCTTAACTCCCAGGACCTCAGAATGTGACTGTATTTGGAGACTGGATCTTTAAGGAGGCGATTAATTAGCGGGGTTTGGTGGTGCGTGTCCCAGCTGCTTGGGAGGCTGAGGCGGGAGGCTCACTTGAGCTCAAGAGTTTGAGGTTGCAGTGAGCCATGATCTCACCTCTACAAAGAGGGTGCTTAGAGAGCCCAAAAAGTCCTTTTCTTTTCTTTTCTCTCTCTCTTTCTTTCGAGAGAGAGTCTTGTTCTGTCGCCCAGGCTAGAGTGCAGTAGCGCAATCTTGGCTCACTGCAACCTCTGCCTCCTGGGTTCAAGTGATTCTCCTGCCTCAGACTCCGGATTACAGGTGCATGTAATTGGGATTACATGCATGCCACCATGTAATCTGGGATTACAGGTAACTGGGATTACAGGTGCATGCCACTACTCCCGGCTAATTTTTGTATTTTCATTAGAGATGGTGTTTCACCATGTTGGCCGGGCTGATCTCCAACTCCTGACCTCAGGTGTCCCAAAGTGCTGGGATTACAGGTGTGAACCACTGCACCCGGGCTTGAACTGGCTAGTTTTAACCACATTTTCTGAAATATATTTAATGAAACTATGCAGTTTTAGTTAATGCCTAGCCAAGAATCTGGCTCGAGTGATAAAATGAAATGGCTCTGAATTCAGTACAGGGAAAATGAGTTACTCTACCAAATACTAGTTTAAAGGTGTCCTGCCGAACTCCTATTAACCTCAAGAGAGAAGGCTCCAGGTTCAAGAGGCTGAAGAAGAGACCCAGAAATAGCAAACGAGACATGAGGTTTTGCTTTTGTTTTTGTTCTTTTGAGACAGAGTTTCACTCTTGTTGCCCAGGCTGGAGTGCAATGGCATGATCTCAGCTCACTGCAACCTCCGCCTCCCAGGTTCAAGTGATTCTCCTGCTTCAGCATCCCGAGTAGCTGGGATTACAGGCATCACCACCATGCCCGGCTAATTTTGTATTTTTAGTAGAGACAGGGTTTCTCCATGTTGGTCAGGCTGGTCTCGAACTCTCGACCTCAGGTGATCCACCCACCTTGGCCTCCCAAAGTGATGGGATTGCAGGCGTGAGCCACTGCACCCGGCCGAGACATGAGGTTTTATTAGGGGCTTACAGATAGGGAGAGACTCCAGTGGCGGTGGGCTGGACAGGAGAACCCCAACTGCTGGTAAACAGCATGCAGTTTATATATCACTTTCACTTAACAACCTCTTCTTAATGACCTCCACCTGGAAACCTTCACTTAACCCAAAACTCAGGCCCTCAATTCTCTATTTGGCCCGTGTCCCGCGGACCAGGCCAGGGGCTTACACATTCCTTATAGGCAAGGAACAAATCTCCAGGTTGGCCACCCTGGATTCCTTAGCTCAGAACACATGTTCAGGTGCATCTGCCATACAGGGCCATTCTAGGGATATGCTTAATTATTGTTGTCAGGTGCGTTTACCCTACAAAAGGCTGCCGGCCAAAAATGTGGTAGAGTTAGAATACGCATCCAGGTCTTCTGACCCTGTAATTTGGGGCTCCTTCCCCACATTCATCGTCTCTCTCTGAATGTTAATGTGTTGCCCACAGCATCTCTCTCCCCAGTCATTCCCTTGGAAGGGTGAGTTCCAGAGAGAACCTCTCAAGATGTTCATGGAACCACCAAGGCCGACTTGTATTAAGTCCCTTTCACACCCACACCCTGATTTGTGGAAGACCCTTTCTGGTTTCAGTACATACGTCAGGCACATGTGGATAGTTGCACATCTGATTTTCATAATCATTTTCAGCCTCAAAATATTTACAGATGTCAACTAGTGAGTCCTCAGAGAGTCCTCCAGTGAGGCAAGCAGTTCTAATTTCAATTTTGTGAAAAGGGAAATTAAGGTACTGAGAAATGATGGGATTTCCTTTAAGCTCAGCAGGAGGCCCGATTCTAGAAAACCGGTTATTTCAGGCCAGGCTACATACACAAACTCAACACTCTTGGGCATAACGTCAGGTCCCTTAATTGCCTGTGAGGTGGCTGTGTCCTTATACTAGCACACTATGCGGACACAAATGAAGGAATGATGACACCTTAAGCTTATTCTTCCTGGGGCATTTATACTTACGCATTGAAGCAAACTGTAACATTTCAGGATCACTCCAAACAGAGAAGGGTACCATCAGCAAGAATCCCATGTGGATATCTGTAAGGATGTTGACATGCGATAAAAAAGCAAACTGTCATCTATCTTGATGAATATGGACTAAAGAAGACATTCTGATCTAAATCATTAAGGAAATACTATAGAACCACAAGGAATGCAAAATTTAAGCTCGCTATCTATCTCCATCCTCTTTTCTACACAGTCTCCTACTCAATGATTTTTCAACTTTAAGATGGTGTTAAACCATTGCAATTTCAATGTAATGTATAGTAGTAAATAAATTACATGAGATGTTCAACACCTTATTATAAAATAGGCTTTTTATTAGATCACATTGCCCAGCTGTAGGCTAATATAAGTGTTCTGAGCACTTTTAAGGCAGGCAAGGGTAAGCTATGGTGTTTGGGAGGTTAGGTATATCAAATGCATCTTTAACTTATTAGATTTTTGGCTTATGATGAGTTTATCAAGGTGTAACCCCATCTGGACTTTTATAAGCTAACTCATAGGTGACCACAAATGAAACTCTGCCTGGGTCATCCCAAAAGTCCCCAAGTATTCTAGCTTTGCACAGTCATCTTTTCCTTTACTATCCAAATAAAGTGATGTGCACAACAGGAAATGCTTAGGTTCCTACAAGAACTGAGACATTAAGCAAATGTCTTTCGGGATGCTGTCTAAGCCAGCTTTCTCTTTGAAGTCACTTAGAGATGGTGTGTTCATTACACCATCAAAGTGTTCAGCCTGTGCAGGGAGCTCTGAGAAGGTCAGCTGAGCAGGTCGGAGGTGGATCTGAAGAGACAGGGCGAGGCTGGGGGTGGGGTTTTCTGACTGTCCAGTTAAGAACTTACATTTTACCCTAAAGCAGGGGTGGATTCATGTTTTGTCGTTTTTGAAGTTTATCAAACTTGCGGGGGTGGTGATGAGGGATGAGGCCCCACCACAGCCAGCTCTATGTCTCCAAACCAGACAGAGGAATCTGGATCTACATGCAGGGGAGATTTAGACTATGTAAGCTCCCATATGGGATGGCCAGACCACACCCTTTAGGAAGATTTTAGATAGCTCTGAGATATTCAGATAGATACTGAGGTTTCCATGCAGCCCAGGATATAAACTTCTCCAAGAGAAGAAAGAGAAAATCAGAACATGACTGGCCTGACTTTTGGGGGGGCCTTAGGATTGCATTTGGGATGAGACTGTGGAGTCATACAGATTTGGGAGAGGCAGAAAGAAGAAAAGGAGGGAGGGGAGTGGGCTGTGCCTAGGAGGTCTGTTTCTCTGGCCCCTTTCTTTTTCTAAATGCCTGGAGCATCAGAGAAAGTGATGGACAATGATGGCGGGGAGAGGAGTTTGTAAAAGGTAAAAGCAATGCAAACTAGAGAGTTCTGCAGGAGGAAGCTGACTTCCACTGGCTAGGGAGGACAAGAAATACCGTCCAAGCAGAACCAGGCTTGAACTAGGTATTATGGGAAGAAAAATCTATAAGTAGAGAAGCACAGGACTGCCCTGAGCTGCAGTGTGGAGGGGGGAACGTGGGCAGCATGGGCAGGGAGCCCCAAGGGGTCATCTGAGCAGAAGGGAGGGCTTGGGCAGGCAGCGTGTGGGAGTGGGGTCTGGAGAGACAGGGTGAGGCTGGGGGCAAAGTCCTCTGGCTATCCAGCTAACAACTTACATTTTACCGTAAAGGCAGGGGTGGATTCATGTTTCATGTTTTTTGAAGCTTATAAATAAAATTTAGGTTGGGGGTGCAATGAGCTATGATCACTCCACTGTACTATAGCCTGGGCCACAGAGTGAGACCCCCCTCTGAAAATAAAATAAAATAAAAAATAAAAATAAAAGAATTTGAGGGGAGGCGGTAGGCACTCTAAGAAAAAGAATGTGAAATTATGAAAACAAAGTTGCCAGGGCTCCCAGCATATGCAAATGATGGGCCATGAAGCTCAAGCTTCGTTAGCCTTGCATGTTCTTAAGCAGGGGGGATTCTCTGGGCTGCCATGTTGGAAAGAACTGTTTGGTTCCGGGATGAATGCAGATGTTTTGGAGTGTTCAGGGTGGTACCAGATGAGTTTGCAAGCTTAATGAGGACTATGTTGGTTTCCTTGGGCTGGTTTAACGATTACCACAAGCTGGGTGGCTTAAGACAATAGAAACGTCTTCCCTTCCAGTTTAGAAGTCTGAAATCGAGGTGTCAAAGATTTGGTTCCTCCTGGAGGATGTGAGGGAGAAACTGGGCTCTGCTTTTCTCCTGGGTTCTGGTGGTTGCAGGAGTCCATGGCATTCGTGGCTTAGAGACACATCACTCCAATTTTGGCTTCCATCTTCACATTGCCTTCTTCTCTGTGTTCTCTCCTCTTCCCATAAGGATACCAGTCATTAGATGTGGGGCTCACCTTAAACCCAGGATGATTTCTTCCTGATATCTTTAATTACATTGGCAATAATCCTATTCCCAAATAAGGTGATAGTAACAGGTACCAGCAGGTTAGGACTTAGACATACCTTTTTTGGAGACACTATTCAACCCCCTACAGGGTCTAAACAAAATATCGCACAGTGTGGCATTTATGTCTATACTGTGGACCTGCGATCTCTTGTTGCTGTGCCCTTATATCTAATTCGGATCTTGACTGTGAGACCTTGGAGGGGTCACTGACCTCCCTGCGCCTCAGTTTGTTCAATAAAAAAGAGGTGGTTCTTACATTTTGCTTTACATAAAAATTCGAAAATCTGGCCAGGTGCGGTGGCTCATGCCTGTAATCCCAGCACTTTGGGAGGCTGAGACGGGTGGGTCATTTGAGGTCAGGAATTTGAGACCAGCCTGGTCAACATGGTGAAACCCCGTTTCTACTAAAAATACAAAAATTAGCCAGGTGTGGTGGCAGGTGCCTGTAATCCCAGCTGCTTGGGAGGCTGAGGCAGGAGAATCACTTGAACCTGGGAGGCAGAGGTTGCAGTGAGCTGAGATTGCACCACTGCACTCCAGCCTGGGCAAGAAAGTGAGACCCTTTCTCAGAAAAAAAAAAAAAAATTGAAATTCTTATTGTTCAGGCCATGCCTCATATCAGTTAAACCAGAATCTCTCAGGGGTGGGATTTAGGAATTAATAGTGTTTGAAAAACTATCCAGGTGATTCCAGCGCACACTGAGTTTGAGACTAGTGCTCAACTTTAAATGTACAGGTGGATCAGTGTGAAAATGCAGATTCCGATTTGGTCCGGGACGGGACCTGAGACTCTGCATTTCTAACCGTCTATCTCCGGGGTGATGCTGAGGCAGCTGGTCTGAGGCCCACACCAAGTCTTAGGGCCTGGATGACCTTGCACAGCCTCCTGAGCTCTTACATCATCCTATTCACTCTCCTGCAGTGGCCAGGCTGCAGGCTGTGATGGAGTGAGGTAGAAACAACATCTTAACAGGAAATGGCTTTTGCTGAGAGACAGTTCAGTTTGGAGGTGGTTTATATATTGGGAAAGTCCATATGCTGCACATAAATGGGATCTAATGAATCTAATGACATTATTTAGAAACAGTTTCACTAAATGAAAGGCAGCAGCCAGACCTGTGAGCTTTCTCCTGCACCCTGGAATGCTTCTGTTTAGTATAACAAGTGTTAATACGGCCTCCCAAGACCTCTGAAAAGGGACAGCGCCCTTTCAGCAAACCAAAACGCCAGGAAAACAGTGAGAAGGATGTAAACAGTGTTCAACTTCAGATTTTAATCTGTCAAGTGCTGGTACTAGAAAAACAAACCCCTCCTCAGCCTGGCCCTGAGGTCTGGGCTGTGTCAACTTTGTCACTGAGCATTTGCACTCCACACAGGGTGGGTGGGGCAGGAAGGAGAAGTGTGTACAAAGACCAAGGCTTTCTGTGCTGAGTCCACTTGACCACCCTGGGATGCGTACTTGCTCAGAGACTGGGCTTGGATGCTCAGTGGCGATTCTCACCTATAGCTGCCTGTTAGAATCATCTGGGGAGGTTCAGATGGTACCTGTGTCTAGGCTTTCACCAGATCAATTAAAAATAATTTTTCTTGGGGTGGGGCTTGGGCAAGGGTATGTTTTCAATTTCTTCAGGTAATTCCAGTGTATACCAAGGACACTTCGCAGGTTCTGTGGCTATCCAGCTTGTAGTAGACTGTATAATTTGTTCGGCACATGTTTACTATGAGTCCTTACTATGAAAGTGTCAATTTGGGCTGCTGTAACAAAATACTATAAACTGGTGACTTGTAAACAGAAAGTTATTTCTCACAGTTCTGGGGCTGGGAAGTCCCAGATCAAGCTGTTGGCAGATCAGTGTCTGGCAAGGGCTCTGGTTCCCAGATGGCATCTTTTCCCTGTGTCCTCACTTGGAGAGGTGAGGGATCTCTCTGTGGTCTCTATGGACGCTCATCCTATTCATGAAGGCTCTGCCTCATGACCTGATCACCTCCTAAAGCACCCAGCTCCAAATATCCTCACATTGGGGATGATGAATTCTGGGGGGACACATTCAGTCTATAAATAACAGCAAGGCTCTGTGCTCGGCACAGGGGAGACAGCAGAGAACAAGATGGCCAGAAACTGGGAGGGAAGATACAAAAAAACAAGTTATTAATATAAAACTTAGGAATTTCAGTCATAATTGAGAGCTATAAAGGTGAAGTACGGGATGCTACCAGACAGAGCGCGTCCGTGGAACAGAACCCAGCCTGAGAGGCAGCCTTGTAGAAGTGACATTTGGACAGAGTTTTGGGAGATGGGTAGGAATTATCCAGGGAGAGAAATGGGGGGAGATTGCTCTTGGCCAAGGGAACAGCGAGTGTCAAGGCCTGGAAGAAGGAGGTGCATGGTGGATTAGAGGAACTGAGGAGAGGCCTCGCTGGGGCCGTGGGACACAGGAGGGGACAGCTGAGCCTCCTGGGTGGAAGGGGCCAGCCTTGGGGACCAAGCTGGGGATCCGGCATTTATTAGTTTGGAGCTGTGTAAATATCTTTCAAAATGTTTAGGTTCCCAAGGAAACTCCTCCAGGGCAGACAGAGCCCATGTGCCTTCTAATTCTTTTTTTTTTTTTTTTTTGAGATGGAGTTTCACTTTTGTCACCCAGGCTGGAGCGCGGTGGCTTGATCTCGGCTCACTGCAACCTCCGCCTCTCAGGTTCAGGCTATTCAACTGCCTCAGCCTCCTGAGTAAGCTAGACTACAGGCATGTTTTGGAGCTGGGCGCCAGCAGAGCCCCTCTTTTGTCCCGGACACTCTGCATCTGATGGTACCAAAATAGGAGGGCAAAGCTGGGTGCAGTGGCTCATGCCTGTAATCCCAGCACTTTGGGAGGGCGAGGTGCGTGGATCACTTGAGGTTAGGAGTTCGAGACCAGCCTGGCCAACATGGTGAATCCCTGTCTCTACTAAAAATACAAAAATTAGCTCAGCATGGTGGTGCATGCCTGTAGTCTCAGCTATTCAGGAGGCTGAGGCACAAGAATGGTTTGAACCCGGGAGGCAGAGGTTGCAGTGAGCCCAGATGTTACCACTGCACTCCAGCCTGGGCAACAGAGTGAGACTCCGTCTCAAAATAATAATAATAATATTTCTTTAAAATGTTTTTTTCTTTCTCCACCATCTCTTACCACCTTTAATTTGTACTATCATTTGAAGTTTATGAGAACCCTCACCTAAATATTATCCATTTAATCCTTTCAAGACGTAAGAGTAGACCACTGTTTATAGAAGAGAAGATTTAGAGAAGTTTTGCTACTTGTGAAAGGTTTCAGGGTGAGTAGAGACTCTTTTTCCCACTGGTCACAAAATGAAATCAGATACTATTTTATAACCTGCCTTATTCATGTAACATAATCATTGAGTATTTTATTCACATTCCCAAATATTCTTCAAGCATGTCATTTTTTATTTCTTTATTCTTACCGTGATCATTTTAAATGTGTAATCTTGAAGTTATTAAAACATAAATATGTGATGTGCACAGGAAAAGATTTGAGGGTGTTCATGCTAAAGTGTCACCGCTAGTTATGGACAGCTAAATGTGGTGTACATGACTTTTTTAAAAACAGATTTACAATGCATTTATTACTTTTGTAACAAAAAGTATGACAAGTATAGAACAAAGAATTATTAATTTTCTATCTGCTAAGAGATTTGACACAGGAGATTCTATAACTTTTAATTAATTGACTAAACTGAATAAATACGCATTGTGTAAAAGCACTTTAAAGGACTAGAACAATGATCATGCAATAATCTACAAGTAAGAATGTCATTTTTTAAATTGGCTGCTTCTGGCTGGGTGCGGTAATCCTAGCACTTTGGGAGGCACAGGTGGGAGGATTGCTTGTGGCTAGGAGTTGGACATCAGTCTGGGCAACATAGTGAGATTCCATCTCTGCAAAAAATTAGCTGAGTGTGGTGGCACATAACTATAGTCTCAGCTTCTGGGGAGGCTGAAGCAGGAGGATCCCTTGACCCCAGGAGGTCAAGGCTGCAGTGAACTATGATTGTGTCACTGCACCTCAGCCTGGGCAACGGAGCAAGACCTTATCTCTTAAAAAAATTGCTGCTTCATATTCCTTTATTTGTATACAACCTGATTAGTACTAGATTATTGGAGATTTGTTTTCTCTGATTTTTGTAAATATTTATGTTATCTGCAATCAATAGCCTTGATAAATACATTTTTGAGGACATTTTTGACCATTTCCTTAGGAAAAAAATCCTATAAGTGAAATTGCTGGGTCAAAGGCTATGTACAATTGAAAAGTATTTTTAAAAAATATGTGTTGCTAAATTGCCTTCCAAAATAATTGTACAAATTTAAATTCTCACCAGCACTGTATGAGACTGCCCATGGAAAACTTTTTAATGGAGCAAGGCCAGTTGGTCTGTAGCACTTTGGTTGCTGTCAATATTTAAGTCAAGTATTTCACAATGGAGTGCTTTGTGACCCAGACGCACCCATTTCGTCTTTGTTATGTTGTTGCTTACTTTATTCCCAGGTCTGCTTTGGATTTTCAGGGTCCAAGGTGGTGTTGCTCAATTTTTTCTGGAGCTACTTTCTCCCTTAACTCTCTCTGTGTAAACCTTACTTATCCTTCTAGATGAGCTTGGGTCTCTCTACGTATTTATGAGACAAAGAACACAGGTTCACCATTTTCCCTCAGCAGTTACTAAGTTTCCTTATACCTTTGTCCAATTCCAGGAATTCCAGTTCCATAGTCACAGATATCAGGACTTTCAGTGCTGAAAGGGACTTTGGAGGTCACCAGGCCCATCGGTCCATCCACAGCAGACTGACACTTGACCAAGGATCATCAAATAGCTGGATATGGCCGGGCATGGTGGCTTCTGCCTGTAATCCCAGCACTTGGGGAGGCTGAGGTGGGTGGATCACCTGAGGTCAGGAGTTCAAGACTAGCCTGGCCAACCTGGTGAAATCCCGTCTCTACTAAAATTGCAAAAAAATTAGCTGGTATGATGGTGGGCACCTGTAATCCCAGCTACTCAGGAGGCTGAGGCAGGAGAATTGCTTGAACCCAGGAAGCAGAGGTTGCAGTGAGCTAAGATTGCGCCATTGCACTCCAGCCTGGGCAACAAGGGTGAAACTCCATCTCAAAAAAAAAAAAAAGAAAAAAGCTGGATGTTCATCTCTCTAGGATGTGTCTGGTTCCAGTGTTGGGTCATTCTTTTTTTAAATTTATTTTTAATGTATTTTTAATTTAGAGACATAATCTTGCTATTTTGCCCAGGCTGGTTTTGAACTCCTGGACTCAAAGTGATCCTCCTTCCTTGGCCTCCCAAAGTGCTGGGATTACAGACCTGAGCCACTGTAGCTGGTCCCATTGCTGGATCTTTCAAGCTGTTATATTGAGAGCAAGTCTAGTTTCCTTAGATATTAAAAAATTATGAAGTCTTTCAAAAACACAAAAATGCAGAAAATAATACAATACCTGTGTTCCTACCACTTGGATTTACTAAATCTTAATATTCTGTTATATTTACTTTAACATTCTCTTTAAAACAGAAAGTGTTCTAAATGCAGGTGATACAGCTGCTCTTCTTCAAGACTGACTATTCTAGGCCCTTTGTATTTCCATATAAATTAAAGAGTATAATTGTCCCATAATTTTAAAAACTAATCTCTGTTTCTGGACATTTTACTCAATATTTTGCTATTATGAGTCAAACTATAATAAACATTTTGTACATACATATTTATGTACATTCTTAACTTCTTTCTTAATATAAATTCCTAGGAATTGGATTGCTAGTCAGTGATTAAACATACTTTCGAAGGCTTTTCAGACAAATTGTCAAACTGCCCCCCCTGAGATGTATGAGAATGCCCTGTGCTTTGCGTTCCTGTTATCACTGGGTATTATCTTGATTTTTCCTTCTACAATACGATAAACATAAAATGCTATTCTATCGTAGTTATAATTTTCATTTTATTGATTGCTAAAGAAGTTAAAAATTTAATCATGTTTATTGACCCTTTAATAAACATGATTTTGTGATTCACCAGCTTATTTCCTTTGCTTATTTTTGTATTGGAATATTATTTTGCTGTTGATTTATAAATACTGTTTATGTTATACATGTTGCAAATATTATCTGCATTTATTTATCTTTCAATTTTATTTCTTCTTCTTTTTCAAAAAACAGAAGTGTAAACATAGTCAAATCTATTGGTCTTTTTTTTCCTTTGAAACAGGGTCTTGCTCTGTTACCCAGGCTGGTGTGTAGTGATGCAATCACAGCTCCCTGCAGCCTCAACCTCCGGGGCTCAAGTGGTCCTCCCACTTCAGCCTCCACAGTAGCTAGGACTACAGGCACCCACCACATGCCCTGCTAATGTTTTATTTTTATTTTTGTAGAGATGGGGTCTCACTGTGTTTCCTAGGCTAGTCTCAAACTCTTGGGCTCAAGTGATCCTCCCACCTTGATCTCCCAAGGATTATAGGCGTGAGCCACTGCGCCCGGCTATATTGGTCTTTTTTGTGCTTTTTCCTTTTGGTGTTAAGTTTAGAAAAACTTCCCTTATCTTAAAATTATATAAATCTATTCTTATATTTTCTTCCAGTCATTTTTAATCTATTTAAAAATGTGGAATACATTGTGAGCAAGAACTCTTAAGTTTTTTTTCCCTCTCAGGCTTATTCAGCTACCCCAATATTACTAGGCATCTATGATGTCCCCAGGGGTCTCAGATACCACTTTTATCTTATACCAAATACTTACATACATTTTAGATTTTTTTCTTGTACTCTCTAGTCTATTTACAGCATATCACTTTCATGAGCTAATTATTATAACTTTTGATTATCTTAACTTCATTATATATTTTAAGAACTGATGAGATGCCATTATTGTTTTAATTTTTCTTTACTATTATTGTATATTTTCAGTTGTTTTTTTCTAAAACCCAACACAAAAATATTTCATAATAGAAAAAGAAAAGCAATGCATGTCATGGCCAATATTATATGCGGTGAATAGGGTGTAAAATAAAAAGTATAGGCTCTCTCTCTTTCTTCTCTGCAGTTAACACTGTTAATGTTAACACTTTTAGTTTTTTGTTAGCACAAATAATTGCTCATTTCTTCCTGATGAACTTTAGATTACTTTTTCTTATTTTAAAAATTGGAATTGCCTTAAATTTATGAGATAATTTGAGAAAGGATTGCTGTCTTTATTATTTTTGAGTCTGTGCATCTAAGAACAAATCACATCCCTTGATTTATCTGAATATCTTTTATGTACGTCAGTAAAGTTTTACATTTATTTTCTTTTTCTTTTTTTTTTTTCCTGAGACAGAGTTTCACTGTTGTTGTCCAGGCTGGAGTGCAATGGTGTGATTTTGGCTCACTGCAACTTCCGCCTCCCGGGTTCAAGCGATTCTCCTGCCTCAGCCTCCCGAGTAGCTGGGATTACAGGTGTGTGCCACCACACCCAGCTAATTTTTTTTTTTTTTTGTATTTTTAGTAGAGACAGGGTTTCGCCATGTTGGCCAGGCTGGTCTCGAACTCCTGACCTCAGGTGATCCGCCTGCCTTGGCTTCTCAAAGTGCTGGGATTACAGACATGAGCCACTGTACCCGGCCTACAGTTATTTTCATATAGGGCCTTCATATTAAAAAAGTTTATTCCTTGGGATGTTATCTTTTATTAGATTTTATTTATTTATTTGAGACAGAGTTTCATTCTTGTTGCCTAGGCTGGAGTGCAATTGTGTGATCTTGGCTCACTGCAACCTCCGCCTCCTGGGTTCAAGCAATTCTCTTGCCTTAGCTTCCTGAGTACATGGGATTACAGGTGCCTGCCACCACACCCAGCTAATTTTTGTATTTTTAGTAGAGACAGGGTTTCACCATGTTGGCCAAGCTAGTCTTGAACTCCTGGCCTCAGGTGATCTACCCACCTCGGACTCCCAAACTGCTGGGAATACAGGTATGAGCCACTGTGCCTGGACTTTTATTAGATTTTAGAATGGTATTATTTCCTGTTATATTTTCTCATTAGTTATTGCTGTAAAGTAGGTAAACCACTGTTTTGTTGTATATTATTTTATGACTAGTCATGTTACTAATTATTACTAATCATGAGAATTTTAGCTATTTCTGTTGTTTTATACAATAACACTACCTATGTAAATGATTTTTTCTCTTTTTTGATAGCTATATTGAAGTTATTTTTATATAGAAAAACACAAGTCATAATATAACAATTACTAGTGTACCTTTTAAACAGAAATAATAGTCGTGGTTTGATTACCTATTTGTTTTCGTTATCTTGTTGCAAAGGTAAAAAGTTCTAGAACAATATGAATTAATGGTGCTTAAATGGTTATATTTGTTTTTTTCTGGTTTTTTTTTTTTTTTTGTTGTTGTTGTTGTTGTTGTTGTTGCTGTTGTTTTGAGATAGAGTCTCTCTCGTTGCCCAGGCTGGAGTGCAGTGGTGCAGTCTCGGCTCCCTGCAACCTCCGCTTCTCTGCTTCAAGCGATTCTCGTGCCTCAGCCTCCTGAGTAGCTGGGATTGCAGGCGTCTGCCACCTCCGGCCTGGCTAATTTTTGTATTTTTAGTAGAAATGGGGATTCACCACGGTGGCCAGGCTAGTCTCGAACTTCTGACCTCAAGTGATCCATCCTCCTCAGCCTCCGAAAGTGCTGGGATTACAGGCGTGAGCCACCGCGGCCAGCCGACATATTTGTTTCGATTCTACTTTTTTTGTTTTCCAGCTGTGGACATGCAATGGCACTGGATTATTCTATAAAGCTGTATTTTCTTTAAAAATAATACTTTTTAATTTGGGATTAGGTTTACAGAAAAGTTGCAAAAATAGTCCAGAGCATTCTTATATATCCCACACCCATTTTCCCCCATTGTAGTCTTACATAACCATCAAAACTAAGAAGCCAACAGTGGTATTTAACTATTAACTAAACTCCAGAATTTATTTGAATTTTACTATTTTTTCCCACTAATATTCCTTTTCTATTTCAGCAACCTATCCAGGATACCATGTTTCATTTAGTTGTCATGTCTCATTGTTACCAGAAAGTGGTCCCAACTCAGACTCCAAGAGAGAGTTTTTGGACCTCAAGCGAGAAAGATTTCAGAGCAAGTCCACAGAGTAAAGTGAAGGCAAGTCTTTTAGGAAAGTAAAGGAATAAAAAATTGCTACTTCATAGGCAGAGCAGTGGTATGGGCTGCTTGACTGATTATACTTAAGTTATTTCTTGATTATATGTTAAAGGAGGGGGTGGACGCCAGGCGGGGTGGCTCACACCTGTAATCCCAGCACTTTGGGAGGCTGAGGCAGAAGAATCGCTTGAACCCAGGAGATGAAGGTTGCAGTGAGCCGAGATCGCACCACTGCCCTCCAGCCTGGGTGACAAAGTGAGACTCCATCTCCAAAAAAAAAAAAAGAAGGGGTGGATTATTCATGAGTTTCCCAGGAAAGGGGAGGGGAATTCCTGGAACTGAGGGCTCCTCCCCTTTCTAGATAATATAGTATAACTTCCTGATGTTGCCATGGCATTTGTAAGCTGTCATGGGGATGGTGGGAGTGTCTTTTAGCATGCTAATGCATTATAATTAGCATATAATGAGCAGTGAGAACAACCAGAGGTCATTTTCCTCACCATCCTGGATTTGGTGGGTTTTGGGCCAGCTTCTTTACTCCATCCTGTTTTATCAGGAGGGTCATTGTGACCTGTATCTTGTGTCAGCCTCCTGTCTCATCGTGTGATTAAGAATGCCTGACCTCCTGGGAATGCAGCCCAGCAGGTCTCAGACTGATTTTACTTAGCCGCCATTCAAGATGGAGTTGCTCTGGTTCAAATACCTCTGACATCATTAGTGTCCTCCAATCTGTGATAGTTTCTCCGTCTTTCTTTTTTTTTTTTTTTATGAGATGTTAGTCAAGTATTTTGTAGAATGCCCCTCAATTTGGATTTTCTCATGACTAGCCTGTGGTTTTGGGAAGACTACAGATGAGAGTTTGCATCCCATCGCATCTCATCATGGGATACATGTTGTCATGACTTAGTACAGGCAATGTGAACCTTGATCATCTGGCCAAGGTAGTGTTTGCCAGGTTTCTACCCTGTAAAGTTACTTTCTCCCCAACTGATGCTCTGTTCTTGGGAAGCAAGTCACTAAGTCCAGCATACACTGAAGGATGAAGGGGTTGGGGGAGAGAATTGATTCTAATTAAATGAGAATCTTTCTGGTATTTTGCTATTATGACGTCGACTCTTGGTTTGTTTTAGATATTCTTGACCATGTTAGAGATGTAACTAAAGAAACGTATTTTTACATGAGCATCAGCTACCTAAATTATAATTTGGGGAAGAAATGAAAAAAATGAGCATAGGGAAACAGAAGGAATTTGAAGAAATTAAAACAATAGAAAGAAATTTTACTACTTGAATTAATTCAGAGGAAGCTCATCTGAATTAGTAAAAAGTCTATGCAGAATCTTTGACTTATTCCTTTTTATCTCCACAGGTTCTAAAACACTATATTTTGGGAGTACAGCAAGGGTTGGCGGAATGGAACTGAATAAACAAGTGGGTTTGTTATCCATCTCCGGAAGAATCTCTTAATTTTCTTGCCATTTAAAGTGTATTCAAGCCAGAAACATATTTCAGGTTCCTTTTAAATCTTCTGTAAAAAGAAAGCCACATTCAAAGGATTTGAATAGACATTTCTCCAAAGAAGATACACATGGCTAATAAGCACATGAAGAGATGCTCAAGATCATTAGCCATTAGGGAAATGCAAATCAAAACCACAGTGAGACACCACTTCCCATCCATTAGGACAGCCAGAGTAAAAAAGATAGTAACTATTGGTGAGGTTGTGGAGAACTTGGAACTGGCAGGGATGCAAAATGGTACAGCTGCTTTGGAAAATAGTCTGGCAGTTTCTCAAAAAGTTAAACATAGAGTTACATGACCCAGCAATTCCGCTTCTAGGTATACACCCAAGATAAATGAAAACGTATGTCCACACAAAAACTTGCACAAGAATGTTCATAGCAGCATTATTCATAAAAGGCCAAAACTAGAAACAATCCAGGTATACATCAATTGATGAAAAGATAAATCAAATATGTCATAGCCACACATCAGAACATTACTGAACAATAAAAATAAATCAACTACTGATACATGCTACAGTGTGGATGAACCTTGAAAACATCATGCTGGGCTGGGGGTGGTGGCTCAGGCCGAGTGTGGTGGCTCACACCTGTAATCCCAGCATTTTGGGAGGCTGAGGCGGTTGGATCACCTGAGGTCAGGAGTTCGAGACCCACCTGGGCAACATGGTGAAACCCTGTCTCTACTAAAAATACAAAAATTAGCTGGGTGTGGTGGCACATGCCTGTAATCCCAGCTGCTTAGGAGGCTGAGGCAGGAGAATTGCTTGAGTCTGGGAGGCAGAGGTTGCAGTGAGCCAAGATTGCACCATTGTACTCCAGCCTGGGCGACAGAGCGACACTCCGTCTCAGGGAAAAAAAAAGAAAAAAAAGAAAAAAAAGAAAACATCAGGCCGGGTACGGTGGCTCACGCCTATAATCTCAGCACTTTGGGAGGCTGAAGTGGGCAGATCACCTGAGGTCAGGAGTTTGAGACCAGCCTGACTGACATGGAGAAATCCTGTCTCTACTAAAAATAAAAAATTAGCCAGGCATGGCGGTGCACGACTCTAATCCCAGCTACTTGGGAGGCTGAGGCAGGAAAATCACTTCAATCTGGGAGGTGGAGGTTGTGGTGGGCCGAGATCGTGCCATTGCACTCCAGCCTGGGCAACAAGAGCGAAACTCTGTCTCAAAACAAAAGCAAAAACAAACAAAAACAAAAACAAAAACATCATGCTGGAAAGAAGTCAGTCACAGAGGAGCACATATTGTATGAGTCCATTGTATGAAATGTCTGGAATAGGAACATTGACAGACAGAAAGTAGATTGGTGGTTGCCTAGGATGAGGGAATGACTGCTAATGCATGAGGAGTTTCTTTTGGGGGTGATGCAAATGTTCTAAATTTGATTGTGGTGATGGTTGCACAACTCTGAGTTTACTAAAAACAATGGAATGGTAAACTTCAAATTAGTGAATTGTATGCTATGTGAATTATATCTCAATAAGGTTATTATTTTTTAGAAAAAGAGAGAATGGCAGATTTTGGAATATGGCTCCAGTTTAAACAGACACTAAGGGCATAAACGCAGGCCACAAGTAAGCGAACAATACAGGGAGTGCAGGAAGCAGTTTCAAAAACACAGGACATCATAGTTGCTCTAGAGCTGAGGATATGCTGGCACTCACGGAGAGAGACAGTGACCTCCTGTGTGATGACTTAAGGGCTGAAGTTCCAGTATTATGTGTCGGTATTAGAAATTCCTTCTTTCTTCTTTCTTTTCTTCTTTCTTTTCGTCTTTTTTTTCTCTCCTCCCCTTTCTTTCTCTTTCTTTATATCTTTATCTCTTTCTATCTTCTTTTTCTTGACATGATCTCACTCTGTCACCCAGGCTGGAGTGCAGTGGCACGATCATAGCTCACTGCAGCCTCAAATTCCTGGGCTCAAGTGATTCTTCTGTCTCAGCCTCCCAAATAGCTGGGACTGCAGCTGTACACCACCATGTATGCCACCATGCCTGGCTAATTTTTAAAAATTTTTTGTAGAGATGGGGTCTTGCTATGTTTCCCAGGCTGGTGTCCAACTCCTGGCCTCCAGGATCCTCCCACATCAGCCTCCCATAGCACTGGAATGACAGGTGAAAGCCACCTTGCCAGGTCATAAATTTATTTCTTTAGATTACAAACTTGAAATACAAGTAATCCAATACACAGTGTAAATCCATGCATGAACTTTTTCCGATTGACAACGAGGGCAAGCAGGGTTGGATTATGGAGGAGATCAGCCTCAGAGGGAGCCTGCAGGGACAGACGGCAGCTTGCTGTGCTCTAGAGAACTGGCGATGAGGACGGCCAAAATGAGAGGTCCAAAGAGGCCCCACAGCATAGCTAAGGGCTGTCCTAGGGGTCTCCTCCATTCCAGCCTCTGCCCTGGCCATAGCTCCATAGCTCATCACTTTGGGATGTAGCCTTGTGGTTCCATCTGTCTTTTTTTTTTTTTTTTTTTGAGACAAAGTCTCACTTTGTTGCCCAGGCTGGAGTGCAATGGTGCAATCTTGGCTCGCTGCAACCTCTGCCTCCCAGGTTCAAGCGATTCTCCCACCTCAGTCTCCTGAGTAGCTGGGATTACAGGCGCCCAAGACCACACCAAGACCACACCCAGCTAAATTTTTTTTTTGTATTTCTGTTAGATACGGGGTTTCACCATGTTGGTCAGGCTGGTCTTGAACTCCTGACCTTCAAGTGATCTGCTTACCTCGGCCTCCCAAAGTACTGGGATTATAGGCATGAGCCACCGCACCCGGCCATATCTTGAACTTTCTCTATCAATTAGGAAGTGGGCTTAGGTTTTTCATGCCTGTGACCCACTTTCAAATTCACTCTTATTGCCTTATTCTTTTGGCCATCTTTGGGTATCATGATGCTGTTGGAACAGAACTGCTTCCTGCGCCATCGTGCTGGTTGAATTACTCATGAGATAAAGCTCTTTTGTGGTGCATTCACTTCAGACCCTCATGCATGTAACTGCAGGTTATATCCATGCCATGTTACAGGACCCTCTCAGCTCCATGTTCTAGCCAACACATATTTTGTAATGGTATGTCGAAGAAATGCATTTTACATATTGATCACTAATTGCTTGCTATGGTTTGCAGGTGAGCCACACACCACTGTGTCAAAGTACACTGACTCAGAACTACAGTGCTACACAAGACACACAGATGGGCATGCACTTGCACACTTACATGCAAACACACTCTGTTGAGGGGACCAGTTCAGATTCAGATTTAGGTTTTCATCTGTTTTATATTAAACCTGTAATCCTTCCCATAAGCAAAGCTGGACTTTCCAGCAACTCTCGTTCTTTCTCTGGGCTTCAGGTTTCTTATCTAAAACAAGGAGACTGAATCTCTGGGGTTTTTCTACCTTCCATGGTTATGATTTAGGGTGGGAAAGTGATCTCTCTAATGAGGCTGAGCTCCTTAAGGTTAGAGTTGCTAAATCATTTGTAAAGGGTTTCCCCTTCTGTAACACTGAACAGGGTTATCCTCTGCCATTGGGCATGGGAGGGAGGGAGGATAGTGTTTTCAAGCTACCTCCTACTTTCCAGAATTAAAAGAAAAGTCCCTTTCTTGGTTGAGACTTGCTAATCTAGCTCTTTGTAGGAAATGCTAAGTTAGGTAGCCACTGATTTACTGAGTGCCAGTACTTTGACCCCGTGCACTAACATTATTTTGCACTACATGTGCCTCCTGGACTTTCTTTGATAACTTAAAAAAAATCAGCTTTTATTTTATACTCGGGGATACACATGCAGATTTGTTACATGGATATATGCATGATGCTGAGGTTTGCGGTACCACTGATCTCATCACTCAGGTAGTAAGCACGGTACCCAATAGGAAACTTTTTAGCCCTGGCCCCCACCCCCCGCCCCCCTAGTAGTCCCCAATGTGTGTTGTTGCCATTGGGTAATGTTTGGATAACTTTGGCTTGTTTTTCTAGATTGCATCAGAGAAATGGGAATCCCCCCAGCATATCCCCATCCCCATTCTTCATTCTCTTTGTCTCAAGATAGGCTGGGATGCTGGAAGAAAGCCCCCTTTTGCAGCAGAGCATCTGGGATCCATTTAGGGCCCATAGTGCACTGGCAGAAGAAAGTGACCTAGCATGCTGGCCACAACTGCATCTGTTCCCTGTGCAGGTATCAGAGGGATCACGGCCCCTCCGGTAATTGCTGGAGACAGGGTCAACAGGGCTGAAGCTTCCTTCTCCTTGGGCTCCCTCCCCGACCCCACCACATTCCCTCTTGGGAAAGGCAAGTTGCCAATCCTGTGACACCCCATCTGTCTGACTTACTGCAGCTCCTCCTCCCTCTCCACTCCCACTCTGCCACCCCCATCCCGAGGGCATGGGCTCAATCAATCTCTCCCGGCACCAGGGAGAGACTGAAGTCAGACAGTGGAACTAATGGCTTAGCTCCCCAGGCACCTGGACAACATCCAGGGCTCTGGACACATTCCATGGCGGGGCCATCCATCTCCTTTAGGGGTGCCTTTGCTAACCCAAACATCTGAGCAAGAAGATCCATCTTACCCTACTCCAGGGATATGGGCTAGAGGGAGCATTACATCTGCTATGCTGGGTAAGAGCCAGCTCAGAGCCAATCACTGCGGGAAGACCTGGGCCAGGTAGGCAGGAATAGAGAGTAGAGAGGATGTGAAGGGTCTGATATTCATGGAAACCTGCTGGGGGTTACCTAAGACACACGGACGCCTCACTCCCATGTTACTAAACAAAACATTAT
Organism: Homo sapiens; assembly: GCF_000001405.40. Classification (NCBI taxonomy): domain Eukaryota; kingdom Metazoa; phylum Chordata; class Mammalia; order Primates; family Hominidae; genus Homo; species Homo sapiens. The sequence continues at coordinate 41,452,558 of NC_000008.11, read as the reverse complement.
AAGGCATATTAAAAGGCAGAAAACACATTTGAAGAGATGGAGCAAGCATCAGAACCGGATTCAGACATGGCAGGGATGTTGGAATTATCAGACTGGGAATTTAAAACAGCTATGATTCATATGCATAAAGGCTCTAATGGATAAAGTAGATAGCATTCAACAAAAGATGGGAAATGAAAGCAGAGAAATGGAAATTCTAAGAAAGAACCATAAGAAATGCTAGAAATCAGAAGCACTATAATCCCAGCATTTTGGGAGGCCGAGGCAGGAGGACTGCTTGAGGCTAGGTGTTCAAGATGAGCCTGAGCATATAGTGAGACCCTGTCTCTACAAAAAGTTAAAAAAAAAAAAAAAGCCAGATGTGGTGGTGTGTTTCTGTAGTCCTAGCTACTTGAGAGGCTGAGGTGGGAGGACTGCTTGAACCCAGGAGGTCGAGGCTGTAATGAGCTATGATTGTGACACTCCACTCCAGCCTTAGCAACAGAGCAAGACACTGTCTCTAAAATCAAAACAAAAAAACACTCTAAGAGAAATGAAGAATGCCTTTGGTGGGCACATTAGTAGACTGGACACGGCTAAGGAAAGAATCTCTGAGCTTGAGGATATCTTTATATAAACCTCTTCAATTGAAAAGCAAAGAGAAGGAAATAGAACAAAGTATTCAAGAACTGTGGGACAACTACAAGAAGCATAACATATGTATAATGGGATACCAAAAGTAGAAGAGAAGAAGATGTCAGGGGTTTGAGACCAGCCTGGCCAACATGGTGAAACCCCATTTCTACTAAAAATGCAAAAATTAGCCGGATGTGGTGGTGGGCGCCTGTAATCCCAGCTACTTGGGAGGCTGAGGCAGGAGAATCGTTTGAACCTGGGAGATGGAGGTTGCAGTGAGCCGATATCGCGCCACTGCACTCCAGCCTGGGTGACAAAGCAAGCCTCTCAAAAAAAAAAAAAATGTTAAAAGATGTTTTTTAGAGAGCAAGACAATGATACAGGTCGGAAACTGGAATCAATACATTGATATTTTGGTCAATGAGAGACCTCATGTAAGATGGTGGTCCTGTAAGATTTTAATGGAGCCAAAAAACTCCTATTGCTTGTGATGTGGTAGCTGTCATAGTGTTGTAGTGCAATGTATTACCTTTTCTATGTTTGGATATGTTTGTTTATTTATTTATTTTTTTGAGATGGAGTCTTGCTCTGTCGCCCAGGCAAGATCTTGGCCTAGTGGCATGATCTTGGCTCCACTGCAACCTCCTGGGTTCATGTGATTCTCCTGCATCAGCCTCCCGTGTAGCTGGAATTACAGGTGCCTGCCACCACACCCAGCTAATTTTTGTATTTTTAGTAAAGACGAGTTTTCACCATGTTGGCCAGGCTGATCTCAAACTCCTGACCTCAAGTGATCTGCCTGCATTGGCCTCCCAAAGTGCTGGGATTACAGGCGTGAGCCACCTCGCCCAACCTCTATGTTTAGATATGTTTAGATTCACAAATACCATTGTGTTCCAGTTGCCTACAGAATTCAGTAATGTAACATGCCGTACAGGTTTGTAGCCTAGGAGCAATATGCCATGCTCTGTAGCCTAGATGTGTAGTAGGACATTCCATCTAGATTTGTACAAGTACACTCGATGATATTCACACAATGACGAAATCATCAAACAGTGCATATCTCAGAATGCATCCCTATTGTTAAGCAATGCATAACTGTATTTGAAGCAATAATAACTGATAATTTCTCCATATTAATGTCAGATCCAGGAATTTCTGAAAACACCAGCAGGATAAATCCAAAAAATCCCTACACCTAGGCACATTATTATATTCAAACTACAAAAAATCAAAGATAAAGAAAAAAATCCTGAAAAAGCCAGAGAGAAGACATTTTACCTAGAGAGAAACAAAGATAAGAATTACATCTGATTTCTCCTCCATGCAAGCAAGAAGAGAGTGTAATAAAATATTTAAAGTGTTGAGAGAAAAAACTCTACTAACCTAGAATTCTGCACCTAGAATCCTGCAAAATTATCCTTCAAGAGTAAAAAAGAAATAATAACTTTCTCAGACCAAAAAAAAAAAAAAAAAAATCCAGGGAATTTTTTTACTGTGGCTCTACCTTGGAAAAAATGTTAAAAGATGGCCGGGCGTGGTCGCTCACGCCTGTAATCCCAGCAATTTGGGAGGCCTTGGCAGGCGGATCACTTGAGGTCAGGAGTTCGAGACCAGCCTGGCCAACATGACCCCGTCTCTACTAAAAATGCAAAAATTAGCCAGGCACAGTGGCATGCGCCTGTAATCCCAGCTACTTGGGAGACTGAGGCAGGAGAACCATCTGAACCTGGGAGATGGAGGTTGCAGTGAGCTGATGTCGCGCCACTGCACTCCAGCCTTGGTGACAAAGCAAGACTCCGTCTCAAAAAAAAAAAAAAAAAACTGTTAAAAGAAGTTTTTTAGAGAGCAAGAAAATGATATAGGTCAGAAACTGGAATCTACATAAATAGATGTATTTATAATGCTTGGAAGAGCATCAAAAAAGTGCAGTGAAAGTAAGGTATTAAAAAATCCCAGCTTACACTGGTTTTGAGATACAAAACAAGGAACACATACCTTATCCTTAAGGAACTCAGGTTCTTTTTTTTTTTTTTTTTTTTTTTTTAAACAGAGTCTTGCTCTGTTGCATAGGCTGGAGTGCAGTGACGTGATCTTGGCTCACTACAGCCTCTGCCTCCTAGGTTCAAGTGATTCTCCTGCCCCAGCCTCCTGAGTAGTTGGCATTACAGGTGTGCCATCACACCCAGCTAATTTTGGTATTTTTAGTAGAGATGGGGTTTCACCATCTTGGACAGGCTGGTCTTGAACTCCTGACCTCAGGTGATCTACCCACCTTGACCTCCCAGAGTGCTGGGATTACAGGCATGAGCCACTGGACCTGTCCAGGAACTCACACTCTAACAGGAAAGAAAAGAAACAGCAGAGCTCATGGGAAAACTATGGGCTTTGGGATCAGAATACTTGAGTTCCAGGTTGAGGTCTACCGCTTAGGAGCTTTGTGTGTGAGGCAAGTTACTTGACTTCTCTGATCTGTTTCCTCAGTTGAATAGGAGATAATGAGAAGTAATGTATACACATATAAATAGGAGTTCAACAAGTGAAAGTGTTGTTATTATGTGATTATTTAGATAGCTCAAATACAAGTCAGGACATGAAAATTACACAAATGAGGACCTGACAATGTGCTGAGGAAGGCAGAAGGGAGGGGCCATGGTTTTTCCCATCGGGGGAGTCAGAGACATCTTCATGCAGGCAGTGGTCAAGAGAATACGATTCGTCTTCATTCTCCTGTCATTTAAATCAATGTCTGCTGTTTGGGCTGGGCACAATGGCTCACGCCTGTAATTCCAATAATTAGAGAGGCTGAGATAGGGGGATCGCTTGAACTCAGGAGTTCGAGACCAGCCTGGGCAGCATAGCAAGACTATGTCTCTACAGAAAATTTTAAAATTAGCCAGGTGTCATGGCATTCACCTGTGGTTTCAGTCACTGGGGAGGCTGAGGCAGGAGGATCACTTGAGCCCAGGAGTTCAAGGCTGCAGTGAGCTATGGATGGTGCCACTGCACTCCAGCCTGGGTGACAGAGTGAGACCCTATCTCTAATCTCTCTCTTTATCTATCTACCTACCTGCCTACCTACCTACCTACCTACCTATCTAAACTTCTATTTATTGAGGACCTTCTATGTGTGCGGACATTGAACCACATGTTTTATATTCATGATTTCACATAATCCATCCAACAGTATTGTCAGGCAGAGGTGATGATTCCAGTTTCTCAGAGGAGAAAAATGATATTTCTCAAGATTAAACAAGTTGCCCCGGTCACACAGCTAGTGGATGGTGGAGCTCCGAACCCTAATCCGAATGACTGCATTCTAAAGCTTGAGGAGTGGGGTCTTAGTTTAGAGGCATGGTGCTGTCCACACTGACGATTACTCTTCATTCCAGAAGAGACTCCTCCATTTATCTTTCAGACAGTTCACAAGGGGGCAGGCTGCTCTTGGAGGGTCCTTGGCTCCACTCATCGGTTTCATATACTTAGCTAAATTCTGAGATTTTTAATTGAAAAGATTCAATCAGTGAGGAGAACTGGAGCCCAAAGCAGAAAACCCAGGCTGAAGTTTGTCGTGTGCACTCTGGGAGGGTTAGGAAAAGGCTTGCTAACTGAGAGGAGCACAGATTCCAGGGCTTGCACCAGAACCAGGTGCCAGGCACCAAGACCAGGAGGTCTTGGTCCTTGCTGGCTGGGCACCCAGGGGTCAGAATGAAATTGGAGACCCAGTAAGATCAAGGCTTCCGTTTGAAGGTCCTGTGCCCCTGTACTAAGCAAGGATGACGAGCGCAGGTGTGGATGTCAGGGGCTTCTCACACATTCTGCCTCTAAATAGAGTTACACCCAGAAGTTGAATTCCTGGAACACCAAAAGCACAGTCAAGCCCAGTCTTCCCCTGTAGGCAGCAGCATTTGATACAACCAGATTCTGGGACACTGAGAAAATGTGGGCGATCCCTTGGGGTTTCTTTTAATAATAACCTTTTGTGTTTGTGCAAACTTCATTCTTAAAGCACTTTCATAATCCCTGTTGCTGAATTCTCACAAAGTTCCTGGTCCTGACTTTTCTGTGGAAGCAAACAGAAGTGACCTGATGAGGTGGAAATCACTTGAGATTGGCATCGAGTGAACGTGGGGTTTGACTCTTCTTCTGGATTTAATAGCCGTGACCTGGGTGAGTTATTCACTCTTTTAAGTTTCAGTTTCCTTCTGTGTGCAGTGAGGATTATCCTCAGGCAGGGATTAAGTGACATCTGATACATCAAGTGCCACACAGCGCCTGGCCCGATGCCAAGTGCTCGACAGGTGCCAGTCCCCTTCCTTTCTGCCTCTGTCCACTTCACTCCTGCTGTCTGCCCTTTCAGTCTGGCACCCCTGGCAGCTCTACCTGAACTGGGATGACCCACTGGCAAGGTTGTCAAGGCAGAGTTTCTGCATGTGCCTTTTGTCACAAGGCTGGATGTGGAAGGCTGAGTAAGGTTGGTGCAGAGGCTGTCGGGGGGTCCAGGTGAGAGCTCGGGTTCAGCGTCAGTCTCTGCTGCTTTGTGTTCCTCTCTGGCACAGTGGAGGGAGACCCGTGGTGTCCTGTGGTGTGGGCACATGTGGGTGGGTTATGGGGACAAGCTGGGAGCACCATCAGCTATGAATGGGGAGGTGACAGTTACTCAGTGTGTTTCTTTGTGTCTGGGTTGGGGGAGGACTGGGGCTTGACCTGCATGAGATGGGGGGAGGCTGGGACTTGACCTGCATGGGATGGGGGTGGGGGACCTAGGATTTGGCCTGCATAGGTTTGGGAGGTAAGACAGGCACCATGTCATTCCAGGGACTTGGAGGTTGTTGTGCATAGAAGTGGTTAAAGACTGCATCTCTGTATTTTTGGATTCCAAGTCAGGACACATGGTCTGATACAAGTAAGCTCACAGCAGAAATGGCACAGAATATGTGAAACCAGGAGCATGCCAGGAAACCCAAGACACGTGATCACTGAGCCTGTTCCATCTCCTGAGAGGAGTTGGTTATATTCATTTAGAAGTTTGCTGATGCTTTTTCTGGGAACTTGTTTATTTTCCTTTCCTCAAGGTAGACAGAAAGAAGTCAGGATAGGTGGGATAGGAACTGAGAGGTTTATATATTTGTTTATTTATTTTTTTACCTTTAGAGACAAGGTCTCACTCTGTCATCCAGGCTAGAGTGCAGTGGTACAATCATAGCTCAGTGTAACCTCGAACTCCTGGGCTCAAGTGATTCTCCCACCTCAGACTTGGGAGTAGCTAGGACTACAGGTGTGCACCACCATGCCTGGCTAATTTTTAAAAAAACTTTTTTGTAGATACAGGGGCTTGTTATGTTGTCCAGGCTGGTCATGAACTCTGAGAGGTATATTTTTAGAGGAACAGAACCTTTTAGGCCTTCCTCCACTTTCCCCAAAATGTAGCACCTTCCATGAACCTCGAATCCAGATTCAGGCTGCATGTTTAAAGACAACTTAAAAAACCCATGCAATCTTTCCTTATATTAATTTTATTGAATAACTTTTCTTTCAAAATCAAACACATCAAAGAGTAAAATGGCACTTGATATATAGTTCTTGTTATTTGAAGTAGTTATGCTCTATTAAGTCACAGTGGACACTGAATTAGTGAACACTGAACCACTGCTCCTGGAAGAAATACAGGGTTAAGTTCCTACGAGCTTCTGGTCGCAGCGTTTTCATCAACCAATCAGTATGTAACTTTTGTTTTATATGTGTTTCTGTTTAAAGTTGCCTTATTTAATATGTAATTGTTTAATGACCATTGAATATTAACATGGAACTCATGCGTGATCAAAGCTTATCTAATACATGTATTTTCTCCATAAGGCAAATCACAGTTTTCTTGCATTTAGTAGTGTTAGAAAGTACTTCAGCCCTACACTTGGGGGCAACAGTGAAATCACCAAAAAAATGCACAAAAATGTGAAAACGTGGCACTAGAATGACTTCAAAAAGAGCATTTATTTACAGAGTAAGAGCTGAAACAAGAAGGCAGAATGCTGTCTTATTCAACACCTGGGAATGTGGGCATTGGGCAGCTTGAATTTCTCACTGTTGTGCAGGTTTCCTTGAATGAACATGAACACCAATATATGAGCGTTGACTTGCGGAGTACAAGGAAATTTTAGTGAGTAGGAGAATTTGCAAACATATAATCTGTGAATAATGAGGATCAACTTGACTTTTCTTCCTCCATCTTCCCTCTCCCCCACACCCCCAAGTGCTTTTGGCAAAACCAGACTTCAGGGAAGACAATCACAGAATAAATTGACAGGATTCCTTTGCTTTGGAACTTGCCTGGGAACTTAGCATTTATTTATTCATTTATTTATTTATGTACTATTTTTTGAGATGGAGTCTCACTCTGTCGCCCAGGCTGGAGTGCAGTGGTGCAATCTTGGCTCACTGCAGCCTCCACCTCATGGGTTCTAGCAATTCTGCCTCAGCCACCCAGGTAGCTGGGATTACAGGCATGTGCCACCATGCCTGGCTAATTTTTGTATTTGTAGTAGAGACGGAGTTTCACATGTTGGCCAGGCTGGTCTTGAACTCCTGACCTCAAGTGATCCTCCTGTCTCAGCCTCCCAAAGTGCTGGGATTACAGGCATGAGCCACTGCCCCTGACACTTAGCATTTATTTTAACTTTAATTTTAGGTTGATAACTAATTGAAGCCATTCTGTCTCCTCAGGTCTAGGTAAGCAATGGTACTGGTCTAGGTAAGCAATGGTACTGGTCTAGGTAAGCAATGGTACTGTCCAGCTATCGCCTTGCAAGGTATACAAAGACCTTCCAGATCTGACATGTTGTTCTCTTCATTGCCCTATCTTCCTCCATGCCCTTCCCAGTCTAGCTCCAGCCATACTGAACTCCGTGTAGTTTCCTCCTATGCATATGTGTGTTTGCATATTCTGATCTCTATGCCCAAGCTCTTTCCTGCCTGCGCTGGCTTTTCAAGTATTGCCTCCCTGTGAAGCTTTGACAGTGAGATCCCCCACTCTGTTCTTGACGTCCTAAGCATGCAAACCTATTTACCTTGTTTTATTTTATTTATTTTTTGAGACAGGGTCTCATTCTGTTACCCATGCTGGAATGCAGTGGTGTGATCTTGGCTCACTGCAGCCTTGACCTCCCCAGGCTCAAGCAGTCCTCCCACCTCAGCCTCCTGAGTAGCTGGGATTACAGGTGTGCCACTGCACCCAGCTAATTTTTTTTTGTAGTGATGGGATTTCACCATGTTGCCCAGGCTGGTCTTGAACTCCTGGGTTCAAGTGATCCACCTGCCTTGGCCTCCCAAAGTGCTAGGATTACAGGCATGAGCCATAGTGCCTGGCCTCCTACCAGGGCGTTGTCTGTTTACCTGTTTGTTTTTCCTTTAAGAATGTAAGCCCTTTGAGGGAAAGGACCCTCTCTCACCTTTGTCTACCAGTGCTTGGCAAGCAGCTTCATGAAAGGAGGGATAGAGGGGTGAAGGAGGAAGAGAGTGTTCCAAGATGTTGACACTTCTGCTCACGGTGGTTGAAAACACAGGTATAAGCTAATTAGGATTCATCAAAGGAAGAAAGCAAGGCATCTTATTTTTCTCTTTATTTATGTAACTGTGCACGAGCTTAAAAAGTTAGGTGTAATTTTCACAAAGGTTTAAAATAATTAGGAGTAATTTATTGGAAATCCTTGTGTTCAGCCAAATATGGTGTAAATTACAGACCTTTCATTTCACATTTCTATGAAATATATTTGACTGATAGTGGAGAGCAATAAAGTGGAGTCTTGATCTTGTGCCCCAGAAGTAATCACTATGTACCCATTGCAAGTCATTTCACCTTTTGGGACCTCAGTTTCTGCAGCTGAAAAATAAAAACATTAAGAGATTACACTGGAGTGAGAGTGTTCTGCTGTTTCTATCTGCCCAGCATCCTTTCTGTCTAGGATTAGGCATGGCCAGAAGAATCAGACCTGATAAATCTTTGTATTTCCTCTATCTGGCCAGAAGAATTGGTTCAGGAATGGACATATGATTAAAGTCTGAAATTCTGGAACTTTTGGCCAGGTGTGGTGGCTCACGCCTGTAATCCCAGCACTTTGGGAGGCCAAGGCAGGTGGATCACCTGAGGTCAGGGGTTTGAGACCAGCATGACCAACATGGTGAAACCCCATCTCTACTAAAAATACAAAAATTAGCCAGGTGTGGTGGCGCACACCTGTATTCCCAGCTACTTGGGAGACTGAGGCAGGAGAATCACTTGAACCCAGGAGATGGAGGTTGCAGTGAGCAGAGATCACGCCACTGCACTCCAGCCTGGGCAACAGAGTGAGACTCCATCTCAAAAACAAAAACAAACAAACAAAAAAACCCAGAAAACTTTTGTTGGAACTATTAGTTTAACATGGCAGATGAGATGCTATTAGTCTCCCTCCAAAATCCATTTTCTCCATCTCCCTTAGTAACAGAACTCTTGACTTTTAGCTGGGTTTATATCTTCCAGGAACAAAGATTACACTTCTAGCCTCCCTTACAACTAGGTGTGGGCATATGATTACATTTGACCAAGGATTTTTTTTTTCTTTTTAAGAGACGGGGGTTTTCCTTTAAGAAGTGGATAAAAGACATGAACAGACACTTCTCAAAGGAAGACATTCATGCAGCCAAAAAACATATGAAAAAAAGCTCAACATCACTGATCATTAGAGAAATGCAAATCAAAACCACAGTGAGATACCATCTCATGCCAGTCAGAATGGCAACTATTAAAAAGTCTAGAAACAACAGATGCTGGTGAAGTTGCAGAGAAATAGGAACACTTTTACACTGATGGTGGGAATGTAAATTAATTAATTTAACCATTAATTAACCATTGTGGAAAACACTGTGACAATTCCTCAAAGATCTAGAAACAGAAATACTATTTGACCAAACAATCCCATTACTGGGTATATACCCAGAGGAATATAAATCATTCTATCATAAAGATACATGCATGCGTATGTTCATTGTAGCACTATTCTCCTTCATTCTATCATAAAGATACATGCATGCGTATGTATGTTTGTGGAGGAACTACACAGTCCTGGACTGCTTACTTTGGGATTTTGTTTATGTAAGACAGAATGAACTTCTAGCTTGTTTAAACTGTTGTCACTTTGAGTTTTCTTTTACTTGGCAGCTTAACCTAATCCTGATTGATAGAGAGCTATCGGGAAGGACAACCACTGGGCTTCTGAGATGACCGGCTGGAAGCCTGAACCCGCCGGATGGTCATCTTGCCACCGCATGGGAAGGAAGGTTGCCTGAATAAAGCTGACATAGAAGGAGGCAAGGTAGGAAACAGAGACTCCCTCAGCCCCACTGACATCAAAGAAGCCACTGTATCTGGCTGTGCTTGAAGCTCACAGCTTTTAACTTTTCAGTTTATGTGTGACACTACTTTTGCCTAAATGAATTTTGTGTTAATCAGGGTCTTTGTCTTTCACAACTGAGAGTCCTATCCGATACAAAGCAGCAGAACGACTTCTCCCAACAACTTCTTACTCAGAAACCCAATCATATTCAGAAGGGGCACAAAGAGCTTCTTCAGCTCAGGCAGGGTAGGAGGATGGAGCCTGAGATCTCTCAGGAATTGCTTGTTCTCCTCACAGCACAGTCTGGAAAACACAAAACTAGACGAGTCTATGATCCTGTGGAAGAACAAGCTAATTCTGAGAGTTCATTTCAAAGCAAATGCCTGCTCCTTTTCTAGAATCACTCAAAGCCAGTTATTGCATCATTGCTACTTTTTAACATCTTTTTTTCTCCTTTGTTAGTAATGTTAATAAGGCACGTAGACACCTTAGTTGAAACAAGCCCAGCCCTCCCTTGGCTATTTCAACACATTCAGTATCCTCATCTTGAATGCTCATCTTAATCAAGATTCAGCAATCAGGTCTCTTAGTTTTAGATAATTCATTTATATTTTGACTTGTGAGGCTTGGGCTTAGGGCTAGCTAGATTCATAGGGACATTAGCTCTCCTCTAGCTAATTCTGCCATTGTTTCAATGTCTGGCATTTGGGATTTGTTCAGTTGGTTGCTCCTTGGAACCAAGTTTCATTTGCAAGGGAGGGGATCAGATTCCAAAGCTGGATCCCATTTCCATTGCTTCAGGAGAGACTCAGAATATGTCCCCAAGACCAGTTGCCTCTTCTAAGGGATCTAAGCCTCTCTGTGGAGGAAGGAGGGCATCACCTGCCTCAGCTTCCACTCTGCATGCAGCCTCTTTGGTGCTGGCCCATTTACTAACCACACTGGACTGCTCTGTCTTGGGAAAGGAAATGTATTCTCTGCCCTGATCAACAAAGGGCACCTTGGATCACCACTGATCTGCTGGAATGTTGGATGCCCTCTGAGGGTGAAATGAGCATTTTCCTCTTGATCTGAGCATTGTTGACATTTTCATTGGCAGCCCAGCCTTGAAAAGCCACATCTTGGCAAGAGAAGAGCTGAAATCTCACTCAAGCATTTGCTCTAGGCGATCACTCTGGGATCCAGGGCTGAGGCTTTCATCAGGGTCATGGAAGCACTGGGATCAAGGAACACCATTCTTTCCAGCGTCGGGGAAGACACAGCAATCATAAGCTGTTTCTTCCTCTTCCCAGGGCTTGTGTATACCATTGGGGCAGACCCAGGGAACGTTTAGAACTAGGCTCTGGTGTCAGATCAGAGGCTTGGTAGAATTTCCAGCTCCTTGTGTGAGAAAAGTGGCAGCAACATAACCATCTTAAAAGCTGCTTTGGAGTCAGGCCTAACCCAGTCAAATTTCTGTTGCTTTATCAGAAGTTGATGGTGTGAGTTTCAGCTTCAACCAGACACTCTTAAAGGGAACAGAGTTAAACCAGCATCAGTACTCCTTTCCCCAAAGGCAGAAAGATGAAGTTTGCATTTACAACAACCCTTGAGCTGTCAGGCATACAGTACCCCTTTTACTGTTTGTAAAATTCTTTGCTCAATCAATAACCACACAAGTATTTTCTGTGTGCCTGTTTTGTGCCTAGAACCGTGCTTCATATTAAGGAAGTTTTGAGAGTGAGGATGTTTCTGCCATGGGAGTGCCTGTGGTTTAGTGGAATGGGACACTCTTGTGATCTGGAATGAAGATAAGGCGTTCTCATGACCCTAGATTATAGCGGACGTGGGAAAGAGGGTAAAGGATTTGGTTGCTTGAGAGTAAAAGCAATAAAGTGAGATTCACTGTATTTCAAGGTTGGGCATGATGTGGTTTGGATGTGTGTCCCCTCCAAATCTCATGTTGAAATGTGATCCCCGATGTTGGAGGTGGGCCTAGTGAGAGGTGGTTGGTTCATGGGGGCGGATCCCTCATGTATGTATGGCTTGGTGCCATTCCCTTGGTGGAGTGAGTACTCGCTCTATTAGTTCATATCTCCTCCTCTCTTTTTTCCTTCCTCTCTTTCCATGTGATCTCTGCACATGCCGGCTCCCTCTTTGCCTCCTGCCATGACTGGAAGCTTCCTGAGGCCTCAACCAGGAGCAGATGCCAGCACCATGCTTCTTGCACAACCTGCAGAACCAGAAACCAAAATAAACTTTTCTTTATAAATTACCCAGCCTCACACATTCCTTCACAGCAATGCAAAACTGACTAACACAGGCCAGGTGCAGTGGCTTACACCTGCAGTCCTAGCACTTGGGAGGCCGAGGCGGGTGGATGACCTGAGGTAAGGAGTTCGAGACCAGCCTGGCCAACATGGCAAAACCCCGTCTCTACTAAAAATACAAAAAGTAGCTGGGCATGGTGGTGCATGCCTGTAGTCTCAGTTACTTGGGAGGCTGAAGCAGGAGAATCGCGTGAACCTGGGAGGCAGAGGTTGCAGTGAGCCGAGATTGCACCACTGCACTCTAGCTTGGGTGACAGAGTGAGATGCCGTTTCAACAAACAAACAAACAAACAAACAAAAACATACCCTTGATTTTGTCATATCTCTGAACGAAGGTTTGCCAGACCTTCTAGCAGGAATTTCAGTTTCCTGAGAACAGGGTCTTTCTTGGACTTGTTCACAGTTGTGTCTTCTGTGTCCAGTGAGATGCCTAAGTGGTAGACATTTGATAATTATCCACTACATGAGTTAATCGGAGGCTGGGTGCTGTGGCTCATGCCTCTAATCCCAGTTCTTTGGAAGGCAGAGGTGGGAGGATCGCTTGAGCCCAGGAGTTCAAGACCAGCCAGAGCAAGACAGCAAGACTCTGTTTCTACAAAAATTTTTAAAAAGTAGCCAGGCATGGTGGTGTGTACCTGTAGTCCCAGCTACTTGGGGAACTAAGGCAGGAGCATAGCTTGAGACCAGAAGTTCGAGGGTGCAGTGAGCCGTGATTGCACCAGTGCACTCCAGCCTGGGTGACTCAGAGTGACTCTGTCTCAAAAAGAAAAAAACAAGTTAATGAGAGACTGAGGTGGACACGGTACAAGGCCCCCCCATTCCCATAGACTGCCTTTGCATTTATTTCTGAATGAGTTTTGGGAAGGGGATGACCTCTTTCTGCTGTATCTCTAGGAAATAGGTGAGGGCTCCAGGGATAAGCAAAAGGTGTCCCAGCATCTTGGCATATATTTCCAGACACTCTCCCTTCAGTTGCTCATCAGAGGGGCCCTCTGAGAGCTTTCCAGAAAACTTATGAGAGAGTCAAGCATTTGCTTATCTTTGGGAGGCATACACATTCCCCTTTGCTGTCTCTGAAGGTTGTTATCTGAAAACTGTCTAGACTTTAGATTCAAGCTGGGCAAAGGAGAAGGACAATGAAATACTTCTCCACTTGGGGGTGGGGTTGGACACGATGAAATATTTCCATTGCTGACCTGTGGGGCTGACTCCCTGCACAGTCAGCTCGAGGCCCCACAGCTTGGGGCATGGGGTTTGTCAGTGTCTCAGCGCCGTCCCATCCGGGAGAGACTGTATATTGCTTGGCTTGCACAAAGAGTTTTTTTGCAATAAACTTTCCAATTTGGGTCAAGAGGGAGAAGGAAAAGCCTTTCATCTTGTCTTTTGTGTGGTATCTGTGATGGGGTTAGGGTGACTGCTCCCAACTGATTAGAGAGCATTTCAGTGGGATGGTGGGAGGTGGATTCCAGCCTTGTTTTGGATCCATGTCTAACTTTTTTTTTGTCAAGGAAAAAAAATCTCCTTTCATCCTAAAGCTCAACATGCGAGCATCCAGCCAAAAGTAGATTTTTTTGCAGTTTATTAAATATGTTGCCTCTTAGATCTTATATTAAAATCTATTTCCTTTCTGCAGGGGACAAGTTGAAACCAGAAAAGTTGCCTTGTAATTTTTCCACTTTGATTCTGCTGCTTGCAAAGGGCACCTCCAGTCCTCCAGTTGCAATAGGGAGTTGCTCCTTAGGAAGGGAGTTAACTCTTGTTTTGCCACCCATCGGGGCTGGGAGGAGCAGCTGGCCTTCCTTCATTACTGGACCCAGCCCGACCTCCCCTCACTGCACAGCTTTGACTCAGCATCAGTCAACTGAGTTAGGGGAGCATGTTGGCTGTGCAAGTTAAGCTAAATCAAACTCTTTCTTAATCTACTCCACCATCAAATAGGCATTATGATCTGCTGGTTTAGATCCAGAAGGGATTCTCCCTGCTCTGGGGTCTGCCTTGAGCTCTCCAGCCCTCAGTGTTGTCTCTTCCACCTGATTCCTGGGGCATCTGTCTTACAGCAACATGCACTTCAAGGTCCTAGAAACCTCCACTGAGAAGAGAACTCATTGTCTGCCAAGGCAGCCCATCCCAGTGCAGACCTCTCTAACTGTTAAGACGTTTTTCCTCATGTTGGGTTGGTCTGTCCTGCTCCTATGCATTGGTCTCTGCCCTGGCAGCTGGAGAAAACGAATTTAATTCAAATCAGCCTCCCATGGTGTATTACTCCGTTTTCATGCTGCTGATATACCCGAGACTGATAATTTATAAAGGAAAAGAGGTTTAGTGGACCCACAGTTCCACGTGGCTGGGGAGGCTTCACAATCATGGCGGAAGGCGAAAGGCATGTCTTCCATGGTGGCAGACAAGAGAATGGGAATCAAGTGCAAGGGTTTTCCCCTTACAAAACCATCAGATCTTATGAGACTTACTTACTACCATGAGAACAGTATGGGGGAAACCACCCCCACGATTCAATTATCTCCCATTGGGTCCCTCCCGTAACACATAAGAATTATGGGAGCTACAATTCAAGGTGAGATTTGGGTGGGGACACAGCCAAACTATATCACATGGGGAAGGGTAGAGATGCTGGTCTGAGACCCCAGGATGGGAGCTTGGGCCCAGTGTGCCCAGAGTTGGCAATTTTTCAAGAGAAGCTCAAAATTCACATTTTCAATGTGAACTCTCACTTTCTAAATGCTGGCAACTTGTTTTTAAAAATTACTGTAGAACAGCAAACAAATCACAGCTTCAGGTCAGGAACAGCCCCTTGGGTCTTCCCTTTGTGATAGAAACATGAAGATCAGGGATTGCAGGCTGAGAACTGTGTACAGTTCTGGAATCTTTGGATTTTGCTAATCTCTGTTTCCCTGGAATGGTTAGCATGCAGTTCTTAAAATGTTCATATTCATGGAGGAAGGGTAGAGAGAGAAGGGTAGAGAAAAGCTGGTGTCGAGGAGGGCAGCTTCAAGTGCTGGTGTGGGTGGAAGAGCCTAGGAGGAGAGGATGTAGGCAGAGAACCAGTGCCCCTAGCAGGGAATAAAAGAGAACACAGAGGCCAGCCTGGCTGTGGAAAAGAGAGGTCCTGAGAGTCCTGAGGTCCTCTTGAGCCTCAAGAAGATAGCAGCCTCCTGAACTTGTTGGGCTGGGCAGACAGGAGGTAACTGGGCAGGCCCTGGGGCCAGGGATGGAGAGGCAGCTCATGGGCAGGTGGTGGAGGTGGGACCAGTTGGAGGGGAGGTGAGAGCAGGCTTCTCTGAATTCAGAGCTGAAGGAGCAGCTATATTATGGGGCTTAAGAGTGTTATTTTTTGAGTGTTTTCTTGCTGATGCCTTGGCTAAGATCACGCTCTTTCTCAATCACTATTATGTGGGCACATGAGCATTTTTACCTTCTTCTCTCTTTATACCCAGCACGTACTAAGTCCTTCATGAATGTCTGATGAATGAATAAGCACATGCACGTGTACACCGTGAATGTTTTTGTGTATGAAACGTGTAGTGTTGGTGGAGGAGGAGGACTGCACATCTTCCTCAGGAACCCTGAGGTGTCAGCTGGGGCTCTCAGGACTTCAGCCTTCATGAGGGTTCACTGCCACCTCCCCCAACCCCCCATCCTGGGAGACAGTCAAGAGCTGTCAGTCTGGTTTCAGGGGCACCAGGCTTAAACCTCTAAACAAACAGGAGGAACTGTGGAATTCCTGGGCATTTGTGCGGAGAAAGTAGCCAGGTAGGAAAAAGTTACTGAAAAATTATGGAATGGATATCAATCTTGGAGACAGCAGAAAAGCATGGTGTGGGCTTACTGGCTGTGGTAAGGATGGGTGGTGTTAGACCAATCCCTGGGGGATTTTCTTAAGTCCCCAAAGGAATGGAGAAGCAAGGAGAAAAGCCTGACGGTCTCAATGGGCTGAAAGGGCTGTGATCGCTTGGAAAGGCTTGGTCTGGACTCAAAACAGTGGACAGAGGCAGGCAGCAGGGGAGAGGGCGGGAAGGACAGCCACTGTTGGGAGAGAAAGCTGGCTTGCTGCTTAGACAGCCGGCTGAGTGCCCATGGCCTATCTGCTGCAGGCTGGGCCCAAAGTCTCAGATTATGCCTAGGTCTTTTAGGAGTGGGGGAAACGCGTGTATTACTATTCGATATTATCTATCTCTTCTATCTATCTATCTATCTATCATCTATCTATCTATCTATCTATCTATCTATCTATCTATCTGTCTTCTACCTATCCATGTATTTATCTACCTATCCATTCATTTGTACACACATACATATATATTATATAAAAATAAATTACTATACTCAAAATTCAAAATGGTCATGCCTATTTGCAAATCTAAGAAATAATTTCATCACATTCCAGAAAGTGCCAAGGTGATGAGGTGTAGATTAAAAAATGTAGCATTTTCCTGTGACTTTGGGGATGCTCTTTAGATTTTTCCCAACTTCTGCCCTTCATTTTTAAATTAATTTTCCTCCTTCTGAGAAAAAGCATTCTTAAATGTGCAGTGCATTCTTAAATTGTTTTAAGGTAAAAGAAGATGGTGTGAAAAGAGAGAAAAAGGAATGTTCCCTCACAGAACTTACCTGTTTCAAAGGTATTTGAAATTCTCAAGGTTGATACTGCAATGTGGCTTCTCATTTGTGCTGTTGGAAGAAAAAAGGCTTTGGGGTCCCTGAGCCGGCCTGGCCCTGGAAGAGTCAGGGGCTCATCTTTTGTGCTGATCTTCAGTGCCTGCCTACCCAGGTACTGAGCAGGTAGCTATGGGGTGGGGGTCAGGAACTTAGGAGAAGTCTTCTTCCTCCTCCTCCTCCTCTTCCTTCTCCTCCTCCTCCAGACAGTTGGCCATGATCCTGCCAAACAAGCCAAGTCTGCTTTCCAAGAAAGGGACACGGAGCTTCCCTTGGGAGGAAGCCATGGGCCTTGCACAAAAGAATTCAGGCCACATGGGGCCGGCTGGGCAGGACCCAGCCACAGGATGTGCATCTTGGAAAAAAAAACCCCAAAGCCTCCAAGAAATATAATTTTAGCGATGTTATTTTCCAGTGATTGTAGAAATGTCATAATCATGTCTCCTCCCCAAGGCAAAAAATAGAAACCTTGACATGAAGGGAGTGATCTGAAGGCTTTTTGGACAAATTGGCACCCACTGGTCTCTCCTCTTCCGTCTTCATCTGCTCCACACATTTTGGCGTTTAATTCACTCTGCTCCAAATGATTCTCTAGTTTCATGCCTAGATGTTTTGTCTTCCCCACTAACCTGGTGTCAGCCCTTTCGTCTTTCTGGTGTCAGTTTCTTTCTGTAGACTGGCTCTGTTCTGCCCTGATCCAAGGAGAGCCCTCGTCTGTGGTGGACCTCCTGGTGTTTGAGGACCCCTGGGTGCCCCAGAAGCCCATGTGAACTCCACAGCGATGGCCAGGCTGTGTCTTGGCTCTGGGCTTCGTCCACTGGGACGGAAGCCTTCCCTGAGCCCAGCCTGGTCACCGCACCACCTCACTCCTGCCAGCTCCTTGCTGTCCCTGGATCCTCATGCTGGTCTTTTTGTGTTGACCTCCACATTACTGCCACTTGTCTGATGCAGAGAAGCACTGCGGCTTCCTAGATGCTGCTGCATGGCTCTGCCCCGCCCTTGGGGCTCCAACCCTTGCGCATCAGCTTGACTCAGATCTAACCCTAGTTGACAATGCTCAGTGGACTCTGTGATTCTGACCCTGATCCCACCTTGGCAAGGGTTGGACCTCCTATTCTGGCCAACTCTCTCCTCCATTTCTACCCCATGCCCATCCGGGTTCTTTCCTGCCCTCCTGTCATCTCTGTGTAGGCTGCATCAACCTTATTATTATTATTCCTAATGATCCTTAGCATTCTGCTGAGAATTCAGCAATGTTTATGAAATTAAACTAATGTTGCCCAAAATATGATTGTTTTTAGAGTTAGACAACAGTAGGTGTGAGGCAGAGAGACAGCCACCAGGGAATAGAAAGAAAGCTGAGCCTTGAGGCTGGTGATGTGATGAGCAGAAAAAGCCAAGCCTTCTCCTAAGGAGGGCCAGGCAGCTTGCCATCCTCTGCAACAGGCTGCGACTTATAGAGAAGGAAGACAGCTCACCTGAGCCACACTAAGTAGCAAGCGGTAACTGCTCATGTTGTGACAACCTGCAACCAAAAATCATGGGGCTTTGTAGTAGTCAGGGTCCTCTGGAGAGATAGAGGCAATAGGATGAATAGCGAGATAGAGAGATGGGTAAATAAATAGAGATATAGTTAGGCAGATAGATAGATAGATAGATAGATGAGAGAGGAATTATTACAAGGATTGGCTCATGCCATTATGGAGGCTGAGAAGTCCCATGAAGGCCATTTGTGACCTGGAGAATCTGGGATGCCAGTGGCATGGTTAGTCCAAGTCTGGAGGCCTTAGAGCCAGAGAAGCCCATGGTATAACTTCTGGTCTGAGGCCAGAGGCCTGAGGATCCACAGAGCCGCTGGTATAAGTCCTGGAGTCCACAAGCCAGAAAGCCTGGAGTTCTAATGTCCAAGGACAGAAAAGAAGAGTGTAGCCCAGCCACATGAGAGAGAGAAAGTTGCCCGTTTGTTTTATCTGGGCCCCCAGCTGATAGGGGTGAATTGGTGATCTGCACTCAGGTGCATTGAGGGCAGATCCCCACTCAGTCCACTGACTCACTTGCCAATGTCCTCCGGAAATACCTGTATGGACACATCCAGAAACAATCCTTTACCAGCTCTCTAGGTATTCCTAACCCAGTCAAGTGGACACCTAAACTTAACCATCACAGGCTTGAATTAAGCAGGTTCTTCAAAGAAACAGAACCAATAGTCAGTCTATCTATCTATCTATCTATCTATCTATCTATCTATCTATCTATCTATCATCTATCTATCTATCATCTATCTATCATAGGAATTGGCTTACAGGATTCTGGAGGCTGAGATGTCCCACAGTCTGCTGCCTGCAAACTGGAGAACCCAGAGAGCCGATGGTACGGTTCAATCTGAATCTGAAGGCCTGAGAACCAGGGGAGCTGATGATGTGAGTCCCAGTCCGAGTTCAAAGGCCCAAGAACTAGGAGCACCGATGTCCAAGGGCAGATTGAGATCGATGTTTTTCAGCACAAGGAAAGAGAGAGAGACAGAGAGAGGGAGAAGGAATGAATCCTTCCTTTTTCTGCCTTTTGGTTCTATTCAGGCCCTCAGTAGATTGGATGGTGCCTACCCACGTTGGTGGGCGGAGCATCTGCTTTCCTCAGTTCACCAATTCAGGAGCGAATCTCTTCCAGACTTTCCTCAAACACACACAAGGAAATAATATTTTGCCAGCTGTCTGGTACCTTCATCCAGTCAAGTTAATACATGAAAATAACTATCACCAGTCCATCCCTTATCAACTTGGCACCTGGATGCATCTTCTTAAGCCATACTTAATCTCCAAATAAAGACAATAACAAGGTCGTAATCCTACCTAACATGATACAACTAGCCTGCATACAAGTGAAAACACACTAACCTCTTCCCCAGCAGAGGAGGTAAAATTTTTGAGTAACGATTATTCTTCTACTGATACCTCATAACTTAAATACTATGATGTAAAATTAACAATACTTAAATAGTGATGTAAAGTCAACACATCTTATGTTACATTATAAGACAATCAGAGGGAAAAACTATATTGGCTTGATACATGTACCTATGCACACAAATATATATATATTTTTTCTGAGATGGAGTCGTGCTCTGTCGCCCAGGCTGCAGTGCAGTGGCAAAATCTCGGCTCACTGTAACCTCTACCTCCCGGGTTCAAGTGATTCTCCTGCCTCAGCCTCCCTAGTAGCTGGGATTACTGGTGCCTGCCACCACGCCTGGCTAATTTTTGTATTTTTAGTAGAGATGGGGTTTCACCATGTTGGCCAGGCTGTTCATGAACTCCTGACCTCAGGTGATCCACCCTCCTGGGCTTCCCAAAGTGTTGGGATTACAGGCGTAAGCCACCATGCCCTGCCAACAAACATATTCTTAACAAAATATTTAGAAAATAGGACCATTACAGTGTTTATTTCTGTAACTGATCATGTGGTTGTAGCTGGTATTTATAGCACTTTCTTCTACTACTCATTCTGTATTCTTTTTGCCCTCAGCAAGCACCTTAGCTGGTTATGATTCTGTACCTGGCAGGGTGACCCAAACTTTCAGTCCTGAAGAGTCTGGGCCATTTGGGTTTGGCCAATCTAGGCCAGTTTGCCTAGATTGGGTTATGGTAGTTTCCCACTGACCTTAATCACAGGGTACGGAAATACTAAGAGGTGCCCAAAGGGATCTCCTGTATTCCAGACATGCTCTTCCTTACCTCCATTGTGGAGTAGTAGGCCAATTTCCCTTTGGTGCTCTAGATCAATCACCCCAGCTAACACCATAACTCCCTTTGCCTGTTGACTCAGAGGCATGGGGTGTCCAAAATGGCTGGGTGGCATGTTAACTTCCAGCTCAGTGGAATCATTGTTGTTTCTCCTGGTGGAAGTGTTCCTCCCTCTGGAACTAAGAACTCTAGGCCAACAGAGCATAAAGTTTTGGGAAGAAGGGTGATCCTGGAAGTGTTCATATGACTTGCTCCCCTTTCTCCTTGAACCAAGGAAAGCCTCTCTTACATGAGATATTTCATGTCCGCAACTGAATCTGCTATATTATAAAAAATTGGAAGAGTCAAAAATGTCAGAAGAGTATGTTCTTGTTTTCTTTCCATTGGAAAGAGGGTGGACAGAGCTGGGGGAGGCGCACAGCAGCAGCGTGGGCGTTTGCAGCCTGTCCTGCGGGAGGAACGGGTGCTGCTCGCTCCCTGCTTCTGAGTAGGCTGAGATCACTCTCTTCCTTTTCATTCTCACGGGGCAAGAGCCTTGGAACATCTCTCTGAAGAATAAAACAAATCTTTTCTGCATGTATAATTGATATAAATTTGATTATATTGTACTTTTTATTTCGTGTGTGTGTGTACATGAGATTACATGTACATTCCCTTTCTCCCTTTTCCTTTGCTTGTCTCCCTTTTCTGTCCCCCCACCCCATGTCCCCAATTACATCAGGTCTCCCCAACCCCATGTAATCCTTTTTTTTTTTTTTTTTTTTTTTTTTAGACAGGGTCTCATTCTATCACTCAGGCTGGAGTGCAGTGGCACAATCTCGGCTCACTGCAACATCTGCCTCCTGAGTTCAAGCGATTCTCCTGCCTCAGTCTCCCAAGTAGCTGTGATTACAGGCACGTGCCACCACTCCTGGCCAATTTTCGTATTTTTAGTAGAGATGGGATTTCACTATGTTGGCCAGGCTGGTCTCAAACTCCTGACCTTAGGTGATCCACCTGCCTCAGCCTCCCAGAGTGCTGGGATTACAGGCATGAACTGCCGCACTCGGCCTTCCAAGGTAATCTTATATTAACAACCTGTAATGTATTCTTCCATATTTTTTCCTATTCATTTAATCTCATGTACACACACACACACACACACACACAAATACTCATAGAAGCTTTTTTGATTAATTTTACAGTTGGAATCATATACACTTTTCTGCATGTTGCTTTTCTCACTTAAAAATGTCCTGAGAAAATCTTTCCAACTCAATGGATGTAGTTCATGCATTCCCAACGGGAGTGACAGCGTGCCCAGAGAGGGTGAAAATTGCTTCTCAGAGGATGTATGAAAAAATCGTACTCTTTTTTTACGTATAAAGCACAGAGACACATACAGTACCTAAATAGATATGCTGTTTGTTTCTGTATGTTTGTGGTATTAGAATTCCATGGAGGAGCAATTAGGGGGAAAATGTCTAAGGAGGCTCCTAGAAGGTGATAATAGAAAAAGGCTGAGAAACACTGGTGTCACCTTTTACACTTTTTAAAGTGGCTGCATGGTATTTCCTGATGAGTCTGCACCCTGACTGCAGCGCCCCCTGGTGGAAGGACAGTCACTTCGTTTCCAGGGTTTTCTCCAGTATGAACACGCTGCAGTAACCGTTCTTGCCTACGCCCTTCAAATTGGTGATTGTGTTTCTGTGGGACCCATCCTCATGACCAGAATTGCTGGGTTGAAGGGATATGTATTTTATTTTATTTTAGTATTATTTTTTCAGACGGAGCCTTGCTCTGTCGCCCAGGCTGGAGTGCAATGGTATAATCTCGGCTCACTGCAACCTCTGCCTCCTGGGTTCAAACAATTCTCCTGCCTCAGCTTCCAGAGTAGCTGGGACTACAGGCGCCTGCCATCACACCTGGCTAATTTTTGTAGTTTTAGTAGAGGAGGGTTTTTGCCATGTTGGCCAGGCTGGTCTCGAATGCCTGACCTCGGGTTATCTGCCTAACTCCGCTTCCCACAGTGCTGGGATTACAGGTGTGAGCCACCGTGCCCAGCTGGAATATGCATTTTAAACTTTAAAATAAAAAAAAAAACTTAAATTGTCAGATCACCTTCCATAAAGCAGTAACACTTCACACTTCAAGGAACGAGATATGAAAGCACCCTTTCCCCTACATCCCTACTAGCAATAGGTGTTACAGCGCTTTATGAATTTTTTATAGTTTGATGGGTGTAACATAAAATCTTGTTATTTTAACTTATACTTCCCTAACTACTAGTGAATTTGACCACCTTTTTAATATGCTCACTGGTCATTCGGACTTGCTTTTTTCCATATTGCCTATTCATATCCTTTGACCAATTTTTATTTTTTTGAGATAGAGTCACTTTGTCACCCAGGCTGGAGTGCAGTGGCGCGATCTCAGGTCACCGTAATCTCCTCCTCTCAGGTTCAAGGGATTCTCATGCCTCTGTGGCCCGAGTAGCCGTGATTACAGGTGCGTGCCACCAAATATGGCTAATTTTTTTTGTATTTTTAGTAGAGAGGCCGAGGCAGGTGGATCACTTGAGGTCAGGAGTTCAAGACCAGCCTGACCAACATGGTGAAACCCTGTCTCTACCAAAAATACAAAAATTAGCCGGGCGTGGTGGTGGGCGCCTGAAACCCCAGCTACTCCGGAGGCTGAGGCAGGAGAATTGCTTGAACCCGGGAGGTGGAGGATGCCATGAGCCAAGATAGCACCACTGCACTCCAGCCTGCGCAACAGGGCGAGACTCCGTCTCCAAAAAAAAGAAGACAGGAGAAGAACTTGTGAACTTGTGTAGACCATTGAAATAAAGGTCTTCCAAGCAAGAATTCCATACCTAGCGAAGACATGATTCACCTACAGGAAATAAGATGTTTGTGTATGGACAAGAATTCATAGAGTATGTAATCCCTTATTTTGTCTGAAGAAAATATTGAGAAAAGATCAAGACAAAACAATAAAGAAACAGAAAACTCTTAAGGGAGAGAAAAGTCGGAAAAAATATGTATATTTGAAACAAGTGAATAGGATAAATAAATTTTCTGGAATTGTGTAATATAAGAAGAAAAGAAAAAGAATCCTAAGAATGCACTATCTTACCATGTTTTAAGAGGAGTTGGGAGAGAAAGGAGATGAATTTTAAAGATTTCTTATTTTTTTTTAAATGGAGTTGGCAAGTTAAGGGATAAAAAGAGAAAAAGAGTACCTGGGTGTGGAAAATAGGACATTATTGTCACTTCTTTCTTTTTCCCTCCTCAGAGGCTACTACTCTTAAATTTTATAATTATTGTTTCTTTTTTTTTTTTTTTTTTTGAGATGGAGTCTCAGTCTGTCACCCAGGCTGGAGTGCAGTGGTGTGATCTCGGCTCACTGAGGCCTCTGCCTCCTGGGTTCAAGCGCTTCTCCTGCCTCAGCCTCCTGAATAGGGATTACGGGTGTGCACCACCATGCCCAGCTAAGTTTTGTATTTTTAGTAGAGACAGGGTTTCACCATGTTGGCCAGGCTGGTCTTGAACTCCTGGCCTTAAGTGATCCACCCACCTTGGCCTCCCAAAGTGCTGGGATTACAGGCGTGAGCCACCGTGCCCGGCCCTCATTGTTTCTTTTGTTATAGTTTCTCTCTATATATATGTATCTCTAAGTAATATTTTTTAAAATTTTGCCTGTTTTGGTAAATATATATGAATACATATAAACGTATTTTAATAAAGTATGCATTTTTCCCAGACCTGCTTTTCCTCCTATAGTTAAGTTTTTGAGAGTCATCAGTACTAATGCTGTATTTCACTAATTTTCCATGCTGTAAAATATTCCGTTATAGGATTTCACCATAGTTTATATATAAATTTGCCTGCTTATGAAATTGAGGTAGTTTCTTTGTTTGCTATTGTGGTAATGATGTTATAAACATTGTTTTGCCTGTTTCCTGGTGCATATATGCAATAATTTCTTCGGAGTATTTGTCTTAGCATGGGATGGCTGAGTATAGGGTACACACATCTTCAGTTTATCCAGATAATTACAAACTATTTTCTAAAATGGTTAAACCAATGTATAGCCCTGGCAGCAACGTAGAACTTTCAGAGCCACTTCTTCCCTGTGTCAGATTCCTATTGCTGCTGTGACAAATCGCCACAAACTTCGTGGCTGAAAGCAATGCAAATGTATTCCCTTAAGCTCTGGAAGTCAGAAGTTGGGACAGCAGTTTTCCTGTGTGAAGGGCAAGATTTTGGCAGGAATGACCCCTTTTGGATGCTCTGAGGGGACCGTCGGTTCCCTTCAGCTGTTAATGCTGCCTGGAGTCCTTGACAGTGATCATCCAGCACCTGCTGGCAACATCGCAGCACCGTCTCCACTTCGGTAGTTGTTTCCCTTGACTCCCTCTTATAAGGACATGTGATGGTATCATTGGACCCACATGGATCATTCAGATTTATTTATTTATTTATTTACTTATTTATTTATTTAGAGACGGAGTCTTGCTGTGTCACCCAGGCTGGAGTGCAGTGGTGCGATGTTGGCTCACTTCAACCTCTGCTTCCCGGGTTTCAGCGATTCTCCTGCCTCAGCCTCCTGAAAGCTGGGATTACAGGTGTGTGCCACCACGCCTGGCTAATTTTTGTATTTTTAGTAGAGACAGTGTTTCGCCATGTTGGCCAGGCTGGTCTTGAACTCCTGACCACAGGTGATCTGCCCGCCTTGGCCTCCCAAAGTGCTGGGATTACAGGTGCTTATTTTCACTCTTCCCTTTCTTCACGATGTCTTTTGCTGACCAATGTTTCTTTGTGTTAATGTGGTAAAATGTATCTTCTGTGCATTTTTGTCTTAAGAAAATTTCTATTACCTCAAAGTCCCATTTTCTTGTATTTTTGTTTTTCAAGGTTTTTCTCAATATCTTATGAAAAATTCTAAGTATGTAGAAAAGTTAAAGAATTTTACAATGAAAACTCATAAACCCACTGCCAAGATTTCACCATAAGCAGTTTGCTACATGTGTTTCAATATGCATTTTTCCATTATCCATCCATTTCAAAGTAAAATAAGACATCAGTGCATATGTAAACATGCGTATTATTGAGTTCAATATTTATTTTTGAGTATATTTCTTTTTCTTCAGAAAATTGTAGGTTCACCACTACACAATCTGCTGGTAATTCCAGCTATTTGGGGTGATTTCATCACACACACACAAACACACACACACACGTATATATGTGTATGTGTGTATATATATATATATTTCATTTAATGTAAACTTCAGATACAATGAAATGTTCAAATCTTAAGTGTACATTTTGAAAAATGCATTCTTTTATGTAATGCAAACCCATATCAAGTGATAAAACATCACCGTCACTTCAGAAATTTTCTTTATGCTCTCCCTAGTCAATTATTTGTTTGTTTGTTTGTTTTTCAGAGACAGGGTCTCGCTCTGTTGCACAAGCTGGAATGTAGTGGTGTGATCACAGCACACTGCAGCCTCAAACTTCTGGGCTCATGCAATCCTCCCACCTCAGCCTCCCAAGTAGCTGGGACTCTGGTGCACACCACTGCACCTGGCTGTCCCAAGTCAATTCTTAACTTTACCCTTTCAGACATAACGACTATTCTGATTTTTTCCGTCATAGATTAGATTTGCCTGTTGTAGAATTTCTCATAGGTGGAGTTGTACAGCATGCACGCTTGTGTGCGAGGTTCCTTTCAGTTAGCATAAGAGTTTTGAGAGGCATCCATGCTGCTTCATGTATCAGTAGCTCATTCTTTTTTAATGAAGGTAATTTTATAAACCACAGTTTGTTTATTCCAGCCTCCTATTAATACTCGGGATTTGACTATTAAGAACAAAGCTGCTATAAGCATTCTTATATAAGTGTTTGCATAAACATGTTTTTATTTCTCATTGTTGAGTCACAGCATAGGTGTATGTTTTACATGTTTTTGAAGGGGTGTATTAGTCCATTCTCACACTGCTATAAAGAACTACCTGAAGGCTGGGCGTGGTAATTTACGCCTGTAATCCCAGCACTTTCGGAGGCCGAGGCGGGTGGATCATCTGAGGTCAGGAGTTCGAGACAAGCCTGACCAACATGTGAAGACCCCGTCTCCACTAAAAATACAAAAATAAGCTGGGCGTGGTGGCGGGCGCCTGTAATCC
Source organism: Homo sapiens (assembly GCF_000001405.40). Classification (NCBI taxonomy): domain Eukaryota; kingdom Metazoa; phylum Chordata; class Mammalia; order Primates; family Hominidae; genus Homo; species Homo sapiens. The sequence continues at coordinate 41,425,683 of NC_000008.11, read as the reverse complement.
CAGCTACTTGGTGGGGCTGAGGCAAGAGAATCGCTTGAACCCAAGAGGAAGAGGTTACAGGGAACGGAGACAGCGCCGTTGCACTCCAGCCTGGGCAACAGAGTGAGACTCCGTCTCAAAAAAAAAAAAAAAAAAGAGAAAAAAATAACTACTTGAGACTGGGTAATTTATAAAGAAAAGAGGTTTAATTGACTCACAGTCTCTGCATGGCTGGGGAGGTTTCCAGAAACTTACAATCATGGTGGAACGTGAAGGAGAAACAAGGCATATCTCCCACGGTAGCAGAAGGGGGGGGGGGGAGGGGGAGGGGGAGGGAGAGGGAGGGAGAGAGAGAGAGAGAGAGAGAGAGAGAGAGAGAAAAACCCCATTGGATCTCGTGAGAACTCACTATCACGAGAACAGCATGGGGGAAACGGCCCGCATGATCCAATCACCTTCCACCAGGTCCCTCCCTTGACATGTGGGGATTACAATTTGAGATGAGAGTTGAGTGGGGACACAGAGCCAAACCGTATCAAGGAGTTTCAACATTTTTCCTTCCCACGAATAATGCAAGAATTCCAGTTTTCCTACATTGTTGCCAACATTTAGTGTCATAAGCATTTTAAATTTTGGCTATTGAATTTTAGCATGGAGTGGTATCTCATTTGGTTTAAACTTGCTTTTCCCTGATGACTAAGGATATTGAGCACTTTCTCATGTGTTTATTGCCATTCATACACAGTTAGGAAATCTGTTCAAATCTTTTACCCATATTTTAAGTTGGGTTGTTTGTCTTTTTTTGTTGTTGTTTTTGAGATGGAGTTTCGTTCTTGTTGCTCAGGCTGGAGTGCAATGGCGCAGTCTTAGCTCACTGCAACCTCCGCCTCCCAGGGTCAAGCGATTTTCGTGCCTCAGCCTCCCAATTAGCTAGGATTATAGGCGCCTGCACCATGCCCGGCTAATTTTTTTGTCTTTTTAGTAGAGACTGGGTTTCACCATATTGGCCAGGCTTGTTTCAAACTCCTGACCTCAGGTGATCTACCCGCCTCGGCCTCCCAAAGTGCTGGGATTACAGGCGTGAGCCACCGCGCCCGGGCAAGTATTAGGAGTTTCTTATGGATCTTGACTACCAGTCCGTTTGTCAGATATTTGTTTTGTAAATATTTTCTCCCATTCTTTGGCCTGCCTATTTGTTTTCATAAGTGTGATTTTTGATGAATAGAAGTTTTAAATTCTGGTAAAGTCAATTTATCAATATTTTCTGTTATGATGACTGCTTCCAGTGTCCTAAGAAACTTTTGCCTCTTCTCTAGTCATGAAGATGTTCTCTCAATTTTTTTTTCCTAAAAGCTTTATGGTTTTAGCTTTTATAATTAGGTCTCTGATCCATCTTGAGTTAGTTTCTGGGTATACTATAAGGTAGGATCTGAGGTTTGTTATTATTTTTTCCATATGAATATCAAGTATTCTGGGATAATTTATTGGATAGACTTTCCTTTCCTCACTGATGTGCTTTGGCATCATTGTTGAAAATCAAATGATGGTACAGGCATGGTTCTATTCTGGGCTCATTTTTTCTTTTTCTATTGATCTATTTGTCAGTTCTTATACCAGTACTACCCTGTCTTGATTAGTATAATTTTATAATAAGTCTTGAACTCAGGTCATGTAAAATTTTGGCCTTTTTTTTTTTTAAAGATTGCTATGGCTATTCCAGGCCTCTGCATCTTCATATAAATTTAAAAATTAACTATTTGATTTATTAAAAAAACCTTTTCTGAAATTATGATTAGAATTGCATTAAATCCATAGATGAATTTGGAGAGAACTGACAACTAAAAGTACTGAGTTTTTGGCTAGGCATGGTGGCTCATGACTGTAATCCCAGCAATTTGCGAGGCTGAGGCAGAGGGATCACTTGAGCCCAGGAGTTCAAGACCAGCCTGGCCAACAAAGTAAGACCCCATCTCTACAAAAAAAAAAAAAAAAAAAAAATTAGCTGGGCACAGTGGGATATGCCTGCAGTCCTAGCTACTCTGGGGGCTGAGGTGGGAGGATTGCTTGAACCCAGGAGTTTGAGGCGGCAGTGAACTATGATTGTGCCACTGTATTCCAGCCTTGGCAACAGAGCAAGACCTTGTCTCAAAAATAAAATAAAATAAAAGTATTGAGTTTTCCCATCTAGAAATGTAATGTATTTCTTTCTTTAAGTCTTCTTGAATTTCTCTCAGCAATGTTACATAGTTTTCAGCAAAGAGGTCATGTACATCTCTGGTTAAATTTATTTCTGTGCATTTGATGTTTCTTGGTATGATTGTAAATGGAATTTTCAATTTTTTATTTTCCTATTGATTGATGCTAGGATATAAAAATACAGTTGTTAGGCCAGAGTTTATAAAAGGATAGCCTGAGTTTATATATCTGAGTCCGATCAGGAGAAGGCAACTGTACAATAATTTAAACAGGCAAAGTTTAATATTAAAAATTTAAAAATTATTCACTATAACAAGGGATTAGAATAATGAGAGATTGGCTAGTAAGAAGTAAAAAAATTCTGTTTTTTTCTTTTTCTTTTCTTTTTTTTTTTTGAGACGGAGTCTCATTCTGTTGCCCAGGCTGGAGTGCAGTGGTACCATCTTGGCTCACTGTAACCTCCGCTTCCTGGGTTCAAGCGATTCTCCTGCCTCAGCCTCCTGAGTAGCTGGGACTACAGGTGCCCAACACCATGCTTGGCTAATTTTTGTATTTTTAGTAGAGACGGAGTTTCACCATGTTGGCCAGGCTGGTCTTGAATTTCTGACCTCAAATGATCTACCCGCCTCCGCCTCCCAAAGTGCTGGGATTGCAGGTATGAGCCGCTGCACCTGGCTGGATTTTTGTGGATTCTCTTTATCAGTTTGAAGAAGAACTTCTAGGGTTTTAGAGATGTGCAGTGGATTCTCTTTATCAGTTTGAAGAAGAACTTCTAGGGTTTTAGAGATGTGCAGGCATTCCCAGGAATGCTGTGAGACTAAAGGCTTTTTTGAGGACTCTGAATTTTTGCTTTTGGGGTCATTTTTGACCTCTGAGGAATTTCTTTATGCTCTTGCCAGCTCAGTGAGGGTTTTTTTTTTTTTTTTCCGGAGTCTTGCTCTGTCACCCAGGCTGGAGTACAGTGGCACAATCTCAGCTCACTGCAACCTCTGTCCCCCAGAGTCAAGCGATTCTCCTGCCTCAGCCTCCCGAGTAGCAGGTGCCCACCACCACGCCTGGCTAATTTTGGTATTTTTAGTAGAGACGGGGCTTTGGCATGTTGGCCAGGCTGGTCTTGAACTTCTGGCCTTGTGATCCACCCACCTCAGCCTCACAAAGTGCTGAGATTACAGGCATGAGCCACCATGCCCGGCCTTAGTGAGGGTTTTTTGAACGACATTTTATTTTACCCAGAATTTTAATGTATTTTGTATTGAAAGGAATTTTTTAAAAGCTCAACCAGTCTGCCATATGCAGAGGCCACTGGAAACAGAAGCCACTGGAAACAGAAGCCACTAGAGAGTTTTTAGGGCTGAAGGGGCTTTTAAGGTTAATCTTTTTTTTTTTTTTTTTTTTTTTTTTTTGAGACGGAGTCTCGCTGTCGCCCAGGCTGGAGTGCAGTGGCGCAATCTCGGCTCACTGCAGGCTCCGCCCCCTGGGCTTCACGCCATTCTCCTGCCTCAGCCTCCCGAGTAGCTGGGACTACAGGCGCCCGCCACCTCGCCCGGCTAATTTTTTGTATTTTTAGTAGAGACGGGGTTTCACCGTGTTAGCCAGGATGGTCTCGATCTCCTGACCTCGTGATCCGCCCGCCTCGGCCTCCCAAAGTGCTGGGATTACAGGCGTGAGCCACCGCGCCCGGCCCTTTTAAGGTTAATCTAATCCAATGCTTTAACAGTAAATCAAGGCCCTAAGAATTTATTTGAACTCATTTGACTCGCCCAGTGTCTCACATTGTACAAGCAAAAGTAGCGGTTCTCCAGCCTGGGACTTCTCTAAATCTAGTGTTCATTTTTCTGTATGAGGGTCAGCAAGCTATGGCCCGAGAGCCAATTTGGTTTGCCGCCTATCTTTATATGACCCATGGGCCAATTTTTTTTTTCATTTTTAAGCAGTTGGAAAAGTATCCAAGTAATATTTTATGATACATAAAAATTATATGAAATCCAAATTTCAGTGTCAGTAAAGTCTTATTGAACACAGTCACACTCATTCATTTATGTGTTATCTATGGTTGACTTTGTGCTATGATGGTAGGGTTACACAGTTGTGACAGAAATTGTATGGCCCCAAAATCCTAAAATATTTACTACCTGGCCCTTTATAGGAAAGTTGCTCGATACCTACCCTACATCACGCATTGTTTTTACTCTTGTTGATGTCAAAACATCAAATTCTTCATTGGGCCTCCAGGGGGAGCCTGTGAGGAGCGTCTTCGGTTGGGGTTTGGTTTGGCTTTGAGTTCCACGAGGTCCCATGGTTCCAGGAAGACTCTGGCATTTGCACAATATATTTCAAAGCGTGTACCTATATTCAAAGGTCCTGGCCGGGCGGGGTGGCTCACGCCTGTAATCCCAGCACTTTGGGAGGCCAAGGTGGGCGCATCACCTGAGGTCAGGAGTTCAAGACCAACCTCACCAACACAAAGAAACCCTGTCTCTTCTAAAACATACAAAATTAGCTGGGCGTGGCAGTCCATGCCTGTAATCCCAGCTACTCAGGAGGCTGAAACAGGAGAATCGCTTGAACCCAGGAGGCGGAGGTTGTGGTGAACCGAGATTGCTCCATTGCACTCCAGCCTGGGCAACAAGAGTGAAACTCCGTCTCAAAAAAAAAAAAAAAAAGAAAAAAGAAAAAAGAAAAAAAAGGTCCTGTAACTCCACGTGAAATGTGCATGGGAAACATGAAAGACATGTGCAGCACAATGGAAACGCAGCTGAAAACCCCATATGGCCAGGCGCGGTGGCTCATGCCTGTAATCCCAGCACATTGGGAAGCCAAGGCAGGCAGATCACCTGAGGTCAGGAGTTCAAGACCATCCTGGCCAACATGAGGAAACCATGTCTCTACTAAAAATTCAAAAATTAGCTGGGGATGGTGGCACGTGCTTGTAGTCGTAGTCCCAGCTACTCCGGAGGCTGAGGCAGGAGAATTTGCTTGAACCTGGGAGGCGGAGGTTACCATGAGCCGAGATCACGGCCCTGCACTCCAGCCTGGGTGACAGAGTGAGACTCTGTCTCAAAAACAAAAACAAAAAAACAAAAAACCCGATGATCCAATATGAAAATTAAAATCAGGCTGCACTGTGGCTCAGCAAACGAAGAGGAGGGAATTGCTTTGAGTTGTCATTGAGAGGGGATTTAGAGAACGTCTTGGTCAGATTTTGTTGGTAAGGAAATCAAAGGCCTATGAGATTCCTTCTGTGTCTTGAGTTAAACTCACTGGGCTGTCATCCTGGCTCTGCCGCTTTCAAACCTTGTGGCATTAAACAGTCACACAACCTCTTTGAGCCTAAGTTTTCTCACCAGTAATAGTCCATATTAAATATATAGGTCATCCTGAACACAAGGTGATTTTCTTCCATTTTCCCAACAAAAAGTTTTCTAAAAACTTGAATAAGTAAAGTTTTAGGAAAGTAAGTGCAGTGGTCAAATGTCTACCTATAATTGTTTATTAATTTAGTTTTCCACATTTAAAATTTCATATATTAGATAATACATTAATTTGGAAGTAGTACTTTATTCAATTCTCACATTTTAAGAAATAATTTTATTCAAAGTTTCTCTAAGTCTCTTTACTTTAATGTCTCTGTCATCAACTCGAGCCATTTTTTGAGTTACCTAACATGATCGTAGGGGCACATCATCCTCACTGTCACTAGGTTGTGTGAGGTGCAGCACCTTTTGAATATGAGTTAATACTGTTGCTGGAAATTCTATCCAGGGTACGTTTCCCCTTCCCATAATAGCAAGGCAGATGTCCTTTACACATATATACTTAACTACTTGTTATATTAATTTATGTAAAACCTTCTTATTTTGAAACCATTTTACAGCTATATGCTGTTTTAAGAAGTGATAGATACACTCACGCCTATAATTCCAGCACTTTGGGAGTCTGAGGTGGGCAGATCACTTGAGGTCAAGAATTCATGACCAGCCTGGCTAACATAGTGAAACAAACCCGTCTCTACTAAAAATACAAAAATTAGCCAGGTGTGGTGGTGGCGCACGCCTGTAATCCCAGCTACTCAGGAGGCTGAGGCAGGAGAATCACTTGAACCCGGGAGGTGGAGGTTGCAGTGAGCTGAGATCGCACCACTACACTCTAGCCTGGGTGACAGAGTGAGACTCTGTTAAAAAAAAAAAAAAAAGAAAGAAATAATCTGTAGTCCTAGCTGCTCAAGAGGCTGAGATGGAGGTGGGAGGATCACTTTAAAAAGCCCAGGAATTTGAGGCTGCAGGGAACTCAGCCTGGGCGACAGAGTGAGACCCTGTCTTTTTTTTTTTTTTTTTTTTTTTAATTAATACAAAAGGACCCTACCGTACTATCATCCCATTACCTAGCTTCCAACAATGGTAACATTTTGCAAAACTATAGTACAATATTACAACCAGAAAACTGACATGGATATATCCGATCTTACTCAGATTTCTCCAGATTTTCATGTGTTCATTTGTATGTGCATGTGTGTGTGTATGTGTGTTTAACTCTATGTAGTTTTACCACATATGTAGTTTCGTGTGTCCAACATCACAGTCAAGATACTGAATCACAAGGATCCCTGCTGCTGCTTTTTATAACCATACCCACCTCCCATCCTCCCACCACCCATACCTAACCCCCTAGAAACCACTGATCTGTTCTTTACTTTCATAATTTTGTCATTTCAAAAATATAATATAATGGAATCAGATGCTATGTAAACTTTTGGGATCAGTTTTTTAAAAAAAAATCCAACGTAATTGCCTAGAGATTCATCCAAAACGTGTATCAAATAGTTCTTTTTTTTTTTTGACTGTTGAGTAGCTTTCTATGGCATGGATGTATTACAGTTTCTTTAGCTATTTACCCATTGAAAGACATCTGAGCTGTTTCCAGTTTTTAGCTATTATAAAAAAAGCTGCTATGAACATGCATGTACAGGTTTTTGCCTGAAAATAAATTGTTATTTCTCCAGGATAAATGACTTATTCTACTGTTTTCTTTTTTAAGGTGATCTTTAGAAGGTCATCAATTTCCAGCACTTGCAATTGTGTGTTCATATCCCCAGGAATACAAACTCAGTTATTCATTCAAGAATATTTATTATTTTCCATGTGCTAGCCACTGTTCTAGGCACAGAAATATAAAAGTGAACAAAGTTTCTGTCTTTTTAGAACTTAAAATTCTAGTGAAGAATGACAGATCAAGAATATATATTTATCTAATTATTATATTATATATTATAATGTAATTATAATTACGAAATGGGTGCTACATCTGTTTTGCTTCATTTTAAACTGATTCTATCAAGTGACCTCTTGATAGAATACCACGCCAGCACTATGTCCCTTCTGACTCATGAGCCTTCCCCAAGCAGTACTTTGTTATTCAAAATAAAGTAATTGAGAGAGAACTCCACAATGAGGGACTTTGTAAAGAGTTAGTTGAATGTAAGGTAACTTCCTTTTTTCTGAGGGATGTTTTGGGACAAAATGTTGTCTTATATTTAAGTTCATTTAGTCTTGCCTTGCAACCTTACTGTGACAGAAAGTAGAGGTTTCAGATACTTTGGGGAATGACATGTGAGTATATTGCTGTCATTCCTATGTAAAAGCAAATTGCTTTTTCTCTTTCTTGCTGCTAGGGTTTAAAAGATGCTACTTGCTAAATCAAGTACCAGAGGCTGTATTAATCTGTTCTAGTAAAGATGGCACACCAGCAGTTTTAATTGAGTCTACTACTTGGTTAGGTTTACAGTAGTGTATCTGCCATAATTAATCCGATTTCTTTAGGGGCCATATAAATAATTAAACAGGGATATGATGACAACCACTTTTCTGCAACCTTTAAGTCTTTGATGATGATGCCAATGTCTGCAATTCCTTCTGACACAAAGCTTTGCTTCCCTCTGATTAATACTCTTGTTGGGAGTGGGAACAGTTTCAGGAGCTTCTACTTGGCTCTTCTTACCAAAGTGGCTGCTGCTTCACTGAACAGGAAAGCAATGAAAAGGTTTTGCCAGCTTTAAATATACCCTTTGCATGTATGCACTCAGAGGCTAAGGAACTAACCATGAGTTCCCTGTGAGATATGCCTGCGCTGGGGCTGTGTCTCCCACCTGGCCTGCGTAAGCCCCCATTCTAAGTGGGAGGCCATACATGACATTTTGTGTCCTTGCTATCAGCATTGGTTCTGATCTGTATTTGGTAAACCTTTAAATATTTGTTATTCCCCTTTCCTCAATACCCAGAGACTCTGGTAAGTGGCCACAGGTCTTTTGGGGGGAAAGTTGAGGAAATATGTATCACATATGCTTGTGGTGCCATGACAGGGTACTTCCTTGACTCAGAATTTCTGTGTCAATTAACTGGCTTCAGGATGAAAATTGGTGTGCGGCAGGTGCTATGGCTCATGCCTGCCATCCGGCAATTTGGGAAGCTGAGGTAGGAAGATTGTTTGAGCCAGGAGTTCAAGACTAGCCTGCTAGCCTGGGCAACATAGTGAGACCCTGTCTCTAAAAAAAAAAAAAAAAAAAAAAATTGAATTAGCTGGGCATGGTGGCATGCACCTGTAGTCCCAGCTACTTGGGAGGCTGAGGTGGGAGGATCACTTGAGCCCAGGAATTCGAGGCTGCAGAGCCATGGTGGAACAACCGCCCTCCAACCTGGGTGACAGAGTAAGACCCTATCTCCAAAAACAAAGCAGACAAACAAAAACGAGAAAGAAAAAGGAAAGGAAAGAAAATTGGTGTGGGATTAAAATTTTACACTGTGGCACTAGTGTTAGCTTCTGATGTTTTTTCTGGTCATACAAGTTAAGTGACACCCCAGCTGGCTACTCATATTTCTTGCCCTGGATACCCTGGCCTATTTGTTATAGCCATGGATTCTTGTGGGTCAGATTCCTGGTGGCCACTCCTGCCTTGCTGACCATATGCCTGACATCTGGCCTCTGCCATTCAAGAATTCTACCTTCTCTGTTTATGCCAGAGACCCCAGTACCATGGGGCATTATCTACTGTAGACCCAGGTCTACAAAAAAGGCTTTTACCAGTAGTCTTTTCTTAACTGAAGAAATGTTATTGAATTAAAAGAGCTCTTACAGAGAGGGTATCCTCTGGGTCTTCTTGAAAAACACATCAAGTGACTTGTTCTTTCGAGTCACGTAAGACATCCATTCTGATACACCCACCTCTGCCAGCCTCTGACTCCTTCCTCAAGGCTCTGCCAAGGCTGTCCCAGTACTTCTGTCCCATCTGCCATTGACATCACCTCCAACCCTTAAGGAGCCATCACAGTAGCGTATGAGAACCAGCTCAAGATGGCCTTGCTAGGTTGAGTCCCAATTCATGGATGATTTCTCCTAAGTCAATATATTTTTCCTTAAACATCCTTGAGTTCCGCCCTTCCTGGTCCTAGAATCATTCTGACTGGGGTGAAGACCCTTCCTTCTCTTTCTCAGCAGGTAGGTAGGCTATCAATTTGCCAGGGTAAGTCTCTTTCATCTCTTGCCTAGACGGGTGGCTGTGATCTAGCAAGACACTGAGATGGTTTAGGGAAATTGTTGTCTACATTTCCACAGCAGCTGGCTTAGGGTTCTGGTGAAATACCAAAAGTCCTCAGGAAGGAAGTTCTCAGGACACACAAGCTCTGAAGTCAAAGGCCAGGGTGTTGCAATGTGAATAACAGCCGTGTTACCAAGTTAAGCAATCACCTTATTCACACACACACACACACACACACACACACACACGAATAAACTATTCCATAAAATTGAAAAAGTTTTTTGAATTGAAGCTGAAAGACCCCACAGGGAGAAGGGTGATTGGACTTGGGAGAAGACACAGAAGGCTGACTCATGATTCCATTCCTGGGAAACACATGAGGTGTTAATACAAAATAGGAATAAGGAATCCCAGCAAAATCTCATGAATATAGCCCCGTTTGGAGGGAGACGGCTGGTACTGAATCCTGGCTGCGAAGCAAGAGACCCTTCACTTGGAATCCATTTTGTCTCTGGATTAACAGCATTTAGAGTCCAGTTGTGACTGGAGGCACAAGGATAATTGAGCCAAGCCCAATAAATAGCACATGAAAAAATTCTGTAAAGCCAGGTGTGGTGGCAAGCACTTGTAATCTCAGCTACTCAAGAGGTTATGGTGGGAGGATCGCTTCAGCCCGTGAGTCCAGCTGAGGCAACATAGCAAGACCCTGTCTCTAAAAAATATTAAATACATAAATAAATTATAGGAAGAAAAAGTAGAATAATTCAAGAGAAGACAGTCTATATGGTCATCAGTAGGTAAAAATTACTTGAATTTCCTTGGATGCCCCCAGATTTCCCTCATCGTAGGCTTTTGCACGTGTCTGAAACCCTCGCTGGCCCTCCTTTCCCTATCTTCCTTTAGTTCCCTGCTGCATTTTCAGCTTACGATTGTCAGCTTCAATGCTACTTCCTCTGAGGATGCTTTGTCTCAAGCCCAACCCCCAAACTCCTGCCTGACCAGGCTAGAAGTGCCTGCTCTGCGCTCTCCCAGCCCCCTGTGCTTCTGTGTCATGTTGCTGGCCTTGCTGTCTGTCCTGCATGAAGGGAATTTCATGTCCTAGATCTAGCAGCGTGCACTCGGAAGACTGTCTAGCATGTAACAGAGCAAAAATAAATATTGAATTGACTTAACAAATGTATGAAAGGCAATGTAAAATTTCTCTACCAGTTCCTCTGTCCCCATTTTTTTCCTGGGAAAAAATATTGGCTACTTCTGCCTTCCCTACATACCTCTTTGTTCTTTCCCACTTCTGTGCCCTTTTGCGTAAACTGCTAGTTTGAAATGGCCACGTTCTCCACTCTCTCTCAGTCTAATATGTTCCTCTGATCTTCTATTAAATGGCATTATCCTCATGGACGTTTTTGGGGAAATAATTAAAGTTGAGCATATTTAGACTACATAGAAATTTCACAAACAAATATTAGCCTCTTCACGAGGCATTTTGTGAACTCTCTGTGACATTCTCTGCTTCCACTGAATCCCCTTGGACAACCCCCTGGTTTTGGTAATATGTATTATGAAAGGTGAATGAGCCATTCTGAAGCAGGGGAGAAATACTGAAAAGGAAATTCTAAGTGATCTCAGCCAAACCTAGAATCTGGGGGTGGGTTTGAGTAGGAGGAGGATTTAAAAGCTTTCAAAAACTCAAAGGGCAACAGGAAAAGAAAGGGTGAAGATAGGAGATTGTGAGAAATTACAGTGTCATTGTGAGAGAATACTACATATCGACCGGAAAATAGTAGATATCTTGCTTATAAATAACACTAGCTTCATATGTATTGATTAAGACAATAGAGAAAGGGACAGTTACTAGCAGTGGGATGCAGACACACAGCAGAATCTCTAAACTATCAAGATTTTAAGAAAGGCCAATACATCAAACCAGTAAAAAAGAAGACAGAAAAAAACCCCACAACAATCTAAAGTAAGTAATAAATATAGAGTAACACATTTATTATGTATACATATATAACATACAAGATGCATTAGTTATCACATTAAATATAATAATTTGAAATCATCTATTAAGAAATTGGCTAGGTGTGGTGGCTCACATCTGTAATCCCAGTGCTTTGGGAGGCCGAGGCAGGAGAATTGCTAGAGGCCAGGAGTTTGAGACCAGCCCTAGGCAACATAGCAAGATCTCATCTCTACAACAAGTTTTTAAAAATTAGCCAGGTGTGGTGGTTACGCCTGTAGTCCCAGCTACTTGGAAGGCTAAGGTGGGAGCATAGCTTGAGCCCAGGAGTTTGAGGGTACAGTGGGCTATGACTGTGCCACTCTAGCCTGGGCAACAGAGCAAGACCCTGTCTTTAAAACAAACAAATAAATAAATATTACTAATCATTTTGGCATATAAGGAAAAACTCAAATATATGTTATTTAGAAGAAATACAATTACAAGATAACAATAGGAATGATAAAAGGAATGGACAAATGCAACAAATGGAAACCAAAATCACCCAGGAAGAGTAATATTAGTATCAAATAAAGTGGAATTTAGGACTAAAACACTCAGTGGAATAAAGGGAGACACTCTATAATGATTAACTACACAATTGATGAAAAAAGTCATAAACATTTATGCACCAAACTGTATGCCATCTGTGGCAATAAATCCAAAACAAAATAAAAAGAGAACTTGATTAAAAAAAACCCAAAATTTTAGTGGGAGGCTTAATTATCCCTCTAAAGAGGGGTAGACTTGTGTCATGCCAGGGCCGTGAGCACACATCACTAATGCCCTGTGCTGCGGTGACATTGGGTTTGTTGGGAGAAAACTTATAAGCAGAGAGCAGCAGAGCACTGCCCTGAAACGGTTGTTATCCCACAGAATAGTCTGGTTCTAAACATCCTAGGTGCAGCATGGCCAGAGGACTAATGTTCCACCCAGGGCACTCCACAGAGAACAAGCCCCACTGCCCATCACATTACATATTTATGGGGTAAGTCCAACAGAGGCTAGGGAACCTGGTTTTTCTGAGTAACTAAAATGTGTCTTGAGATCTTCCAGGTCCAAGATCAGTGCTAGCAGTCTGCATGGGGAGGGCCCTGGGAACAGCTTTGCTTGCTGGGAATGATGACAACTGCCTGTCTCTTGCCAGGCTGGCTCAGTCCATTGGAGTCAAATCTCTACTAGGCTTCTAAGAGGGAGAAGGCAATGAGCCTGCAGGATGTCCAGATTTGTCTCTCATAAATTCAAATCTATGTAGTACATTTTCAAAGTCAGAACATAGAGGAACTAAATAATAATATCAATAGCCTTGATACAATCAATACATAATGTTAAATCCTTTAAATAGAGAACATACATTATTTTTAAAATATGCATAAAACTTTATAAAAAATGAGCATGATAAAAACAATAAAGCTTTGATAGGCTACATTCTGCAGCCATGAGCCAATAAAATTAGAAAGAAACTGTAAAAAGGGAACTAATAAATCTGAACTACTTATAAATAAGAACCACAGTCCTAGATAACACCAGGATCAAAGAAGAAATTTAAAAAGAAATTACTATCTAGAAACAAAGAAAAGGAGAATCACTGAAATAAGAAACCAACAAAAAAGTAGAAAAGAAAATAAACATATCAATAAATTAAGAGAGAAAAACCATATGATCACAATAGTCAATGTCAAAAAACATCAGACAATAAGTTTGAATTTATCCATCATTCTTAATAAAAATAGGAATAAAAAGAAGGAAACTCTTGAATATAAAGACTATCAAAACCAACAGTAAATATTATCCTAAAATGAAAGACACTAAGGTAACTTCAATTACAGAAAACCCTAGAAAGAGGAAAGCCTACAATCACCATTATTACTTAACATTACTTGGGCGGTTTTAGCAATGTAATAAGGCAAGAAAATTAAATAACTGGCATAAGCATTGGAAGACAAATAGATAAAACCATCTCTTTTTTCTACTAATAAGATAACATAGTAGAATTCCTATATATCAAGGAATCTTGGGATAAAACTCTACTGGATTTAATAAATTAATTTGGATATAAGATAATTGTATAAAAATCAGTATTTTTCACCACTCTAGCAATAAGCACCTAGTAATGGGAACGGAAAAATTGTATCATTAAAAATAGTGACAAATGTATTTAAAAGTAGAAACTCAGAATCTCTATGAAAAGATCTAAAATATCTTACTAAAAAGACATAAGGTAAGATCTGACTAAATAGAGAGGCATAATGCATTCTTGGATAGGAGGATTATATAATAAAGACAATCCCCCCAAATTGATATATAACATATTTCAATTTCAATTTCAAATTCGATGGAGTTTTTATTTAGAACTCGATGAAAACATGTTAAATTTCATATGGTAGAATGTTCAGGAATAACTAAGAAAATTATGAGAAAAGAGAACAATGAGAGATAATCTGCTTCCTCTACAATATATACAGTAAAGCCTTTGTAATAAAACCAAAATGGTATTTATATAAGAATACAGACTATTCTAATCGTATACTTCATTATCATATATCCTTTGATTTTCCCATTTCAGTAATTCTCCTTTTCTTGTTTCTAGATAGTAATTTCTTTTTAAATTTCCTCTTTGATCCTGGTGTTATCTGGGACTGTGGTTCTTATTTACAAATAGTTAAGATGTATTAGTTCCCTTTTTATGGTTTATTTCTGCCTATATAAGTAGGTCCGTGGAATAGAATTGACAATCTAGAAAGAGATGTTGGAATAAATGAGAATTTAACATAAGGCAAGTGTGGTGGTTCATTTCAGAGGGAAATTAATGGCATTGGCATAACTGCATACCTATCTGGAAGAAAAAATAGTTTCTATTGTCATATCAAACACAAAAATCAACATGTAGCTAGCATCACAAAAATTTAAGGTTTTTGTGTAAAAAATATTTCCATAAAGAAGTCTATAGATAAATAATAGATCTTGGAAAATATTTGTAATGCAGATGTCAAAAAGTTAATTTCTGTAATATACAGAGCTCTAATTAATTGACAAAAGACAGAAAAAGCAATAGAAAACTAGGCAATATGTTTGAATAGACAATTTACAGAATGAATAGCTAGGGACTATATGAAAAGATGCTCAAATTCACTAGTAATCAGGGAAATGCAAAGTACAGCAACAATAAAATATCAGCATACACCTATCAGACTAGCAAAATTAAAAAGAACTCTCAAACTCATTGTTCTCAAGGGTGTGAGTGAAAGACACTTTTATAACTGCTTAAAGGAATGTGACACCTTACATCCTTCTTGAAACACAACTGGGAACGTAACATCTATTAAAATTCAAAATATCATATACCCTTTGAGAACCAGCATTGCACTTCCAGGAGTTTATTGCATAAAAACAAATGTATCTAGTTCATGAAGGCATTATGTTTGTTGCAGCATTGTTTGTGGTGGCCAAGAACTGGTAAAAAGAGAATTCCCTGTGTATAGGGAAATGGCAGAATAAGTAATGATACAGCCACACCATAAAATATTGTGCAACCATAAAAAATTGAGTCACATCGGATTACTTGGAGCAAATCACTCCATTCCCTGAGGAAATGTTTCAGTAACTAATTTAAGGTGCAGAAAATTGTATATAAAACAAATGATACCAGAAAAGCAAGTCCTGTGTGAACGTGTGTGCATGTGAACCTGCCTCATGTATGTGTTTGTATAGGATATATTATTATGAAAAAACTGAAGAAGGACACTCATAACTTTTAAAATCTGGCTTATCTGGGAAATGGGGAATTGGGCATGAGATGCTGAGAGTGGGATCAGAGGCAGGGAAAGGTGTCAAAGAAAATGGCATGCATGTTATTTTCCTAAGTATGTAAGATTTTATAGGCTGTCCTCACTTTGCATGGCTCCATGGCAGCAGATCAAAGTGAGGGTGCAGTCTGATATGCATGAGTTTCACATATGTATGAATGTAAGAAAAATGGAAATGCTCCCACAAGAAACAAAAAGCAATGAATAGCCAATATGCTCAAGGGAGTTCTAAACATGGAAATGAAAGAACAATACTTGCTATAACAAAAGCACAAGTAAATACAAAGCCCACAGACCCTATTAAGCAACTACACAATTGAGACTACAAAGTAACTAACCACACTACGACAAGAACAAAACCACACATATCAATATTAGCCTTGAACGTAAATGGCCTAATTGCTCCATTTAAAAAGACATACAGTGGCAAATTGAATAATAAAAAAAAAAAAACCCAATCTTCTGCTGTTTTTAAGACATCCATCTCACATGTAGTGACACCTACAGGCTCAAAGTAAAGAGATGGAGAAAGATGTACCAAGCAAAAGGAAAACAAAAAATAGAAGAGGTCATTATTGTTGTATCAGACAAAACACACTTCAAACTAGTCACCATAACAAAAGGACAAAGAAGGACATTACATAATTATAAAGGGTTCAATTCAATGAGATTTAACTATCCTAAGTATATATGTACCCAACATTGGAGCACCCAGTTTATAAAACTTGCGAAGAAATTTTTTTTTTTTTTTTTGAGTCAGAGTTTTGGTCTTGTTGGCCAGGCTGGAGTGCAATGGTGTGATCTCGGCTCACTGCAACCTCTGCCTCCTGGGTTCAAGAGATTCTACTGCCTCAGGCTCCTGAATAGCTGGGATTACAGGCACCCGCTAATTTTTGTATTTTTAGTAGAGATGGGGTTTTGCCATGTTGGCGAGGCTGGTCTGGAACTCCTGACTGCAGGTAATCCGCCCACCTCAGCCTCCCAAAGTACTGGGATTACAGGCGTGAGCCACCACATCCAGCCAAGAAAATGTTTTAACTCTAAAATAAATGAAAGAAATGGCCACCAACTTCAATGTCCCATGAAAGCAGGTACCATGTTGGTTTTGGTCATGATTTTATCCCTAACATATAGTGCATTGACACTCAGTATTTGTTAAATGCATATTGTTGAATACAGTGAAAAATAAAATTGTGATTACTATTATTTTTGCCTCTCCAGTTGGTAATGACTAAAAAATTATAATATTCAGAGTTGTGAGATGTGGAAAGGGGCAGATGGAACCATAAATCAGTTCAATGCTTCTGAAAGATGAGTTCTTTCAAATTTTTAGGAAACAGAAAATCCCCATGATATGTAAGCCCCAAAGCATAGAAAATGATCAGAAAAGGCGGGGCATGGTGGCTCACCCTATAATCTCAGCACTTTGGGAGGCTGAGGCAGGTGAATGGCTTGAACCCAGGAGTTCAAGACCAGCCTGGGCAACATGGTGAAACCCCATCTCTATGAAAAATTCAAAAATTAGGTGGGTGTGGTGGTGTATGCCTGTAGTCCCAGCTACTCCAGAGGCTGAGGTGGGAGGATGGCTTGAGCTGAGGAGGTCGAGGCTGCAGTGAGCTACATTCCAGCCTGAGTGACAGAGCGATATCCTGTCTGGAAAAAAAAAAGAAAAAGAAAAGAAAAGAAAAGAAAAAACAAACGTGGAATTTAGCCACTCATTTCATGAAGCTCCCATTCAGGAGCCCAGGAGCCCTTCCTTTCTCCTAACACCGGTTCTTTTCCTTCATGGTGTTTATCACAATTTATAACTTTATTTAAAATGTCTACATACTATATTAGGCATTATGTATTAATTATTAGGAGGTTTGTATATGCGATTATTTGTTTGTATGTCTCTTGTGCTAAATAAGAGCAGGGCCATGCTTGTTTTTGTTCTTCTTCTGTTGACTGTGTAACCCCCACACCTGGCACGGTGTCTGGCCTATCATAGCTACTCAATAAATATTTGTTACATGAATGAATATGACTCTAAATTCTGAAATGCATCAAGGGAGGGTTAACAAATTTAGCTAAAAGTCAAGATAGCTTCCTGGGTGTCTTACATAGACCCTGCAATGTGTATTTTCTTCTAGCCAAAGACTTAAGGATGTAAAACAGAAAAGTTCTGTCCTCATTACCAGATTGTGATCACTTTGAAAACATGGCTTTGTCTTCTTCATCTTTACATCTCTCTGCAGGTGGCATATTAGCCCAGACTTGAGCACTATGTGCCTGGTACTCTTGATGTACATGCTGCATGCTGGTTTTCAGGTAGTAGAGGTATCTAAGTGTGGAAGGTGCACACAAGCCTGCAGGGGCAGACCTGCCATGAAAGCCAAGTCTGAGCCAACCAACCAAGGTGAAGTGGGAGTAAGTGGGGAGCATGTTGGGTGTTGACACCCTCTTTACTTGGGCACCAAGGCAGCAGAGACTGTGGAGAATTGATGGAAAAAGAAATAGATGTTTCCATTATTTAGAGATACAAACGTAATCAAATAAAGAATAAAAATAATAACAAATATCAAGTATTGGGAGGAGACCCCAAAGGAGAGGGTGAGAGCAGGTGAGCTAAAGCCTCCTCGTGTATGTGGCTTGCATGGTCATCAACAGACATCAGTTATGATTGATACATTCAGACATGGTGGTAGAAGCATATGCTCTAGCCTTGTAAACCAACCACTGGAAGAAAATTCCAGAAACTTTCAAAGAGCTTGCCTTCATGAAGTGGCACCATGGGTGGCATGGAATGAAAAGAGACAGTGTAACTTTTTCTATACTTCTTACTAAAAATATAATATGTATATATTTTTATTAAAAAACCCATTCTGTTGTGTAATAGGTGATTCACAGTAACCTCAAGCACAACAGTCCCACAGTTAACCGGTCAGCATGTCTGTCTGTATCCTATCATAGGGTGATATGGTTTGGCTGTGTCCCCATGCAGATGTCATCTTGAATTCCCATGTGTTGTGAGAGGGACCCAGAGGGAGATAATTGAATCATGGGGGCAAGTCTTTCCTGCGCTGTTCTCGTGATAATGAATAAGTCTCGTGAGATCTGATGGTTTTAAAAAGAGGAGTTCCCCTGCACAAGCTGTCTCCTTTTGCCTGCCGCCATCCATGTAAGATGCGACTTGCTCTTCCTTGCCTTACGCCATGATTGTGAGGCTTCCCCAGCCACGTGGAACTGTAAGTCCAATTAGGCCTCTTTCTTTTGTAAATTGACCAGTCTCGGGTACGTCTTTATCAGCAGCGTGAAAA
This sequence comes from Homo sapiens, assembly GCF_000001405.40. Taxonomy (NCBI): domain Eukaryota; kingdom Metazoa; phylum Chordata; class Mammalia; order Primates; family Hominidae; genus Homo; species Homo sapiens. Next base: position 41,406,876 of record NC_000008.11, on the reverse strand, counting down.
TGGACTAATACACAGGGTCAGCTTCCCACTGGGGTCTGGTGAGTCATAGCTTCTTCTCACACGCTGACAGTTCCCTCTCTCCAGCTGTCCCCTTTGTGTTTTAGGCTGCTGGTTTTCACTCCATCCCAAAAGAGTAATTGAACCCTTGTCCCTAACCTCATGTTCTCCATACCCTTTTCCCGGCTCTCGCAGGATGCCCTGCTCAAGTGGGAATTTGGGAAAGAAGGGCTTCCCTATGGGTATCAGCTGCCTCCACCCACTGCTGTGGGAGTGTCTGTCCAGCAGTTTCCAAATCCCTCCAAAATCTAAGCAGTGGGCAAAGGAAGGGTGATAGCTGATAGGTCAAAGTTGGGATCCTCAGTCTTGTCAATCAGAGCCACAATGTTACAGAGCTTGTTAGATTTCAAACAGGCAAAGTGGGGTGTGTTGGAAGAGCATGCAATTAGGAGTAAGAGGATATGGGTTCCAGCTTATTGTTGGTGTTCACTTAATACACTCATTTCCTTACCTGTGAAATGTACACGATACCCATCCAGCTACCTCATGATGAAGATGAAAGCCGAGGAGGCATGTGGGAATGTTCTATAGATAAAACAAAAATTGCTGCAATTTAATATCATTCACTGTGCACCACTAACTTTATATTCATCAACTCTTATTCTAGTAACAATTTTGAGAGTCAGAGATGAAATGATCCTTCCTTCCTACCTTCCTTCCTTTCTTCTTACCTTCCTTCCTTCTTTCCTGCCTTTCTTAAAAATTCATGGAGCAGGGCTGGGCGCGGTGGCTTACGCCTGTAATCCCAGGCTTTGGGAGGCTGAGGCGGGTGGATCACCCGAGGTTGGGAGTTTGAGACCAGCCTGACCAACATGGAGAAACCGTGTCTCTACTAAAAATACAAAATTAGCCGGGCATGGTGGTGCATGCCTGTAATCCCAGCTACTAGGAGGCTGAGGCAGGAGAACTGCTTGAACTCGGGAGGCAGAGGTTGCGGTGAGCTGAGATTGTGCCACTGCACTCCAGCCTGGGCAACAAGAGCAAAACTCCGTCTCGAAAAAAAAAAAAAATTCATGGAGCAGTACTATGTGACATGCCCTATTGTAGATGTTTACTCATATTATCTCATTTAATGTATTATTAACCTATACCCAGTGCTATGCTGAGCCATCCTGGAATGTAAGGCAAAAGGAAAAAATCTGTTTTACTGGTTGTCTTCATTTCATATTTTGTTCATTGTCTTTTTGTATTCATTTTGATTTTTTAAAATATTGCATTAAAATATTATTTACCTTGCTTACTGAGTTTTTTGGTGCCCCCTTAAATTTTGTGCCTGAGGCAACTCACCTCACTCTAGTCTTATCTCTGCTTATAACTGTGTGAGGAAGGTATTATCTAATCCTATTTCAGAAAAAGAAATTCAGTTTGAGAATATTAGCTAATTTGCCCAAGGTAATAAAACCAATAAGGGGTAGAATAATAGTTCAAATCCGGGTGTGCATGACTTTATATCATTGTATCACTCTATCTTTTGAACGATGGGATGCACAGAAAAATTCCATTAAGATCTAGAAAGTGCTGTTTAATATTACCATTTCAAATCTTCAAATCTTGAATATCCTCTCAATGTGTTTTAGTTTGGCTTCAATGCTCCTAAAATTTAGATACTTTTATTTTCTTTATTTGACGTAGCATTATCTATAGATAGGCATTTGATTAATAATTACATATATATCGTTTACCTACATTATCTATTTGCTCTCTAGTGAAACAGAATAGATGGATATATTTCTCCATTTCTTTCTTTTTATTTTCTTATTTTTGAGACACAGTCTTGCTCTGTCACCCTGGCTGGAGTGTAGAGGTATGATCATAGCTCACTGCAACCTCAACTCCTAGGCTTAAGTGATCCTCCCGCCTCGGCCTCCCAAGTACCCAGGACTACTGGTGCACACCACCACACCTGGCTAATTTTTAATTTTTTTTTTTTATAGAGATGGGGGTCTCACGATGTTGCTCAGGCTGGTCTTGAACTCCTGGCCTGAAGCGATCCTACCACCTTGACCTCCCAAAGTGTTGGGATTACATGTATGAACCACCATGCCCGGCTCTATTTCTCCATGTCTTGAATGAGGAAACCGAGGCTTACAGTTAATGACTTATGGAATTCCGCACTCTCACAATGGTATATAATGCTTTCTTTGATGTTAATAATGGTGGGAGTGTTTATAGCTCTTGTGTGGAACACCTAAGGGAGAAACTTAGCACATCAAATCAGCAATAAGATGAGACTAGGGGAGCTGGAGCATTCATGGAACGGAGGAGGCCGGGTCTTGGGATCCTGTCACTCACAGATAATCACAGAAACACCAAACAAGCATCAGGTATGAGAATCGTCCTGGGGCTCGGTCATCTCTGGGCATGTCTCAGAGGCAACCTGCAGCAGCGAAATGGTGTATTTATTCTCAGTTTGAGTAGGATTATCATTACTCACCCTTCATTGAGAATCCCTTTACCTGGAGGAGGAAAGAATGTATCCTCAGTTTCCCCACTTCTTCCGTGTGGTGTGGGAAGCTGCAGACCGGCAGAGGGCGCTCCGGGCAGTCGGCAAACAGTCCAGGGGCAGATCTACCCAGAGCCAGCGGAGTGGCCTCCTGGAAACGGCCACAGCTTCATGAAGATCTGCAGCGTGGTGGGGCTTCGGGGCTTCCGGCACAGACCTCACTGGAGCTTGGGGAGAGGCATGACCACAACCTCCTGGCCTGAAGCGATTCTACCACGTCGACTTCCGAAAGTGTTCAAGAGGCAGAGAACAACCTCCGAATTGTTCTCCGTGTTTCCAGTCTTGCTCTTCTTAAACTAATTCTTCAAATCATAGCCACCATGATCTTTCCGCACCGCAGGGCCTTCCTGCCTTCCCTTAGGAAGACCCCCACTCCGAATAGCTGTGGCAAGCGTCAGCTCCATTTCCCACAACCCCGTCTTTACACGCTACTGCTCAACAATTCTGAGCCATTCTCTTTTTTGTTGTCGTTGAATTCATTTATTTTAATAATGTAAGTACTTTGCCATTTTAGGTTCCATTCAGGTTTTTTTTTTTTTTTTTTTTTTTTTTTGAGTCGGGGTCTCGCTCTGTTGCCCAGGCTGGAGTGCAGTGGTGTAGTCACAGATCACTGCAGCCTTGAACTCCTGGGCTCTGAGCCATTTTCAAGACCCAGATTCACTGGCCGGTCTCTCCCTTCTGGAGCTATGCACGAGTTATACATTCTGCCTAGAATCTTTATCCACAGGACTCCCTTTCTTGACCAACTTCTCTCTTCAGTTCCCACTTTAGATGTTATCTTTTCTGGGGAAACTTCCCTGTCCTCTAAGATGGGATCACAGACCCACCCCACATGCTTCCATGCCCCCCACCTTGCACTGATGTGGCACCGGGGCTGGTGACACTGCGGCTGGTGTGGTGACTATATGTTTCCTTGATTGACCCTTCTGGTAAACTGTGAGCTTGGTGATCCTCCGACCCGCGGGTTTCTAAGTTCCCTGATCTCCTCTCCTCTAGGGCTCCACCCCATTTCAGCCCCTTACACCTAAGTACTTCTCTGTATCTTCTTCACGGTAGGAACTCTGTAGACGCTGTATGGTGAATGAAATATTTATCAAGCAATTTATTCCGCAGCACCCTTTCTTAATGTGTCATTCATAAGATACCTATGGGTGTTGTTAAATTGCAGATCCCTGGGCACCACTTTCAGAGACAATTGGATCCGGGATGGGGCCCAGGAGTCTGCATTTTAACAGGTATCCAAGGTGACTCATGCATAATGAAAACTGAGAACTGCTCTAGTTTTATCAATGACGGAGAACATCCTCTGTGCTCTTGTGTTGCACTGACTTCAGTCAAAACTCCTGTCTAAGAATTTCTCTGACTGTGGAATTTCCTCCAGGGGAAGATGGGGATGACTGGGATCTGGTGGCTTTCCCAGGACAGTTTCTCGATACTGTGTAATCCTTCCCACCCAAGACTCCAAGGGAATCTCCTCTTTGCATTTGGCTTGGTCCTGAGGGGCAGATCCCAAGAGGTACGGGAGTGCAGTTGGGGAAATGGGCTTGGTTCTCTAGGGAGAAAGGTGTCCTTGGAGGAGGGCAACCTCTCTTCTCAACATGCTCGGCTCTTTAATTCTTTCCCTTTCCAGGTTTTTTCTCTCTTGTGCGCCAAGCACTTTGCAAATGTGATAATAAGGGGTCTAATTTGCTGTGCTAACAGATAAAACAAGGGAGCGGAGCGACAGGGTTCCCTGGGAAAGCAAATGTCAGCTGTTGATCATGTTTTTCCCTCATTTCCCCTTTCCCTCTGCTGCCCCCCACTCAGCTTGAACTAATTAGGCTGCTAGCACTCCATAATGAAGGCTAATAAACGCCTAATGGATAGTCTTGAACAAACAAGCCTTAAGCACCATAGCAAAACCTGATTTCCCCATCCCCACACCCCTCAAGAACAAGGCTGGTGCTGGGAGCCAGGACAGGTGAAATGACTCCCAGCAGTGCTCCAGGCACTCGAGGCCACAGCCTGGGCCATGGGGACCACAGGACCATCCCTTTCTCTGCCCAATCTGGTGGAGGATTCGCCCTCACAGCCAAGGCTCCTGGACTGGCCACACCTTGTGTGTAGAGAGAGATGGCAAAGAAGTTACTTCCAGTGAGACCACCCTTCCTTCCCCACTTCACTTGATAACAGGAGTTGGGAGAAGGCAGTGTCAAACTCCCCTGAGGCATTCTTTTGTGCTCTCAGAATCATCTAGTTTCAAAGGAGAGAACAGATGGATTGCATTTTCCTACTTTTAGCCGGTTCCAATGTGCAAACAGTTAAGATCATAATGTTAACATTTTCTCTATGTTTTATGTGCATATAAAATATTCCTGAAGAATGTGCTTTTGAATGCAAAGTTTGATCCAATTACAATTTTATAGACTTTATAAAAACTTAAAAAGTATGTTTTCTGGGTGTCTGAGACCTTGTTGGCCTTTACAGTAAACTTGGAAGCACACAGGGAAACATAATTGTCACCATGTCAAAGAGGGCCCTACGGAGCTTAAAATGATGAGCCCATTATGTGAATATGGAAACATCCCATAGTCTCTTGGGGTGAATGAGATACTGATGAATGGAATTAAAAACAATCTTGTGGTCTTGGATCAGATTGGAAATGGTTATTGTTTTCTGTCTTTGAAGAGCCATAAAAAAAGAAAAGAAAAAGAATCTTGCAAACTTAACTTCTGTGGTTTAGAAGACAGAAGGTGGCTCCATGCAAAATCGGCAGCTTCCCCATTGGAGGGGCAGAAGAAACAGCTCCAAAGCAAAAAGCACAGATTAGAAAATCCCTTTTCAATCCAGAACATACAGGAAGCTTACACCGAGGATGAGGTGTAAGGGAGTGCTCCTGGGAATGGAGATGGGTCTCTTCCAATCTCATTTTCATTGTACCTGGGCAGATAACTTAGCAATTTGGGCCTCGACAGTTTCCTTGTAAAGCAAGAGGGATAGGTTTGAGATCACTTTTCTGGCTCTAAAATGCTGTGATTACTCCCCACGTCCCCAACCCTGCGAACTAATTACAAGCTGTTGGACAACACAGAACAACTATCAGTAGCATGTCTGGAGGGAGGCATCCATTAAATTAAAGGATGTCCAGAACTGAGTCCCCAGTCAGAAGATTTGGCTCTTGGAAAGCAGAGTTGCATAACAAGCCTGTAACTGAAGAGATTCGCTTGCTGTATTTCCTGGTTCCATGTGTAAGTGGTTTGCATCACATTAAGAGCCCATTCCCATTAAGAAATGCTGATTAGGAATGGCTGTTGATACCATGGTAGGAGCATGCACAGGATTGTAAAGTTTTGTTAAGTAAATGTGGACTGCATTTCTTTCCAGGGACTGGTCTAGCTCCAGCAGCTTCCCTGTGGCATTCAGGTGTCTGATGAGGTGAGAATTTTTCCATTGCACACATCTGGGGCAGATCTCCTGGTTGTGGAGAAATCCAAGGTTGTCTAATGAGAATTGTTTTCACTCCACTGATTTGAGGCAGGCAATATCATTGATTAGGAGAATTCTCCGTCCTCAGAATTGAGAAACCTCGAGATTACCTTGTCTTCTATACAAAGAAAATGTGCGAGGCTCACAGTGGTCAAGGGATTTGCAAAAAGTTACACAGGTTCACACTCCTCACATTTTGATATAATCCTGCCAGCATCTTCCATATTCACATGGGGAATTTAAGGAGATCTGTGTGGCTGGAGCCAAATGAGGAAGAGAGGGTATACAAGTTTCTTAGGGCTCCTGTAACAAATTACCATAAATTCGGTGGTTTAAAACAATGGAAATGTATTCTCCTACAGTTCTAAGGTCTGGAAGACTGAAATCAAGGTGCCTGCAGGGCCACACTCCCTCTGAAAGCTCTAGGGGAGAGTCCTTCCTTGCCTTTTCCAGCAAGCGTGTCCCCAAGCACTCCTTGGCTTGCAGCAGCACAACCCCAATCTCTACCCACCTCTGTGTTCCCCTGGCGTCTTCTGTGTTTCCCTGTGGGTCCTTATCTCTTCCTATAAGGACACTAGTCATTGGATTTAGCAATCACCCCAATCCAGTGTGATCCCATCTTGACACTTAACAAATTACATCGGTCCATTTTCAATTAAGGTCACATTCTGAGGTTCTGGGTCACATCCTGGTTAAAGTCACATCCTGAATTTTAGGGAACACTATCCAAGCCAGTACAGGTGAGTGGTAGGAAAGGAAGTCCGAGAGAAGAGTAGGGTCCTGGCCGTTCCGGAAACATGCTAGCGCATCCCCTCCTTGCGGCTGCGCACTCGGTGCTCTTCTGTCCCTGGATGTCTGTATGACATGCCCTCACTTCCTTCCAGCATTTCTACGGGCCACTTGTAATGATTTTGGCTTCATTCTATGTGAGGTGAGAAGTCTTTAGAGGATTTTGAGCAAAAGAGTAACATGATCTGAGTTATGTTTTATTTTTTGTTATTATTAATTTTTTGAGACGGAGTCTTGCTCTGTCACCCAGGCTGGAGTGGCATCCGCCACCACGCCCGCTAATTTTTGTATTTTTAGTAGAGACAGGGTTTCACCATGTTGGCCAGGCTGGTCTCGAACTCCTGACCTCAAGTGATCCGCCTGCCTCACCTCCCAAAGTGCTGGGATTACAGGCTTGAGCAACCGCGCCCGGCCTGAGTTACATTTTAGAAGGTTCACTCTGGTTGCTGTGCAGGAAATTGGCCGTAGGAAGTAGGGGTGAAAGGAGAGGGAGTGATACGGCTTCTGCAGTACCTCAGGTGGAAGACGCTGGGCGCTGGAAGTTGTGGAAATGCAGGATCTGACTGGAGTCTGAATAGATTCTGAAGGTAAAGCCACGTATTGGCCGTTCCAGCTTGAGATGCCTGTAACACCCATGTGAGATACTGAGTGGTCGATTTCTAAGTCTGGAATTAAGGGAGCAGTTGCGTTGGAGATATGAATTTGGAAATCATGACAGTTAGATCATATTTAAAGACCTGTTACCTGATCGGATCACCTTGAGAGTAGAATGAAGATAAAGAAAAGAGGTCTGATGACAGAATCCTGGACACTGTGTCATTTATAGGTGAGGAAGATGAAGAGGACCCAGCAAAGGAAACAGAGAGGGAGTGGCCAGTGGGAGAGAAAGAGAACGAGAGAGAGTGGTGTCCTGGAAGCCAGGTGGAGGAAGGTTTCAAAACAGAGGAGTGATCAACTGTGCCAAAATTGGGTGATAGATCAAAAAAGTTGCGGCCTTAGGACAGTGGGGGTCCCTGGTGACCTTACAAGATAAGTTTCAGTGGTATGATGAGGATAAAAGCATAATTGAATGACTGCCCTGTAGGAACTCTAGGTCTGAAGAAGGAGCTGTGAGGGGATCAGCCCCATCTACTCCAGGTGGTCTAACCCATCCACCATCTCCCTCTACTCACTAGTGGCAGCTCTAGGGGACAAGTGACCTAATGTCAGGCAATGAGACCAGAGGGGAAGTTGGCTGAGGGGATTAAGAGGAAATGTATCCTTGTGCCTAGAAAGAAAAATCTGGAAGTGATATTCTCCTCTTTCTCTTGGTCTCTGGAGACGACATCCTGATGAGATGAATACAGCCCTTTTCCTTCTGAGCACAGAAAGGGCCACCATGCTCCTCACTCTCACCCCCCTGCCTGCCCTGAGGAAGGAGGCAAGAGAAGTGGATGGTCTAGGCTCGACTATTCTCTCTCTAGGTTTTGGACATCACAGCGTGAAAACCTTTCCAGCACACCTCCAGCCTCCCGCTGGTCTCTGGCCTTCTGGTCTCCTCTAATCTAGGAAACTCACTCTGCTCATGCCCCAGTTCCATAGACCCTTGTGTCCTGCTGCTTCAAGGTTGCCCCTCCTAACCTCTTTGCAGTTTAAAAAGGGGCCTCCTAAAGTTGGGGAAATGTTCCAGGCCCAAAATATTGACGCTGGAATGGAAGATATTTAGACCCCAAGGTGGCCCCAGGAGACTCACTCTGGAGTTGAGGCATTCACCCAGTGGGCCTCAAACACACCACATGGGAACAGCCATTGAGCCCTCATTTTCTTAAGGCCTTTGCCTGGGAAGACTCTCTGGGGGCTCTTTAGACCAGAGTACTTCACAGGAAGCAAGAAAAGAAATCCTTGGAAACATACAGCAGCCAACTACGTGGGGGTGAACAAGAGGTAAAAGATTTTTGTTCCGAAGGGAGGAAGCTTGGTGGAGGATGCTTTCATTTAGCCCATGATGACAAGATAAGGAATTAATAGATGTAAGCTGCATCCAGGAACGCTGAGATAATAGCAGGCGATAAACCTCCTAGCCAGATGGTGCTCTGGACAATGCAGGAGGATTCCAGGGCGCCAGCCAGCCTCCCCTAGAGTCACAAGGCTCGGGAGGCACTAGCAAGGCCAGTCTGTTGCCTTGGGAGCCAGTGGGAGGCAGTCATCGAGCTGGAAAGGGACACATGCAATGAGGAAGGTCTGCTGCAGCCTGTTCCTGGGGAAGCACAGAGGTCAACAGGATTGACCTTGTACGGGAAATTTGTTTATTCCTTCCAAGAGACTGACAAATTCTCAGGTGTCACATCAGGAATCCAGGATTTCCCAAAGCAAATTTCCGATGCAGTTATACCCCTGACTAAAAGTGAGTGGAATTACTCCACTTGGTCTTGAGAGTTATGGGGCCAGTGGGGAAAAGAAAAATGGGAAGAATTCCTCTCTCTGAAGCTGGATATGTGCAGCTTCCAAATCAGCTGTCTTTTGAGAAGAATTTGGTGGAAGTGTGGATCTGGTCTCTAGAAACAGGGATGGGCAGTCCGTATTTGCTTGCTCTGTAAGTTTAGGAAACGAGTCCTGGTTGCTTGTGGCGCCTGCTCTTCTGATTCGCTTTTCCTACCTACAGTGGGTCATTTTGGCTGAAGGCCAGTTCCATCCCTCTCTGAACCCCATCAGAAAAAAAGAGGAAAAGCCAAACAAATGCAGTAAGTGGTTTCACAGGATGCATTTGGCAGTGGCCAGCATCTTGGGGAGCTGTCAAAACAAGCATCTCTGTGGAGCAGCACAGACACTGTCTGGGCCAGAAACACTCATTAGAATTATTTTCCCCCACAGGTTCTGGGAGATAGAAGCCCCTTCGTCTTGCTGCTCCTTCTTACTCTCTTTTTATTTTTTGAGATGGAGTTTTGTTCTGTCACCCAGGCTGGAGTGCAGTGGCGTGATCTCAGTTTACTGCCACCTCCGCCTCCTGGGTTCGAGCGATTCTCCTGCCTCAGCCTCCTGAGTAGCTGGGATTACAGGTGCCTGCCACCATGCCTGGCTAATTTTTTGTATGTATATATATATATAATATATACAAAATTATATATATATATATACACATACATACATATATATATATATATTTTTTTAAGTAGAGACGGGTTTCACCATGTTGGCCAGGCTGGTCTCGAACTCCTGACCTCAAGTGATCCACCTGCCTCGGCCTCCCAAAGTGTTGGGATTACAAGTGTGAGCCACTGCATCTGGCCCCCCTTCTTACTCTCTTGATCAGCGTCAGCTCCTCATTCCCCTAACCATCACTTCCACCTGGATTTTTCTTCTTTGATGCTATTCCCTCCTCTCAGTGCATTGCCCTGGAGTCTATAGGGAAAAGCCAGTGAGAAGGATGGCAGAGTAATCTTTCCCTCCTTGTTTTCACTCCATCCAGTAACTCTTCTGAACCACCCCCCACATCCCCCAGCCCTAAGGCCTCCACACCAAGCTCTGGAACATGAGGGTAATTTGAACCTGCATCTGTGGACTGCTTCGTCTGTGTTTACAGAGAGAAGACAACCTGCAAGAAACAGGATTGGATTTGTTATTTGTAAGTCAAACCAGCTGTGATCTCCTGTCTATGGCTGCTTTCTTTGCAAATACCAAATGTCACTTGTGGTTGGAGCTACTTTTCTTCCCAGAGAGTTGTTTTCCCCTCACACAGCCAGCCTTCCTTCCATGCCTCTTCCCCCACCAGCTGCTCCCCTGCAAGGTATCAGTTTGCTGGGTCAGCCTGGGCACTGCTGCACCCGGCTCCAGCTGCTTGGCTGGGGTGCTTTTCCCCTCCTTTTAGAAATCAACTAGAAATCCATCTTCATGAAGTTCTAAATCAAGAATCACTTTGGCAAGAATAAAAAGAAGAAACACTTGGCACAATTTACACTCATTGGAAGGAGCATCAGAGTGACTCTCTACATACCTAAGGACAACTGCATTTCAAATTGGTAATATTTAGTCACATAAAGAGAAACTTTTGCATTTAGCTTGGTCAGTATCTATCTTTTTCTTCCTTTGACAGAAGTTCCTTTGGAACTAGGGCAGGATCATCTTACCTAGGAAGTTTCATTTGCAAATTTCCATTTAGCAAGTTTTTGTTGAACACCTATTTTATACGCAGCCTGTGCCTTCAAAGAGCACACGATCTCCTTAGAGGAGGGTAGAAGAAACATATATATAGCCATGTAAAAAGATGTGCTATGTTCCTCATACTATTAGCCAAGGGCCAGACAGTGCATGGAAGTTCCAGCAGGGAGTCCCAGTGAGCAGTGATCATGGTGGAGGCAGGAATTGAGCCAAGGCCTGAGGAGTGGCCCAATGTTGACGATAAAGGGATGTGAAAAACATGGGGAAAGGTGTTGATAAAAGTTCAACAATTAATTCCTTCCCAACCCCACCAAAAAGACTCAATGTCACATGTGTTGGCCACTTGTGTTTATAGTGGTGGCCAATTTCTATGGTGTTAATACACCTACCATGGCTAATTTCATGATCAATTTCAAGGCACCAATGTTATTGAACAAGGAGTCAAAAAGAGGTGTTGCTGTTGTTTTAATGTGTCCCCCAAAGTTCAAGTGTTGGAAACTTGATCCCCAAAGCAGCAGTGTTGAGAGGTGGGGCCTAATGAGAGGTGTTTGGGTCATGGGGGCACCACCCTCATGAATGGGCTAATGCTGTTATCTCAGGAGTGCAATTGTTATCACTGGAGTGGTTTCCCTATAAAAGGATGAGTATGACCCTCTCTTCTCTCTCTTTTGCCCTCTCTTTGCCCTTCACCATGTTATGACACAGCAAGAAGGCCCTCACCAGATGCCGGCCCCTTGATCTTGGACTTCCCAGCCTCTAGAACACTGAGTCAATAAATTTCTGTTTATTATAAATTCCTCAGGCAGTAGTATTCTGTTATAGCAGCACAAAATGGACCAATGCAATAGTGTACCACTTAGTAGCATTTTGCCACATGGATACAATGGAAGAGATTCTCTGGCCTCAGCCTCCCAACCGCCACCACACCTGGCTAATTTTTGTATTTCTAGTAGAGACAGAGTTTCACTGTGTTGGCCAGGCTGGCCTCAAACTCCTTACTTGAAAGTGCTGGGCCTCAGCCTCCCAAAGTGCTGGGATTACAGGGGTGAACCACTGCACCTGGCCAAAACCAGTCATTTAAAAAACATAGGTTGGGAGATGTGGGACTATCATAATGCAGAAATTGATAATAGAGACTGGATTGCAAGCTCAGGAAAACAATAGATATTTGGAATTAATTAGACTGACATGGGGAAGAAAGCAGTGGGCCTTCCTCATTGCTGCAGTTTTCTCCATGGGAAGAATAGGAGACAAGGGAGGTGAGGTGAAGGTGAGTTCCAACATTTCTCCTTCCCATGGGGGAAGGCAGGAGAAAGACTGACACTCTATAAGAGGGGGTAGCCAACAAGACAAGGTCCCAGGCTGTTGAGGACTCAGATAATTTCTGACTCACTTTTGTAGTCAATGGGGACCTTGCATAACACCCTAATAATTATAGACTCTCAAAAATTTGAGCAAAGGTGTAGGTGGTTTTCTTTCTTTAATAAGTGATACAGAAAAGAGTGGAATATAATCCACTTAATTAATTCATCACCTGCTATGTATCAGAGGCCATAGGCTCAGGGATGTTCTAGCAGTGAATTAAATTAATGCAATTTTCTCCAATTTTTCAAACATAACAAATTGATTTATTTCCACTTTAGCTCAGTTAAAATGGCTCTGTTTTTAGTCTCAAAGAAATTCCTTTTAAAACATAGTCTGACAATCAAGAAGTTCTACTTAATATAATTTTTTAGGTTTTAATGGGGGCTTAAAATGTGGCTCTCAATGAGAATAGTGCAAGAAGACGGGGAAAGGTGTAGGTAAGTTGGAAGATTTAGTGTGGAAAGATTAGGAATGGCTTCAGTTTTCCTGACGATTTCCATTTGCCAAATCCGCTCCTCATTTTTCAATCTTCATTTGACTCAACTTCTTAGCAGCAATCAGAATTAACATGTGTCCATTTGCAGGCTCGAATCCCTCTACATTGTTCTTAAATGTCCTCAAAACTTTTTTGTTAAGGTTCTTCATTAAGCTTGACATGCTTTTTCTTGACATGCTTTTTCACTAGGCAATCTCCCCCACACAATGCTGTCTGTGGGAAGATTAATATATCCAGTCTAGGTATCTCTTTGGAAATTCAGACCCACAGATCCAAATATCTAGTTGGGATCTCCTCTGGAGGAATTCAAAGTATGTCAAATTCAAGCCCCCGAATCTGTCCTGAGGGCCCAAGCAACAATGATGAGTCACTCCTTGGTGCTACCACCACATCTTGTTGCAATTTTGTATATAACTATGGTCACCACTGTTAGCCTGGGAGCACCCAGAGAAAGAAGCCTCATTCATCAGTGAATCCCTATCTCTGACCTCAGTGCTTGGCAAAGAGTCAATAGATGAATGAATAAATAAACAAATTCTCATCCATCAGTAAAAACTCCTGTGATTTTTCAAAAATTCAAACACAAATTGGTAAGGAACACATACTATTTATTTGGTTTCCACTTCTGCTATTCCACTGAAACTATTGCTATCAAAGTCACCAACACCCTCTACACAGCCAAATTCTGTGGGCACTTCTCTAATCTCATCTCTGCTCTTGTCATCACTCAACATGATTTACCCTTCCTCTTGGCTTTCGTGGCATTGCATACTCATAGTCTTCTATCAATGATACTCTTTTTGTCTTTGCTGGATTGATTCTCTGCTTTGGCCTCTAAATGTTGGTTGGCCTCTGATATAGTTTGGATATTTGTCCCCTGCAAATCTCATGTTGAAATTTGATTCTCAATGTTGGAGGTGGAGCTTGGTGGGAGGCGTTTGGGTCATGAAGGTGGATCTCTCATGAATGGCTTGGTGCCATCCTGTGGTAATGAGTGAGTTATTGCTCTATTAGCTCATGGGAGATCTCTCTCTCTGTCTCTGTCTCTGTCTCTGTCTCTCTCTCCCTCTACCTTTCTCCCCATTTCTTCTTGTTTCACATGTGATGCCCTTTGCCTCCCTCTGTTAGTGGAAGCTTCCTGAAACTCTCACCAGAAGCAAGTGTTGACACCATGCTGCTTGTACGGCCTGCAGAATCATGAGCTAAATAAACCCCTTTAGTAAATAAATTGCCTAGCCTCAGGTATTCCTTTGTGGCAATGTGAATGGACTAAGACACCCTCTAAATTTGGGAGGGTGATAAGACTCCAATCTGGGGCCCATTTTCTTTCTTATGTGTCTCTCCTGGGTGACCTTATTCAGTTCCATGACTTTAGTTGTGAGCCATTTGCTGCTCATTAATGTATATCTCTGATGACTTTTTAAAGTATCAGGTGTATAGTTTACTGCTTGCTTGATTACTCTATTAGAATGTTTGATAGGCATCTCAAATGTACCTTGTGTAAAACAAAATTATTGGTTTCCTGTCCCCTTCCCATCTCATGTTTTCCTTTAGTCTTTTTCAACTTACTATGTGGCTTTACTGGGACTAAGCCAAAGACCAAGAGGCAGCCTGAATTTCTCTCTCATTCATCTCCCCACGTTCATAGTTTCAGCTCTACAAACAATTTGTTGATTGCTTTGCACAGAGCAGCAATCAACAAATATTTGTTTCTTAAACTAGTATTTGATAATGCATGATAAAATGTATTCTTAGTTTCAAACAATTTATAAACAAACTTTGGGCATATAATGTTGCTAACAAGTTTTTGGCCTTTTGGTTTCAAACATGACTTAATTATTTACTTTGGATCTTCCTTGTCAATGTCTCATCAATAGTCATGTAAATCTTCCCACTGATCCTGTTGAGTGCTTGTTTGTTCCCCAGTGCCCAGTGGAGAGGGCTGGTAAACAGATAAAGCCTATTTGTGTGTTGAATGCTTTGCATCAGAAACCATGCAGAGCTGGGCCCAAATGGTCACCAGTCCTCTCAATGATGTAAGTGGTCTAGCCTGAGCAGAGTAAATTTCACTGAAATTCTGATGCTTCATTTGTACTTCCCTTGTTTTTTTTTTTTTTTTTTTTTTTTTTGAGACGGAGTCTCGCTCTGTCGCCCAGGCTGGAGTGCAGTGGCACGATCTCGGCTCACTGCAAGCTCTGCCTCCCAGGTTCACATCATTCTCCTGCCTCAGCCTCCCGAGTAGCTGGGACCACAGGCACCTGCCACCAAGCCCAGCTAATTTTTTTTGGATTTTTAGTAGAGACGGGATTTCACCATGTTAGCCAGGATGGTCTCGATTTCCTGACCTCGTGATCTGCCCGCCTCGGCCTCCCAAAGTGCTGAGATTACAGGCGCGAGCCAATACACAGTAGTGTAATGAGTGTCTGATGTGACTTGAAAGCCTAGGACAACCTCCCAGTCTTTAAATAGCTAAACAATATACTTATGAAATTAAACATAGATCCACATAGAACAGCAAAGCACCTGTGGCGGCTTTTATACCACATCAACTTAGCTCAGCTGAAGCTTTACTTCTCAGAATTCTGTTTCCTGTAGAGTTTCAGATTGGTGTTGGCCAAAAGCAACATTTTGTGTGATATTTAGAAGGTGAAAGTGAAGTGGTAACATAGATATATTTTAAAATGGACTTTTAGAACAGTTATAGATTAATGGAAAAATTGCGGCTAGTAGAGATCCCATCTGCCTGTACCCAGTTTTCCTGTCGGTAACACCTTTCATTAGTATGGTACATTTGTTAATTATTGAATCAATGTTAATACATGATTATTAGCTGAGGTCTATATTTTATTCACAATTTCTTAGTTTTTGTCTTCTATCCTTTTTCTGTTCCATGATCTCTTCTCATGTGATTCATTGCATTTAGTTGTCATGTCTCCTCAGACACCTTTGGGCTGTGACAGTTTCTCAGACCTTCCTTGTTTTTGTTTTCAGGAGTACAGGTCAGATATATCATAGGTTGTCTTTCTTTTGGAATTTGTCTGTTTTTTTTCCACACCCACCCCCAAGACTGAGTTTTGCTCTTGTTGCCCAGGCTGGAGTGCAATGGCGCAATCTTGGCTCACTGCAACCTCTGCGTCCCAGGCTCAAGTGATTCTCTTGCCTCAGTCTCCTGAGTAGCTGGGATTACAGGTGTGTGCCACCACGCCCAGCTAATTTTTTTGTATTTTTAGTAGAGATGGGGTTTTGCCATGTTGGCCAGGCTGGTCTCGAACTCCTGACCTCAAGTGATCCACCCGCCTCCTCCTCCCAAAGTGCAGGGATTACAGGTGTGAGCCACTGTGCCAGGCCAATGTTTTTCTTGTGATTAGACTGAGGTTATGATTTCGGGGGAGGAAGACCACAAAGGTAAAGTGACATTCTCATCACATCTTATCGAGGGTACATCATTATTAAGTGATTTATTACTGTTGATGTTGACCTTGATAACTCTGCTCAAGGCTGTGTTTGTCAGATTTCTCAACTATAAAATTAATCCTTTCCCCCCTTCTCCATACTATCCTATTTGGAAGGAAGCCCCTATGCATAAGCCACACTTAAGGAGTGGGGATTGAAATTTCCCCTCTTAGAGGTTGGTGTATTTATGTAATTATTTGAAATTTTTATATATGGGAGGTTTGTCTTATCTCCTCCATCTATTTATTTATTCAATCATCTGTTTATATCAGTATGGGCTCATGGATGTTTATTTTGTACTTTGTTATAATCCAATACTACTTTCTTCACTTTACTGTTCAGACTTTTCCATCTTTCGCCACTGAGAGCTCTTTTAGTTGACTTCCATGGCTCTTTGACATACTCTCATTAATTGTGTGTGTGTGTGTGTGTGTGTGTGTTTTCCTGAGCACTTCTTTATTTTCCGGCATGAAAAAGATGTTCCAGGATCAACCTGTAGATTTCCTGCCTTAGTCCTAGAATCCACCGTTTTCCCAAGGAACCCTGGTTCCCTCTATTGGAGAATGGCATTAGAAACCAAATCTGGGTGCTAGGTGTGCTCATTGCTACCATGGTGTTGTTGCTTGTAGGTTCTCTTAGCTGACAGAGCAGGAAATGTGTGTGTATATACTAACCCTTTTATATACATGTATCCATAGGTATTTCTATATGTAACTGTATGGCCTATATTAAGCTAAACAAGAGTTCATACTGATGTGTTTAACTCTTTTTTCTCCCCTTATTATTTGTAAATTTCTGCTTTAAAAATGAGAAACATGGCTCTTATCATTCATCATACATTTTCTTAATTGTTCAATTCCAGTTTACATGCATAGCAGCATCAGAATTGTTAACCTATACTACTGTGGAAAACAACTTTATCAGCTAGAGTACAGTGTTTATATGCAATTTATTTTGCCTTTAAATTTACAGACACTTCTAAAGCTAGCTAGGTTAGCAACATTTCTCCTCCCTTTTCATGAAATTGTTTCATAAATTTATAATACAGTTACAGTCTCTTATGACAGTCTGCATTCCTTCCAGGGATCCTCTAACCTGTTAAATTATTTGATTTAAAAAATGTGTATACATTGAAGTTTATTCTTTGTGTAGTAAAATTCTGTGAGTTCTTACAAATGCGTAGTGTCATGTATCCACAATTACAGTAGCATACAGAACAGTTCCATTGCCCTAAAAATCCTGTGTTTCACCTATTCAACTCTGTCTCTATCTCCCTGAACCCCAGGTGTTTACACCTTATCCTTTTATTTAGTTTTGTCTCCATAGTTTTGCTTTTTACAGAATGTCATAATAATTGAATTATACAGTAGATAGCCTTTTCAGACTGCCTTCTTTCACTTAGTCCTATGTATTTATGGTTCATCTATGTCTTTTTGTGATTTGATAGCTCAGTTTTTTTGTTTTGTTTTTTGAGACAGAGTCTCGCTCTGATGCCCAGGCTGGAGTGCAATGGCGCAATCTCGGCTCACTGCAAGCTCCGTCTCCTGGCTTCACGCCATTCTCCTGCCTCAGCCTCCTGAGTAGCTGGGACCACAGGCGCCCACCACCACGCCCAGCTAATTTTTTGTATTTTTAGTAGAGGCGGGGTTTCATTGTGTTAGCCAGGGTGGTCTCGATCTCCTGACCTCATTGATCCACCTGCCTCAGCCTCCCAAAGTGCTGGGATTACAGGTGTGAGCCACCTCACCCCGCCAGCTCAGTTTTTTAAAATCACTGAATGTTGCCTCACATGGATATATCACAAGACATCTGTTCACCTATAAAATAATATCTTGGCTGCTTCTAGTTTTTGATAATTATCAATAAAACTGCTAAAACATTCATGTGCAGGTTTTTGTGCAGACATAAGTTTTCAATTCATGTGGGCAAATACCTAGAAGTGTGAGTGCTGAATTGCATGATAAGACTATGTTTGTTTTTGTAAGAAACTGCCAAAATGTCTTCCAAAGTAGCTGTACCATTTTGCATTCCCACCAGCAATAAATGAGAGTTTCTTTGCTCTGCTCTGCATTTTTGCCAGTATTTAATGTTGTCATTTTTGGGATTTTTACCATTCTAACAGGCGTGCAGTGGTATCTCATTGTTTTAATGTACAATTTCCTAATGACAAATGGTGTTGACAATGTTTTCATATGTTTATCTTTGGTGAGATATCTATTCAAATTTTTTAGCTACAACTAACTGAGGTGTTTAAAATTATTGTTGAATTTTAAGAGTTCTTTATGTATTTTGGATACAAGTCCTTTAGCAAATATTTATTTTATAAATATTTTCTTCCAGTCTATGGATTTTCTTTTCATTTTCTTATCAGAGCAGAAGTTATTAATTTTAATAAAGTATAGCATATCAATTATTTCTCTCTTGGATTATGCTTTTTATGTTTTTCCTAAAAACTCTTCACCAAATCCATGATCATCTAGATTTCTCCATGTTTCATCCTAGAATTTTTATAATTTTTTTTTTTTTTTTTTTTTGAGATGGAGTCTTGCTCTGTCACCCAGGCTGGAGTGCAGTGGTGCTATCTTAGCTCACTGCAACCTCTGCCTCCCGGGTTCAAGCGGTTCTCTTTGCCTCAGCCTCCCAAGTAGCTGGGATTACAGGTGCCCGCCACCACGCCCAGCTAATGTTTTGTATTTTTAGTATAGACAGGGTTTCGCCATGTTGGCCAGGCTGGTCTTGAATGCCTGACCTCAGGTGATCCACCCACCTTGGCCTCTCAAAGTGCTGGGATTACAGGCAGGAGCCACTGCATCCAGCCAGTTTTATATTTAAGGCTATGTATTGGTCCATTTTCACACTGCTATACAGATACTACCTGAAGCTGGGTAACTTACAAACAAAAGAGGTTTAATTGACTCACAGTTCCACATGGCTGGAGGGGCCTCAGGAAACTTACAATCATGGTGGAAGGTAAAGGGGAAGCAAGGCATGTCTTACATGACGGCAGGAAAGAAAGAGAGTGCAGGGGAAACTGCCACTTTTAAATCATCAAACCTTGTGAGAACTCCTTCCTTATCAGGAGAACAGCATGGGGAAACCTCCCCCCATGATCCAATCACCTCCCACCCAGTTCCCTTCCTCAACACGTGGGGATTGCAATTTGAGATGAGATTTGGGTGGCAACACAAAGCCAAATCATATCAGTCTATAATCCATTTTGAGTTAGTTTTTATGAAAGGTGTAAGGTTTGTGTCTAGATTAGTTTTTTCACATAGGGAGGCACAGTTGTTCAGCCAATATTTGTTGGAAAGTCTATCCTTTGTCCACAGAGTTGCCTTTGCTGTTTTGTTAAAAATAGGCTGACTATATTTGCTTGGGTGTATTTCTGGTCACCTATTCTGTTCCATTGATTTATGTGTCCATTCATTCACCAATACCACACTGTCTTGATTACTATCACTTTATAGTTAAGTCTTGAAATTGGGTAGCATCAATCCTCCAAGTTTGTTCTCTTTCTTGGGTATTGTGTTGGCTAGTCAGGATCTTTTGCCTTTTCATATACATTTTAGAATGTTTGTCAATATACACAAAATATATTGCTAGGGTTTTCATTAGGATTGTTCTGAATCTATTGGTCAAGTTGGGAGGAACTGACATCTTGTTAGTATTGAGTCTTCCAATCCATGAATGTGACATTTATTTAGATCTTCATTGATTTTATCACAGTTTTGTAGTTCTACATACGGATCCTATATTTATTTTATTAGATCTATACATAAACATGTTTTTTTGTGTGCCATTGTAAATAGTGTTGTGTTTTCATTTCAAATCTCAATTTTTTATTTTTGTATATAGAAAAGCAATAGACTTTCATATATTAACCTTGTATCTTGAGATAATTTTGTAATTGCTCACAAGTTCCAGAATTTTAAAAATGTATTTTATTTGTTTATTTATTTTCTTATTTTTTAGAGGCAAGGTCTCCCTCTGTCAACCAGGCTAGAGTATAGTCATGCAATTATAGCTCGCTGTAAGCTTGAACTTCTGCTGGGCTCAAGTGGTCCTCCTAAGTCAGCCTCCTAGGTAGCTGGGATTACAGACATGTGTCATCATGCCTGGCTATTTTTTTAAAAAATTTTATTATAGAGACAGTCTTACTATATTGCCCAGGCTGGTCTCGAACTCCTGGCCTCAAGCCATCCTCTTACCTTGGCCTCCCAAAACGTTGAAATTACAGGTGTGAGCCACTGTGCCCAGCCTAAAATGTATTTTACATCGTGTGTGTGTGTTTTGGTAGTTTGTGTCTTTCAAGGAATTGGCCCATTTCATCTACATTATCAAATTCGTAGGCAGAGAGTTTTTCGTTGTATTTCTTTATTTTCCTCTTAATGTGTATGGGTTCAGTAGTAATGACCCCTCTTTCATTTCTGATTTTAGTAATTTTTTTTCTTGTTTAGCCTGAGAAGCTAATTAATTTTATTAATCTTTTCAAATAACCAGCTTTGTTTTTAAATTTTTTCTGTTTTCTAATTTCATGATTTCTGCTATAATTTGTATTTTTATGCTTATTTTATGCTTAAATTATGCTTCTTTCTTTAGCTTCCTAAGGTGGAAATGCTTAGATGATCAATTTTAGATCTTTCTTTTTTTCTAACGTATGCATTTAATGTTGTACACTTTCCTTTAAGCACAGCTTTTGCCACATCTCACAAATTTTGATAAGTTGTTTTTTATTTTCATTTACTTCAAAATAATTTTAAGTTTTTCTTGATATATATTCTTTGACCTATGTATTATTTAGAATTGTATTGTCTAGTTTCCAAATATTTTGGAATTTTCCAACTATGTTTCAGTTATTGTTTTCTGGTTTAATTGCATTGTGGTCTGAGAACATACCTTGAATTATTTCCATTCTTTTAAATTTGTTAAGGTGGGTTTTATGACCTGGAGTGTGGTTTATCTTGGTGAATGGCCCCTGTGAGCTTGAGAAAAAGGTGTAATTCTATTATTGCTGGATGTAGTCTATAAATATCAATGAGATTACATTGATAGTGCTTCTCAGGTTTTCCATATCCTTACTGATTTTTTTGCCTGCTTGATCTGTCATATACAGAAAGAGGAATGTTTAAGTCCCCAACTAGAAGTGGATTTTTCTGTTTCTTCTTGCATTTCTGTCAGTTTTTGCCTCACATATTTTGATGCTCTGTTGTTAAGTGCATAGACATTAAAAATTATTGTATCATGTCTTCTTGGGGAACTGGCCCATTTATCAGTATATATTGCACCCATTTATCCCTGATTATCTTCCTTGTTGTAAAATCTATTTTATCTGATATTAATATAGGTGCCCCAGCTTTCTTTTGATTTGTATTAGCATGGTATATCTTTTTTCATTCATTTCATCTTAACCTATCTGTGTCTTTATAAATATATACATTTGTGGGTCAGGTGCAGTGGCTCACATCTGTAATCCCAACAGTTTGGGAGGCTGAGGCAGGCGGATCACTTGAGGTCAGGAGTTTGAGACCAAGCTGGCCAACATGGTGAAATCATGTCTCTACTAAAAAACCCCCCACAAAAAAACCAAAAAACCCCACAAAAATTAGCCAGGTGAGGTGGTGGGTGCCTGTAATTCCAGCTACTCAGGAGGCTGAAGCAGAAGAATCACTTGTACCCGGGAGGCAGAGTTTGCAGTGAGCCGAGATCATGCCACTGCATGCCAGCCTTGGCAGCAGAGTGAGACTCTGTCTCAAAAAAAAATATATATATACATGCACACACACATTTATGTACACACACATACATACACACACACATATATATATGTTTGTAGTTCAGATACAGGTTGATGATGGAGGTAAGCCTAAGGTACTATGAAACATGGAGCACTAGAATTAAGTCTGCCCCAGGGAAATGGGGACAACTTCAGAGAGAAGGTGATGGAAGTTTGAGTTGACTATTGAAGGAGGAGAAAGGGTTTGTGCTGGTAAAGGAAGGAGTGATGTATTTCAGGTTGGAGCAGAAAGTGTTTCCTGGAATGAAGTAGGGTTGAGGGTGTGGTGGGAGATGATGCTGTGAAGTGAGTTTGGATAGGTCAAGTGAGGGGGATCATGCCAAAAAGAAATAGAAATACTAAGCAAATGAGTTCAGCTTGCATCGTGCAGATCAAGAACAAGGGAGCCCTGGCACTCAAAGTGTGACCCAGGAACCAGTAGCATCTCCATCACCTGGGAGATTGTTTTATACAGGCAATATTTTGGGCTCCACTCAAGACCTACTGAGCCAGTCTTTATTTTAACAAGATCCCAGGGGACTCTCATACACTTCAAAGTTTGAGAAGTGCTGCTATGGAGAGTTCTGTTCAGGGATTACAATGGCTAGATTTTGGAAGTCCTTTTTTTCTGGGGGTAATTCAATTTTTTCAATGAAAAATCTTCCAACGTCTTGTCTGGGGCCATATGCCTGGCAACCAGTGTTCTGAGAACAGGTAGGGAGTGGGTGCTGTGAATTCCAATGTCAGTATTCGGACTTCAGAATTTAAATTAATCTCTCAGCATTATTCCTCATCCTTGCCATTTTGGGCATTATCTTGCCCAATCTAGACCTTCTGCAGAGAATAAACTTCTGGTTTCTTGAATGTGGTGAGGGTGGATATTGTTTGGTGGGGGAAAGCATCTGGGAGTCTAATTGTTATACACATTTATCAGTCCTCTTACTCTCAGCCCTATACGTCATAGTCTGTGGTGCTTCCATGCATGAATGAATAAATTGGCTTATTTCTTAAAGAAAACACCTAGAACCATCCTTCCTCTGCTCTGTTAGGAGAGGCAATACTTATCTAACCATTTTCTGTTTTCTAAAATTCTACAGGCTGGGTGTGGTGGTTCACAACTGTAACCCCAGCACTTTGAGAGGCCGAGGCAGGTGGATCATCTGAGGTCGGGAGTTTTGAGACCAGCCTGGCCAATGTGGAGAGACCTCATCTCTACTAAAAATACAAAAATCAGCCAGGTGTGGTGGTGTGTGCTGTAGTCCCAGCTACTCAGGAGGCTGACGTGGGAGAATCACTTGAACTGGGGAGGCAGAGGTTGCAATGAGCCGAGATCGCACCACTGCACTCCAGCCTGGATGACAGAGTGAGACTGTGTCTCAAAATAAATAAATAAATTAATTAATAAAATTCTGCTGAGCTCTCTCAAGCACACCTCTTTGTACTTGGAGATGTACATTCCTTTAATGAATATTTAGTTGAGTTTGGAGGAAGAGGGTTTCTTCCACGTTTAACAGAAACTGCTGAGATTCCTCTTAGTCTCTCTTTTTTACACGTAACTTAAAAAAAAATCAACTCCACACATACGATAAAATGCACTGACTTTAAGTGTAGTCTTTGACGAGTTTTGATCCATAATCAAGATATACAACATTTCCATCAACCCATAAATTTCCCTTCTGTGGTAGGCAGCTTCTGAAATGGTCCTCAATGACTCCCACCTCCTGGTATTCATTTTCTGTGTTGAACGTGAGCTACACCTCGTGACTTGATTCTAATGAATAGAATATAGCAAAGGTAATGGGGCATTACTTCTGAGATTAGATTGCAAAAGATCATGACTTCTATCTTGCTGCCATTCTCTTGCTCTCTTGCCCTCTTGCTTGTTTACTCTGATAAAGCCAGCTTCAATATTGTAAGTGTCCTTATGGAGAGGCCCACATGTCAAGAAACTGAGGCTGTCCTCTGGCCAGCAGATTATGAGGAAATGAGACCCTTAGTCCAACAACTTGCAGAGAACTGAATACTGCCAACAACCCCCTGAGTGAGCTGAGAAGTAGATCTACCCCCAGGAGAGCCTTAACATAACTGCAGATGCAGCCAACACATTGACGTCAGCCTAGTGAGATGCTCAGCGCCAGAGGAACCAGTTGAGTCATGCCAGATTTTTGACCCACAGAAACTGACAGATAATACATGTGTTAAGACACTAAGCCACTAAGTTTCAGGGTAATTTGTTATAAACCAATAGATAACTAATATACCTCCCGACCTTTGGCAGTTGACCTCTTCCAACCCCAACTTCAGATATCCACTAGTTAACAGATCCCTCTGTCATTATAAATTTGTTTTCTTTTCAAAAATTTCAAATAATTTAGTATTTTTTTCTGAATTGTCCATCTTGTTGTATATATTAGGCATTTGTTCATGTTTATTGCTGAGCAATTTTCCATTGTATATATATATACCATAATTTATTTTTCCGTTAATCCATTGATAAATATTTGGGTTGTTTACAGTGTTCTGGTTATTATTAATAAAGCAGCTATGAACAGCCTTGTATAATCTTTATTTCTAGAAATGGAATTCTGGGTCATATGGTAAGAGTAGGCTTTTATGTTTATCTTTGTAAGAAATGACCAAACTGTTTTCCATAATGTTTGTACCCTTTTCAAGATTTCTCTTTCTCTTTGACTTTCAGCAGTTGAAAATGATGCACTTTGGTGTGGATTTCTTTATATTTATCCTACTTGTGGTTCTTTGAAATTCTTGGACTTGTAGGTTAATGCTTTTCTTCCAATTTGGAAAACTTTGGCACTATTTCTTTAAGTACTTAATCTTCTTTTCCATCTGGGACTCCAATTACAAAATGTTGGACTGCACAATATTTTTCCACATATCTCTTAGACTCTTTTCTTCAAAATTTTTTATATCTACTATTTGAATTGGATAATTTCTACTGATTTATTTGGAAATTCACTGATTTTTCCTCCATCTTCATTCTACTGTTGAATGCATTTAGTACATTTTTTATATTAGTTATTATACTTTTCAGCTCTAGAATTCTTAATGATTTCCATTTATCTGATGACACTCAGTCCACTCATTAGGACTATATTTTCATTTAATCATTCACACATCTTTTAATACTTTAAACATATTTATAAAAATGATTTGAAATCTTTGCCAAATCCAATATCTTGGGCCACTGATAGTCAATTTCTATTGACTACTTTATTTTCCTATTTCTTTGCATACCTGGTAATTTTTGGTCAAAGACTGAGTAGTGCAGAATAAATGTACTAGTGATTATAGATTCTGTTATATTCTTCTGAGAATTGTTTTGTTGTAGTACATAGTTAATTGCCTTGACTCAAACTGCAAACTCTGCTTCCTCTGCAGTGTGCAGTAACTTGTATATCTTCTCAGTTCTTTCAGTTCCGTGTGTGTGTGTGTTTGTGTGTGTGTGTGTGTGTGTGTATGTATGTATGTATTTGTGTCTTCTTGGTGTCTGCATGCTTTGATGGTTAGCCAAGGATTTGTGCAGAGTTTATACTCAGATTTAGGGGCATACACTCTCTACAGCTTCTTTGCTTCTAGAGTTTTCTAAATTCTTGACTCTTCTGTCATTCCAGAGCCCAGTCCTTCAATACTTCAATCCAGTAAGGCTTAAGCTTTTTGTTGCTTACCTGTTTGCTGGTTGGGGATTCCACTGTCAAAAAAGGAGAAAACTCTCAAACTCATCTAATACAGCTCTGTCTTTCAAGGGTAAATGCCTTTCTGGTTTCTGTTTGCTTTTCTTAGGTACCCTGCCCTTCCTCCACATCCATCCATAGTTTTGTCATCATCCAGGGCTTTGGGGTATAGTATGCACTCAGATTTTTGGTCTCACACTTTCTTCAATTTTCTCACTTCCAGGATTTTAACCCTAAATTTCCTCTTCTACCACTCTTGCACTCCTTCCTCTGCCATCTTGAATTGGTAAGGTTGATTTATTTCTTCTGCTATAGCTGTGAGGGTTAGGGAATGTTCTGAGGCAGAAAACAAGCAAACAACTCCCCACCCCACAAAATCAACAACCATAAACTTGCAATTTTTACTGGAAACAGTTACAGTCATTTAAGGGTAGGCTGTTCTCTGACTTCTATCTACTAGTTTCTTCAAATAGTTGGTTATTAAAAAAAGAATTTGTTGGCCAGGTGTGTTGGCTCACACCTGTAATTCCAGCACTTTGGGAGGCCAAGGCAGGTGGATCACTTGAGGTCAGGAATTTGAGACCAGCCTGGCCAATGTGGTGAAATCCCGTCTCCACTAAAAATACAAAAATTAGCCGTGCATAGTGGTGGGTGCCTGTAATCCCAGCTACTGGAGAGGCTGAGGCAGGAGAATTGCTTGAACCTGGGGGGTGGAGGTTGCAGTGAGCCGAGGTCATGCCACTGAACTCCAGCCTGGGTGATAAAGAGTGAGACTCTGTCAAAAAAAAAAAAAAAGAATTTGTCTGCATTTCGTTATTGTCTAGGAAAGGATTCACCAATGACTTCACTCCACTGCTACTGGAAGCAGATTTGAACAGTAGTACTACAGGTTTTGTGATAGTTGTCTTATCTTCTCTATGACTTCAGAAGTGAAATTAGCATCCTCCCTAGATCCTACTCCCTGAGAGCTCCTTCTGATCTTCTACTCTTTCTCTCCTTCAGTCTCTGCTGGGTCCTCATGGAACCCAGTAACTTGATTTTTCATTTGATAAATGTTATTTCTTTACATACAAAAGTTTTACATTTTGATATAATAATTCTTAGTCTTTTAATTTGTCTTTCTTTTGCCTTAATGCTTAGAAATTCCTTTTCTAACCCTGGGTTTGGTAAATATTTACTTATATGTTTATCAATTTGTGGCACAGTTGCCTCCCATTTAATACTTTAATCCATGTGTAACTTACTTGAATGTATGATGTGAGGTAGGAATTAAACTTTGTTTTTATCAATTAGTTAACCAATTTCCCTGGCACTATTTTATTGATTAAAACATCCTCTGGGCTGGGCGCAGTGGCTCACGCCTGTAATCCCAGAACTTTGGGAGACCGAGGTGGGCAGATCATCTGAGGTCAGGAGTTTGAGACCAGCCTGGCCAACATGGTGAAACACTGTCTCTACTAAAAATACAAAATTTAGCTAGGCGCGGTGGCAGGTGCCTGTAATCCCAGCTACTCAGGAGGCTGAGACAGGAGAATCACTTGAACCCGGGAGGTGGAGGGTACAGTGAGTCAAGATCGTGCCACTGCACTCTAGCCTGGGCGACAAAGCCAGACTCTGTCTCAAAAAAAAAAAAAAAATCCTCTTCTCATTAAGATGGAATATTGCATGATAGAGAAATTGCTATTATCTATTCTAGATATTTCCTCCCAGGTGAAGGAACGCCATTGGTATGGTACTTCTGATTTCTCTCCATCCACTTCCTCACTCCACTCCTGAAGAGGTTGAGTGACTTTTTTATTTAGTAAGTTGGGGAAAACAATCAAGCATACTTAGTTTTAGTTGCCTTTCTGGTTGGACTCAAAGTGTCGAAAGGGAACAAGATTTCTTCCCTAAATGCTTTTGGCCCATGCACCTACCATGAGGGTTTCTGGAAGGCATTTTTCTTCTTCACATGGGTCCTGACGAAATTGGGATGATGAAGGCCAGTCTTTTATTACTGATAAAGGTTAAACTGGAGAATGCCCAAAGCTTCTGCTGATGGGCGCTGCGTCTGGCAGATAAACCCACTCCATGAGTGGAAAATGAGACCAGGCAGCCCTCCTGGTGTGCAAGGGGAGCCTGCCCCTGGAATGGGAACAGTGCCTGCTCCCCATGTGCAGCTCCCTCCCAAGTAAGGGAAGAGCAGAGTTAGGATAAGCACATTGCATCTTCCCCCAAAACTTTTAGATCCATGTCACTTGCTCTCTCCAGAGAGGAGTGAGTAAGGGGTGAGAAGAGGCTGGAGAGGTGGCTGCAGTGCAGCCTCCTCCACCTGAAAGGAAATATTATGAGTAGGAAGGAAGCATCCCAAAATATACCTTTGTTTTATTCAATATTTACAAATAGAGGTGCTTTCAGTAACAGATACACACAGATTTATTTCTGAGCTTTCTTTTAGGTTCTTTGGTTTGCTTACCTATTATGGTTCCAGTACCATCCTTTTATTTTATTTATTTTTTATTTTTTTTATTTTGAACCATCCTTTTAGAGTAATAGAGATTTATGATACTTGTTAATATTTGGCAGAGCAAGTCACTTCTTACTAATTTTCTTTTTCAAACATTTTTAGTAATTAGTGATTCTTTATTTTTGGGATGTACCTTAGGATAATTTTGCTATTAAAAAAAAAAATCTTGGCCAGGCGTGGTGGCTCATGCCTGTAATCCCAGCACTTTGGGAGGCTGAGGCGGGCGGATCACTTGAGGTCAGGAGTTTGAGACCAACCTGGCCAACAGGGTGAAACCCTGTCTCTACTAAAAATACAAAAATTAGCTGGGCGTGGTGGCAGGCGCCTATAGTCCCAGCTACTCAGGAGGCTGAGGCAGGAGAATCGCTTGAACCCGGGAGGCGGAGGTTGCAGTGAGCCAAGATCATGCCACTGCACTCCAGCCTGGGTGACAGAGTGAGACTCCATCTCAAAAAACAAAACAAAACAAAACAAAACACAAAAAACTCAGTAGGTTTCATACTGAATTTTTCAGCTAGGATGCTATTTCTCTTGATATTCAAGATTTTAAAACTTTTCCAATAAATTTTATAGTTTTATTTACAGATAACCTGAATGTTTCTTTTATTTAAGAAAAGAATTGAGAGGGAATTTTTTTTTATTATGACCACAATTACAGAATATAACTGGAGCTTTTGAGTGTTCCTAAAGGGAGTCATTTGTACACAGAAGATTAGTTTCAGGATGTTAACATTAGTACTTGACTTATTAAAATTATAAATTAAAAATAGATTTTTCTTAATCTTTTAAGTTCAAGTTACAAACCTATTCATAAAATTGGTAAAATACATGCAAAAATTTTAAATTTTCCTTTGATTAAAGTTGAATTAATGCAAGGTGAATAGAACATATCCCCTTAAACAATCAGTTCTGTTTACAACTCAGTTAATTAAATTCCTTCAATCATTAAAACTGTATTTATAAGTTTAGCATAATTGCTTTTCTTTTCAGCACTTCAAATGCCCCTAACAAGAATAGCCTTCCCAAGTTCTTGAACAATTCTATTAAGTGTGATAAAAACAAATTGATAAATATGACAAATCTTTAAAAAAATTCAGTGTAGTTTAAAAAATTAGCTAAAGTCTCATACCTTTCAACTTGCAATGATAAAATCAATTACTCAAATGCATGTTGTAAAATGGAATCACAGCTCTAATCTTTATGATTATCTTATGTCCCCCCAAAATCTCTACAGTCACTTTCTTTCTTTCTTTCTTTTTTCTGGAGACAAGATCGGGCTCTATTGCCCATGCTGGGGTGCAGTGCTGCAGTCTCGGCTCACTGCAACCTCTGCCTCCCAGGCTCAGGCAAACTTCCTGCCTCAGCCTCCCTACCTGGGGCCACAGGTGTACACCACCATACCCAGCTAATTTTTGTATTTTTTTATAGAGATGTGGGGGGTCTCTCTATGTTGCCCAGATTGGTCTCAAACTCCTAGGCTTAAGTGACCTGGCCTCCTCAGCCTCCCAAAGTGCTGGGATTATGGGCCTGAGCCACCGTGCCCAGCCCTCTTTACAGTCACTTTAGATACCAAATATACACACGTTGTTCCAATGATTATCCAAACAGATTCCTGAATGTAACACAGAAGTATTAATATATATGTAGTTTGATTTATTTCTTCATCTTTGTATCTAATTCAAAAATGTCCTAGGGTTAAAAGACACCCATGAGGAAAACAATTTTACCATCCCAAGCCAATAAGAGTTATTACCCCAATCAAATTGGGGGAGAGATTTCAGAAAAAAAATTATGGGCCAGAGATTTTGGGTCCTACACTAGATCTGACCCTCCTGGAGCCGCTCAGCGAAACATTGACTTAGTTTTTAATAGTCATTAAAAACAGGGATCCCAAGTCCTTATCTTTTGGAAAGGATTTATCTCTTTTGAGTTTAAAATATACCATTACTTAACCCTCTGGCCTGATATGAAATCTGTAGCCTCCTGCCCAGTTTACTTCACAGCATGTTTAAATCTATTTCCTGCCTGATTCTATTTTGAATTATTGGCAGATCTTTCTGTATGTCCTGCCACAGTTTGATAGCAGCTTAATGATACCCAGACTGAAGTGATTCTTGTGAAAATACAGATTATACAAACATCCATTTATCCAACACCCAGCTTAATCGGATCATAACATTTTATTATGTTTACTTCAGGTTTTAAAAAGCATTAAAACCACTTCTGATAGATTTGAAGCCTCCAGTGTATTCTTCTGTGATTTCATTTTCTCCTTTCCCAGATGAACACTGAATTTTGTGTTCATAACTTCCAAGCATCTTTTGATTCTATCATAACATACAAATGTGCCAATAATATGTATTGTTTTGCATGTTCTCAAATTTTCTGTACATATTATCTTGTAGTTATATTGCCACTTCCTTTCTTGGTAATCAGCATGCTTTTGAGAATTACTAATGTTGATACATGTAGCTCCAGTTAATTTGACTGCTGTATAATAGACATGAATTCAATAAATATGTCATAATTTATTTTTCCACTCATTTGGTGGATGGATTTTTTTCCCCAGTGTTTTGCTGTGATAAACATTGTTGCAATTAACATTTTTGTACATGTTTCTGTGTACAATATGTGTGTGAGAGTTTTCGTAGAATATATATTTAATAGTAGAAATTCTGGGTTGAAGACCTACATTTTTACCCTTACTATTTCCAAATTGCTTTCTCATGCTAAGTGAGAGTTCCGATCGCCCCCTAATTCTTACCAACACTTGTTTTCAAACTTTTGCAATATGATGAACAAGAGATCGTTTCTCCCTCTTGTAGTTGAGAATTCTGGGGTTACTGGTGAGATTGAGCATTTCTTTTCTGTCTATTGATCATTTCCCTTTCCTCTTCTGTATATTGCCTGCTCATGTGTTTTAGCCATTTCTCTACTGTCATTTTTTCCTTAAATTGAAAGCCATGTATAAATGCTAATTTTAACCCTTTATAGGTTTATGCATAAAAGATATTAAATTTTAACTTCTACTGAGGTCAAATCTTTTCCTTATGATTTGTTTTCTACAAAGTCATAGAGATTTTCTATATTGCCTTCTAAAAACGTTACTTTTCACATGTAGGCCTTAATTTACTTGGAAATGATTTTTTTTTTTTTGGTAGGGAATTAAGTGGTTTCTCTTTTCCAGATTGGTGTCACCCTTTGTTAAATGATTATGTTTTCCACGCATGTATAATTCCACCTCTGTCATATATCAAGTTTTCATGTATGCATGGGTCTGTTTTCAGACTCATGAGACAGAATGTGTGTGTGTTGTGTGTATGTGTGTGTGTGTAGCTGTGTGTCTGTGTGTAATTCCTAAGGCAAAATTACTCTATTTAAATCATGGC